>NC_000007.14:125631779-126256779 GCF_000001405.40 Homo sapiens
AATTGCTTGAATCCAGGAGGCGGGGGTTGCAGTGAGCCGAGATAGCACCACTGCATTCCAGCCTGCCAGTAAAGTGAGACTCGTCCAAATGCTATTGTACTTTTGCATTGATTCTTACATACAGACTATCAGCAAATTTAACAATGCTACAAAAAATAAATAATGGAATATATTAAGTTTATGATTGTGAGGGCTTTACTATCATAAAGATTTCAAATACCTACAAATTAACCTAAAATATATGTCTTAGCATCTACAGTGCTTATCCCTACTCCAAAACATTTTATCTCTTGCTAGATTTTTTAATTATCCTTCTGAACAAACTGTAACCAATCACATTTGGTGCCACACAATTCACATAGTTTACAGAATGAGTGTTTTTAGACGGTAAATAATAAAATTCTTCTTAAAAGTCAAAAATTGTTTTCAGTAAAAATATACGTGTTTTCCAAATAAACTGACATTTTGTTTCCAGTAATGCAGGACCATGAACCTACCAGATAACCTCCTTGTCACCTACAAAAACCACTAGATATTTAGATAAAAAACAGAAAGCAATCACTTGAAGGTACTAGCAGGTGAGCTAAACAAGCAGACTCTGATGATTTGTTTACGTTTGGTGAAGAAGGGAAAGGATGATTCATGTGAGTAAGTTTCTGCCATCAAGGATTTTAGCACAGGCTTAAATAGAATAAGAACAGCAGTCTTTCCAGATTGAGGAACCTGAATAGTGAAGGCACAAAACTCTAGTCAGTCAAGAGAGTTGAAATAATGGCCAAAAAGCTCCCAAATGTGATGGACAGAAATTTACAAATAGAAGAATCTCAATAAATGTCAGAGAAAATAAACACAAGTGTGCACACATTGAGGCTTAGTATAATGTTGAAAGTCAAAGAAAAATGAAAATATTAAAATTGGCAAAAAATAAACCCATGTTACACAGAACGGGACAATAATTAGATTAACTTCTCATTAGAAGCCATAGATACCAAAATAAGGTGAATATATATATATATGTATTGTGTTTATGTTTAGTGATGAAGAGGGATGATGAGTCCTGTGAGTCAGTCAGTCCTGTGTGAAATATATATATATATATATATATATATATATATATATAAGGTGAATATATACACACACTATGTATACATATTAGGTGAATAGTGTATACGTATGTGTATATATGTGTGGAAACATAGTGTATATACATATCCACCTTATTTATATATATATTACTCACATAACTGACTTACTCACATGACTCTTCATCCCCTTTCATCACCAAACATAAACACTTTAGCAGAGTTTACCTATTTTAGTTCACATCCCAGTACCTCCAAGCAATGTGTGTATATTTCATCATATATATATATGTATTATATATGTAAGATATATATAATACATAAATTTTCATTCTGGGTTGACTATTATTTTTTCTTTCTTAAGTCAACTCAGAATTAAATAGTTACAGGAATATTAAAAGTTATTAAATAATCCAAAAAATATTAAGTAGAATAAAAGAAATAAAACGGGAAACTCTAATCCAACTATACCCATCATTATATTAAATATTAATGGATTACACATGTAGAATAAAGGAAGAGATTATCAGAGCATATTTTTAATTATAAAGAAAATTATTGTCAACAAGAAATACACCTTAAAATTAAAGGCATATACAGGTTGGAAATAAATGAAAGAAAAAACATACTATGTAAACCTTAAGCTTCAGATAGATACAGATGCTATGCCGAGATAAGATAAAATGAATGTCTTTTCAACTACACATGATACAGGTTTCAGAAATCAATCTATGTAAATGTATAAGGACTAAAATTACACAAAATATGTTTTAAAATTCCACTGAAATGTAGTTAGATATTAATAAAAAACATAAATATCAGAGCCCAGCTATTTGGAAATGAAACAAAACACTTCTGTGTAATACATGAGTCAAAGAAAAAATCAAAATGATAAATTACTATTAATTGAATGATAATAAAAATAAACATATGATAATTTCCAGAATGCAGCTAGAACACTAGAGAATATGTATTATTCTAATTTTTTTAAAAGAAGACAGCTCTAAAATTAATAATCTGAGTTTTCCTGTTAAGATTAAGTAAAGAAAAAAAGAGCAAAATAAACCTAGAGTAAATTTAAGAAAGTAATAAATTAAGACACATTAATCAATTAAGTAGAAAATAGAGAAAAATCAATACAATCAAGAGATGACATTTAAATTTTTTATTGTATTGATAAGCCTATGATAAGAATAAAAGAATGAAAGATGAAAAAAGGATAAAATATTTTTAAATACATTTTTTAAAATTTATCATTGTCAGTAATGAAAGAAATTTCTTTCAAACTTTAAAAGATCTTGCAATCTTAAAAGAATATGAATCAAATATTATAACCAACATTAAGTCAATAAATTTTACTACTTTTTGAATTATATAAATTCAGTGAAATACATGTAATAAAAAAGACCAAAGAAATAATTCAAAATTAAATAATTCTGATAATTAAAAAATAAATTTATAATTAAAAACTTTCCCACAAATAATATCCAGGCCCAAGTGGTTTCACTGACAATTTCTATCAAAAACCTAGGAAAGGTATTCGAGGAAGGAAGACTTTCAAATTGACTTTATAATCTTAATATTAAATTTTATAGCTAAACCAGACAAAAACATCACTATAAAAGAGAGCTAAACTAATAGTGCAAATGATATGGCTTCAAAAATTCTTAAAAGATGAGCAAAACTTTTTCAATTATGTATACATATATTATGGCCAAATGTACTTTTTATTTCCCCTGGAAATTAAATTGGGACTAATATCTAAAATTCAATAAATATCTATCATAATGATAATAAAAAACAATATGATCATATCAATAGATATAGAAAATTATTTGATTAAATACAATACCTTTATATTACATAAACTACCAATAACTAAGAATGTAAGTGTGCTTCTATAGTTTGGTGGGTTTTTAAAATTTATCATGCCAGGAATTCCAGTCCTAGGTGACTATCTGAGAGAAGTAAAAATAAATACATGCACACAAAATTTTTAGTAGCATTATTCATAAAAATCAGTGAGTAGAAACAACTGAAATCAACATGTGAATAATTCTATCAACATGTGAATAATTCTAAAATGTAGTTTCACCATACAATGAAATACTACTTAACAAAAAGATAAATATAACTAAGAGTACAATGTGGATGAACCTAAAAATAATATATGCTAAGTAAAAGAATCCAGTCACAAAATTCCACATATTGTATGACTCCATTTGTATTAATTATCTGGAAAAGGTAAACCGAGAGAGAGAGAGTAGATTAGTGATCTGCTAGCCTAGGAACAAGAATACTGGTTAAATGGAAATTAGCATAAAGAATTATTATGGAGTAAAGCAAGTGTTCTAAAAGTGGATTAAGATGGTTACACAACTCTGCAAATTTACAAAATACATCATAAAATTTTACACTTAAAGTGCATACCTTTATTATATGTGTTATACCTCAATATAGCTATTTAAAAATGAAATAAATAAATAAATGGAACAATAAGTAGTGATGTATGAAATGAAAGATTTAATAAAATATTTTATTAAGATTAAAAAATACTCTTCAAAAATGAAATTCAGTAAATCAAAAAGAAACCACAGACTATGAGAAAATATAGGGAACACATTTATCTGATGAAGAACATGTATCCAGAATTACATAATAAGCACTTACTACCTAACAATAATAAAAGAAACAACTCAATTAAAAATTCATTAGAGAATTTAAACAGGTATTCAACACAAGAGAACATATAAGTTTTTAGTAAACCCAGGGCAAATTCTTGATATCAGCAGTTAGGAAAATGTAAATAAAATAAAAATAAGATGCCACTACAAATTTACTAGTAACAAAAGTCTTTGTTAAAAAGACTGATAATATCGAGTCCTGGTAAGAATGTGGAACAAATGAAACTTACACATTGATGTTAGGAATATAAAATTTGACTACTTTGTAAACCTGTATATTTAAAAAGTTAAACATACATTTACCCCAAGACCCAACAATTTAATACCCTTATTATTTACTTAGGAGAATTAAAGTACACATCTACATGAAGATCTGTAAACTTGAATCTATAGCAGCATTATTTATACCTCAAAATAGGAGGGAACCCAAATATCCCTCAACAGGTGAATTTAAAAAAAAAACAGATTATAATATATCTGCCCTATAAAATATTACTCAGCAGTGCTAACATACACAACAACATAGATCAATCTCACAATATAAATTATGCTAGGAGAAAAAGTTAAATACAAAAGACTGAAGTTTATTTATATAAAATTCTGGAAGATGAAAAATCTAGTGACAGAAAATTATTGGTTGCCTTAAGATGAAAGTCAGGAGAGAGAATCCACTGCAAAGGACCGAAGGAAACTTTTTCAGGTAAGAAATTAATTTGATATCTTACTTGGCTTTACACAATTACTAAAATCAAATTTCAAACTTAACATTGGTGAATTGTATTGTATATAGATAACATATCAAAAGTTATTTGAAATAATAAATCATTTATTATGGCCTATTAAAAACTATATTATCTAGTCCATTTCACCCTCCTTAATCTCATGTCTTTTCACTCTCTCTCTCTCTCATTCCCTGTGCAACAGTCACACTGCCCTTCTCAGTCCATGGAAAGCCCCAAGCTAGTCACACTTAAGGGCCTTTACAAGTGATGTCTTTTACATTTGTCACTTATTAACTGAAGCCTTTGCTAAGAACTATTTTTTTATTCTGTACATTTTGACACAAGTTTATTTAATAACCACTTGTGCTAAATATGTTTTACTTAGATTGTCTCTCTCTAGTCTTTTTGACCTTGTTCTGCACCCTTGGAAACCAGCATTTATTGACAATATTACATGACTCTCCTGGCTTCTGGCTTGCAATTTTGCTCTGCCAATAGATAAGGGACACTAGCTGGACATGTGAGGAATGGCAGAGTAAATGACTAATATGTTAGCTCCCACACTTTTGTTTTTTTACCAACAGCCACAAGTTCTATTGGGTGGTCCCATTGGTCTTCAGGTATATGTTTAACAATCAGCTCTCTGAAGGAAAAAAAAAAAAAGCTTGTTTTTAGCAGTTTCTAAATTCTGTAGTGTAAATCATTGCACCATAGCTAATATCACTAATATCAAGCTGTCAATACCAATTTTAGTATCAATATGACATCATAGGCTGTGATGGTTTGTGGAGTTGGGAAGAGATGCTGGCAGTCTGCCACAGTGAGCTTTATGACCATCTCCAGTACATCACGGAGTGGCACCTTCAACAACTACACCCATTCTCTCCGTCACAGCAAACTCCCCATCTTCGCGCCCCTTCAGGCCTAGGTAATGGTTCACTGCTATGGCTTGTCCCATTGTGCCTTCCTCTGTTCTGTGTGTTTCCATTCACTATGACCACACCTTTATCTAAATACTTTATATTAACTGTTTTTATTTACCTTGACCAGGTGGACAATATATTTTCTGATAGGATCTTACCTGTTCCAGTAATTGATACAAGGAATGATGTCAGAAAACAGACTTTCCCTACAGATTCTGCAATGGGATTCTGCACATGTTCAAGAAATAAACAGAAAACATTCCTATCAGTGGAAAAAATGGAAATTGGTAATCCATGCTATGCATCAGCATCACATTCACATTTTCATGTGGTGGCTTGGAGGTATCAACTAATATGTAGATGACAAGCATGGTATTGGGGAATTGTGGCTATAGCAATGTAATAGCAATTTGATAACTATGAAAACAATACGATTATGCAAATCATGGCCCCAAAGAGCCTGTCTGTGGAAAAAATCATTGAAGCTCCTGAATGTCCAAACTCAAAACACAAGTGTAAATCCACATTCCTTCCAAGGAAGCAATATCTTTGAGAACCTTAATCCTAGCTGAGCTCTGTTGACCATATTTGACAATAGGAGATACTATGAATAAGCTGAGGTCTTATTCCCCAAGACTGGGTAATTTATAAAGGAAAGAGATTTAATTGATGTACAGTTCAGCATGGCTGTAAGAAAACTCACAATCATGGCGGAAGGTGAAGAGGAAGCAAGGCACCTTCTTCACAAGGTGGCAGGAAGAAGTGAGAAGTAAAGGGGGAAGAGCTCCTTATAAAACCATCAGATCTCGTGAGAACTTACTATCATGAGAACAGCATGAGGCAAACCTCCCCCATGATTCAATTACCTACACCTGGTCTCTCCCTTGACACGTGGGGATTATGTGGATTACAGTTCAAGGTGAGATTTGAGTGGGGACCCAAAGCCTAACTGTATCAACTAATGACAGAGATTAAGTGGTTTGGGAATTGCAGGAGCCTAGTGACAACATTTAACCAACAGATAAGGTGAGTAAAATGACCATAATAAACCTCATGACAGTAAAAGAAACAAGAGTGACTTATCCTACAGGGAAGTAATATATCATAGTTTTTCTAGGAATGAAATACAAAGGCAGCCAACTAAGTTGTGATTTGATTATATAACCTGAATAATCAAAAGATGACAAGCAATAGAAAATTGCAATCTCTTAGACCCTTTTCATGTATAAGCCAGTTCTCAGCCCAGAGCTCAATAGGAGGACTAGGTCACCTAGAAGAAGGACTGTGTAATGCCAATGCAAGTATATTCAATGTATGTTCCATTGAGATCCTTTACCAGAATAAATGTACACTGGAGAAATTTGATTACTCATATCTTTCAAGGGTTTTTAGTTCAGGGTCTAAGTTGGCAGTGATATTGCTGATCTGAAACACAATCATAGCTCCTTGGCTTGAGAAAAGTGTTATGGAATTCAGGCTTGAGAAAGGTGTTATGGAATTCAGGCTTGAGAAAGGTGTTATGGAATTCAGGCTTGAGAAAGGTATTATGGAATTCAGGTAATAAATGGAGTCCAGACCAAGTCACAGTGGCAATTTCCATGGAACTCACTTGTAACACTAGGATGGATATACTTAGAATCTTATTAGTTCCTGACCTGTTAAGGGTGAGCCATTGCAGAATGAAAGACCAGCAGAAAACTCCAGCATCATCCCTCTTACCCTCAAGGCCAAGATAGTCAATAAAAAAGAGTACTGTACGTCAAGAAGAATTGCAGGAATTATTGACAACTTCAAAGTTTTTGAGGAGTCAGAGGTAATTGCTTTTATGATATCTCTATTTAGTTTACCTGTACGGCCCTTTCAAAACATAGATGGCCTATACTGGGTAATAGAGGATTAATATAAACCTAAAGGATGATACCACATGTGCAACTGCTTTGCTGGATGTGTTTCTGGAATAGAATATAACTTCTGGTACTTGGATGTCACTATTGATGTAGAGAATACATTCTCTTCTATCTCCATCAATAAAAATGTATCAGAAGTAATATATTTTTGTATCACTCTATTCATTGACAGTTTTGGACCAGGGGTATGAAAATGTCCTTGACTTTATCTCATTATACCATTCTGAGACCTTGAGTATATCTTATAATTTTATGGGGCATTACACTTGTCACTGTATTCATTTCATTATGCTAATTTTACCTGGTCTGAAATAAGGAGACTGGACACCCTAGTAAATTACATGTTTCCCAGAAGTGGTAAATGAACTCCAGAAAGATGACAGTCCTGCCACATCAATAAGGACTTGCTTCCTAAAACAAAGGATAGGTTATTGTTCTTCACAAATCCTACCACTAAGGTAGAGTCATAGACATAGAACTTAGTATTTTTTTTTTTTTTTTTAACAATCAGAACTATGGTTCTAGTGCAGTGCAAACTTCCCTGGACATTAGCCACCTGGCTGTTAAATATAGTGGTGTCAGAAGTATCCAAGATGGATAAAGATGTTGCATGTATTTCAGGGTCAGGCCATCTGCAGAAGAGAACTAAGCACTCTCGGAAAACCACATTCTTATGTGCTACAGAGCCCAGCAGAAAAAGAAACACTGCATGTGGAACATCTGTTGACTATACAGAAAGAGCAGGTATCCAGGAGTGAGGTCAAACATATGCAATATACTTTTATTGCATAATTGAAATGGTGCATTTGGATTTGGAAATTCGCAGGTCTAGAACAAAAAATAATTTACGTGAAGAGGTGTAAATTCCTGAAAAGTGCAACATTGGGATATCTAATAAGAGCAAGTTTGGGCTTCAGTGAGGAAACAATAAAAATTTTGCAGAAGAAGCACATGAATAGATCATGAGAGTGGGCAAACAGCGTAAGAAACTGTGTCTCACGTTGATATCTACCTAAAAGTATCCAATACAGAGGAAGCACTTAAAAATAAGAGAAATAAGTGGAATCCTTGTAAGGATATAAAACACAATTTGTCTCAGCCACTCAGCCGTCCAACTTGAACAATGAGCCCATTAAGAGAACAGGACGAAAACAAGGTTTTCCTTTCTTTGTCAGATCTCACTACTGCCATTGCTGATAGTCCAGCCTGCCAACATCAGAGACAAACATAGAGCACTCAATAGAGTAGCGTCAACTAATGGGACATGTCAATCACTTAGCAATATATTGATTATATCAGACTTGTCCAAACAGTAGTCCATTCTTATTGGAATAGGTGTTTCTCTAAGATTTGGGTTTGCCTTTCTAGCCCCTGTGCCTTTGCTAGTACCATCATCCAGGGGTTTATATAATGCCACGTTTACACCTTGGCACACAATATAATATTTACTTAATCAAAGTAACCATTTTCTTATGGTGAGTACAAGTATTCTTTTTATTATGATTATGATTATTTAAACTATGAATATACACCTTATACTGGTCTTTGTATGTGTAATACATATTTGTATATGTATAATATACAAATATATAATATATCTTTGTGTTTGTATAATATGGATTATTATATTTGTATATGTATAATATATGAATATATAATATATATTTATATTTTTATATGTATAATATGGATTGACAATATGTTTTAATCGTCAATATGAATAAAATAATAAAGATGAATAAAATAATAATAAACCAAATATATATGTAGGGTTATGAGTCCACACTTTTATTCTGTTTTTTCATTCATTTTACAAACATGTGTAAATCCCTTAGAACATATTGTGTGATTAGCCCTTGAAGAACAAAGAAAAATAAACATAGCTTGTGTATTTGAGGAATCTCCAGTCTAATAGATAAGTGTTCATTCTAAGTGAAAATATAACATAGCAGAACAGTGCATTAGATATTAGATATTGGGGACTATGAAATAATGAGTAACTAATACAACAAGGGAGAGGGCAGAGAAGAAAAACTTGAAAGGAAATGTAATTGTGTAAGTATTGATTTTTCAAGTGGAAATGGTATTTCAGAAAAATAAATAACATGCAGTAGCAAGAGGTGTTAGGAGTTATGGTAGGTTCAAGGGATGATATGGTTTCTTGTCGCTAGAATCAGAGGGGGATTTGTAGGAGATAAAGCATCAAACGTAATTTAGAGTCAAGTTTTAATAGGCCACGAAGGCAATGTCACCAAGTTTTAATTTTATCCCATAGACGTCGTGGTGCCATTGAAAGCTTTTAAGCTGGGAAGTTACAGAATTCAATCTATATTTCAGAAACATCAGTCTGCCAGCAGTGTTGATAATGCATTAAAGGGATATGAGATTATGTTTTGGTGGTCACTTGAGAAGATACTGACACAGACTTGTTAAAGGAAAGGTTGCTTTTAAAAGGTTTAGAAGTTGGGTTTTATAAAAATTGGTAGAGAAAATTCCTACAATAAAATATGTTATATGTTCTTATGCATACTACATTTTCAGACATTTTAATATTTCCCAAATGAATACAACTTTGAAAGTAGGCATTGCACTTTAATAATCTGTTTATTCTGCACATTATAAGGGCATTGGCAGTGAAAGAGCATATATAGCAAGTTAGATTTTAAAAATTTACAAAGTGCTTCAAGAATATTTTTATTACAGTCAAGAGATGATTTCTAGGGAGATAGTTTTTCTTCTGTTCAAGAAACCAATCAGGTAAAGAAAAGGGCAGAAGATGAATCCAGATAGAGGAAATTTGTGGAGGCATGCAAAAGTATAACTAATTTGAAAAACTTTAAATACATTAGCATGTCTGAAATACAAAGCATATTTGGTGTTGAGTAAAAAGAAAAGACCATATTTTGGGGGTATTGTACACCATAATAAGGCATTTGCATTTTATCCTAAGAACAATAAATAACTGTTAATCAGGAAATGACATCATCTTTCGATTTAAAAAAATAAGATTACTCTGGGAGAGCCTCAAAATTATTCATGAGACTATAATGTGGAGAGTGTGAGAAAGAGAGAGGAAATCATTCACAACGTTATAATAGTAACCGTGATCAAAACAAAATGAAAATCTAAAATAAAGAAGGAAAGAATCAGTGCAAAAGGAGAGAGAAAAGGAGAGATATCTTCATTGAGAAGGAAAGCTAAAAAGTGTCTTACTGAAGATGACATTGACATAGCCACAAGAAAACTTTAAAAAAACCCTCAGGCTGCTTGCCCCAGCAAATGGATAATAGGAGTCCTACCATGTTTAAGCACACACACACACACAAACAAACAACAAACAAACAAAAAGAATCCAAGATGTTTTCCTTTTATTTGATGTGTATGTATGGGTGTGTGAATAGAAGAACAGCTGTTAAATATATTGAATTTAATTTTAAATACAGTAAGCCCTCACTTAACATCATCCATAGGTACTTGGAAACTGTGACTTTAAGTGAAACGATGAATAATGAAAACAATTAGATCCTAGGCAAATTGACATAAACGAGAGTTAATTTTCCGTGGTGTATTTCTAGCTACAGTAACATCACCAGGCTTCTAAATAAAAACCAAAACACTTCCAATATTAAACATTGAAATAAATATGAGCTATAGATACATTTAAGAAAGTTTTTAAAAAGTAGGATAATTATTTCCCCAGTTCTTGGTGAACCTGTGAGTCATGGTGGTCATAGCGGTGCGTTAAATAATAATAAAAAAAAAGTATGCAAAACAAAAATTGTAAGAAGCACATCTTACCACCACACAATTCAAAAACAATAAAAAATACAGCATGCTTGCTGAGTGCTTTCATATCACATTGTTTATTGTTGCGCATTTGTATGATTATCATAGACTTTACATATTTTTATTTTGCAATAATTTGTATTATTCACTCATTCCTTCATTCATTCATTTTGCTACCTGCTTATTCTTGTTCATGGTTGATGGAACCTATCCCAGCAGCTCAGGGCACAAGAAGGGAGTCAACCTTGGAAAGGACTCCATTCCATTGAAGGGCTCACTCACATACACACCCACACTCATTCCAAAATTGGGACAATGTACACGCACCAATTAAATTAACAAGGCTGAGGCCGGCGTATCACTTGAGGTCAGGAGTTTGAGATCAGCCTGGCCAACATGGTGAAACCCTGTCTCTACTAAAAATACAAAAATTAGCCAGGCGCGGTGGCAGGCACATGTAATCCCAGCTACGTGGGAGGCTGAGGCAAGAGAATCGCTTGAGCCCGGGAGGCGGGGGTTGCAGTGAGCTGAGATTATGCCTCTTCACTCCAGCCTGGACAATGGATTGAGACTCTAGCTCAAAAATAAATAAATAAATAAATAAATAAATAAATAAATAAATAAATAAAGAAGAAAGAGAAAGAGAAAAAGGAAGAAAAAAAGAAAGAGAAAAACGAAACAAAAGAAAAGAAATTAACATACACCTCTTTAGGATATGAGAGGAAACAAGAGTACCTGGTGAAAATCCACACAGACATTAGTAGATGATGCAAATTCTACACAGAAAAGTGGCCCCAGCCAGGAAATCAATTTTTATTTTCTCATCAACCTTATAACAAAATGAATGGAACAAAATGATGTTATTAAAGGACCTGCTGTATATTGAAAATGATATACCTAGTAGAGTAAGATACTCAGCTAGGGAGGCCAGAAAATTTTGATGACTGTTTGGCAGTCTTCTTATTGCTCCAGAATCTGGAAACATAATATTGCCAACTGAAATTAAGGCTGTTAAGGCAGAATTAATTTGATAAAGGTCTATTGGAAGCTAAATATGAGGACTGACCTGGGAAGTCACAGCAACAAATTTGGGAGTATTCCGGAGACGTATTACAAGATAGAAGGCTTTTATAAAAGCGATTAGGAGAAGGTGGAGGGATTCCTCATATGAAAGTTGTCCTTCTATATAGAAGTTACAATCACTGGCTTCAGATTGCAATATACAAGCTAAAATGTCTACATGCAAGAAAATTAGTAAGAGTTTCTGATTCCAAAATAAGTCAGTGTTTTTTTCATTGCCAGTATATTACATATCAATCAGTACATCAACTATTTGAGGAACTTATGATAAGGTTCTTTATTCAGGGACAGAATGTGGCCATGAATCACCAGACCTCCCTGAAGTGGGTTAATTTGGAAAGCTGCCAAATATGACCTGTAGTCTATCAGTATAATCCTTAATGTCTTCTCTTCAATATAGCAATTAACTTCTTATTGAATTATATGCACCAAGATTTCTTTTTTTTTTTGCTTTCTGTACATTCATCTTATGCAATTATGTTTTTTTAAGTTGACATAAGAACTTTAAACCGAACTCTCAAACAATTTTTAAACCCATATATAATGTTTCCTATAAGTGGAACATTGCAAAATAGTTTTCTTTGTATTCTGGTGTTTTAGTAGAAAAATGGATAATGAACGATTTTATCTATAGATGCCCAGTTTTTGAAGGTAGACTATTCTAGCAACTTGATTCTGGAACGGGAGAAGAGCTTTCTGTGATTCAGTGGAATTGTGGTTTCTTATCTCCAAATTGAAGCAATACCAATTTGACAGTATTGGTCAGCTTTGTGGACAGAATCTTCTTCTACTAGTTCCTTTCCAATAAATTATAAAACTATACAGATACTAATTGTAGTGAATGGTCATCAAGCTTTGCATGTTCACTGTGGAATCCTAGTCATCTTCGTACTGCTGAAACCCTAGGACTCTATTAAGACCTTAATGAAATCACAATTAGATGCTGCTAAATCTTCACACTGATACCTGATCTCATGGTTCAGCTTACAGGGCTTTATGACATTTTATCTTCTGGACCAAAAAGCAGTTTATCAGCTTTGCAGAGAAATGTCTGAAAGATATTTTGTTTTGGGCTTACATACACTTTTAAATATCTCACCTAGAATCATAAACATCCATTTTTGTATCCATTTCTTGGTTTCATGAATATGATTGAAATGATGACTCAAATCTTGAATATAACTGATCTATGTTTCAATGAGTGATACTGTAGAGATGTCATTAATATTATGATTCAAATATTATGATTATGATAATATTATTATTCAAAGATTATTCAAAAGAATTTTACTTAAAAATGCCTAATAAACATTTGTTTTGTGAAAGCCGGCATCAGGCAGGTAGGTAGGCAGGGAGGAAAAAGAGGAAAGAAGGAAGGAAGGAAGAAAGGGAGGGACAAAGAGGAGAAAGTTTGCTTGTAAGCATTTTCCTCCCTCCCTCCCTTCCCCCTCCCTCTCTTTCTCCCTGTCCATCGCTCGCTCCTTCCTTCCTTCCTTCCTTCCTTCCTTCCAGATTTTTGTTATATATTTTGTTTATGTATTTTGTTTTATAGATGCTGGATACCAGAAGTTAATGAAGACTTGAAGCTATGATTTTCAATGTAGAATTTGAATTAGAATTAAAGTCTTCTGGGATTATTTTTATACCAGACATTTTCCAAGAGTTTGAGAAACATTGATTTATAATATTTTGATCTTTGAAATTGGAAATATTATTTTAAATAAAAGATATCCAAAAAGCAGTAGGTGTAAAATATATAGTTGAAGCACAACAATGTAAAGTGTCAATGGGGATTATGTTCTGTTTTCCAGAGTCTCCCCAACTATTCCAGGATTATTAAAAAACAAAACAAAACAAAATAACCTCCTCATAGTTAAATTCAGGGATATTCTGTGATATAAGACATACTTTTATATCTGAAAGGAGTCGGCGCTTTCACGGAAAGATATTTGAGTTTCTGTTCTAAAATTAAATGCTTGATGGCTTGAGGCACCTGTTTTCTCACTCTAGCGGTGTGAGCAGGAAAAGAAAACAAAACTACAGTAGGAAGTCCAAAAAGTTAGTAGAAGTCAAAGATTGCATTGGCCCAAATTTTCCTTTTGGACTTGGTGGGGATTTCTGTTTCCAATAGGTCCATTTCAGGTCACAGAGCAGAAGAAGACATTGACCCCTGGCCAAGGTGATAGCTGCACTGGGATACAACAGGCTAGGGCATATGGACTACATGGAGACCCTCCTGCTTGTGGAAAGGTTGTCATGAAAATAGCTTTGAATTTGAAACTTGCTTGATATGTTATACATTAAGACTGGCTCCTGATCAACAGTTGAAACCTGAAATTTAGGGACAGCTGAAGACAAGTAAGAAGTGAACAGTAAGAAATGAAATTATACCCTCCCTACCATGATTGCACGGGCATTCTTACGCGCAAACACTCGTGCTTTGCTCATCCGGTCAGCAGAGCTCTCCGGTGAAGCTGAGGAGGTGTAGTGACAAAAGAGAGATTGAACTTCAGTCTGCATAGCTCTCTACCACAAGCAGCTCCTGGTTATAGCAAACAAGTTAGACTTAAGATTTTCATTTAAAATTGTCAATATAAATTGCACTGGACTAAGTTTTAAACTGAAGTAACTGAAACACTGGGTCAAGAAGTAATTCTGTTAATTTTGATCAAAGATGTCTGCCATTTTTCTCTAGTGTAATGTAAATTACTATATGACTCTTTGGAACAAGTAATTTTCAGAAATATATTTGAGATTATGTAAATATATATACGTATCCTGTTTCTTATTAAACCTTTATCCCTTTTTTGGCAGCCATTAATGAAATCATCATTTCTAACTGTATCATTTCTCTTAGATTGATTAGTTGACATTGTGCTACAAGAGTTTCCCTTCTCTCCATTTATTTATCCATTTATATCACTATCAACTCATTTTTATTTTAATATATTGTTTATAATCCATTATAATATGTATTTATTTTGTTAAGTTGTTGTAGAATTGGCCAATGGCCCCTCATTCAAGCTGGCTTCAGGTTAAAGTCTGCTGATTTTCTCTTCCCTTGATGGTTGTTGAAATTTTTCTTGTTCTGTGTGTGTCAACTGATTTTACATTGTATCCTAAACATTTTTGCTCTTACATTATGTGAAGTTCAATTCTGTAAAAAACCCTGTGGACATTACTTGATTTTTTTTTCCTTTTCTTTAGTAGGCAATCAACCTGCTTAGGGTGAGACAACAATGATTAACTCAGTTCCACATGTGTGCAGCTCAGAGGCAGGCATAAGATGTTATATACATATTTAGGAGATCTCATTTTCCATTTTTCTATCTTCTTCTATTTCCTCACTTCCTATGGCTGCTAGAATTCATTTTATCTTGGTCCTCTGGCTAAAACCGTGGTGTTTTTACCTCCCTATGTTAGAGAATTTGAGAAAATGACATATCTTCAATGGTCTGCTTCGGGGGCTAAGCAGAAAGAGAAAAATAACAAGGATTCCCTGCACAAAATTTAGACCACAAGGGGAACAGTTCCTCTGGCCAGATAGCATTTTTTGTCTCATAATTTTAGTAACTTTTAAATCACTGCTGACACCACAGTAAAGTTTCATGGTTTACCTGGTTCCCTGAGCCTAAAACAAATAATAAATGAATTTTTAAAAGGGGGATTATTCCTACAGTCTCCTTTCTTGGACCTCTGTAAAGAAAAAGAGATATGATTTTTCCTGAGGCTTTTTTTTCATCTGTGCTCACTGCACAGTTCTGAAACAGCAGTCATCATTTAGTCTAAACCTGAATGTATGAAACAACAGCAAAAGATATAACCACCACATCAGCCATTATTTTGGGTTTGATTTATCTCCTTACCTACCTGCGATTATGCACTTTTAAGGGCCTGAACTGTTGCTTAATTATTTTCAGTTTCTTTTGTTTTGTTTTTTTGTTGTTGTTGTAATCAGTGAGAGCTAGAATACAACGATTATTCAATTTAGCCAGACTTGAAAACTATATTTCACTTTTAAAAATTATTTTGTTGGCTATAGAATTTTATAGGGTTGTGTGTGTGTGTGTGTGTGTGTGTGTGTGTGTGTATGTCTATGTGTTTATACTCATGTCCAGGCTATTGATGAGCCCATCAAATATGTTTTTTATTTCTTTTTCAGTGTTTTAATTTCCAACATTTTCTTTTCCTGTTTGTTGTTGTTGTTGTTGTTGTTGTTGTTGTTTTGACACAGAGTCTCAATCTGTTGTCCAAGCTGGAGAGCAGTGGCACAATGTCTGCCTACTGCAACCTCTGCCTCCCAGGTTCACCTTTACCTAACATCAAACAATTTCCCTTGCTCCAGGCTCTGGAGTAGCTGGGATTATAGGCATGCAACATCCATGCCCAGCTAATTTTTGTGTATTTTTTTTTTTTCAGTAGAGACGGGGTTTCGCTATTTTGGCCAGGCTGGTCTTGAATTCCTGATGTCAGGTGATCCACCCACCTTGGCCTCTCAATGTTCTGGGATTACAGGCTTGAGCCACTGCACCTGACCAATTTCTGACATTTTCTTCAGATTGTTTCTTAGAGTTTCTAAATCCCTGCATATATTACTCATCAGTTCTTGCATGTTGTCTATTTGCAAGCAATAACCTATTAATCATAGTTACTTCAAATTGCCAACATTTGTGTTATATCTAAATTTAGTTCTGATCTGTGCTCTTTCTCTTTAAGCTGTGTTTTTTCTTGCCTTTTGGCATGCCTTGTGATTTTTTTATTGGAATTCAGATATGTAGTATTAGGTAACAGGAATTTAAGTAAATACGATGTTAGTGTAAGCTTGTATATTAACCTGGCTAGAAGTAGATTATGTTTACTGATTGCTCTATGAGTAAATATTAGAAACTTCTAATTGATCTAATACCTTTGTTTTTTGTCTCCTCCCTTGAGTTGGGATTCTCTAAGTGGCATTACTTAGAGAGAGTCTGCATCTTGTTCCTTTTCAGTTGCAATCTACTTTTTTATTCTGAAACAACCTTGATGCTATGGTGAGGCATGGGAGAATAAAACCATTCTACAATATTAGAGTTAAATTTCAGTCTCTTAATGGGACTGTGATTTGAGATTGTGACCTTAACAGGTATTTCTCAGGAGTACGGCTTCTTCTTTATACACACACAGTAGGTGAGACATGAATGTTAGAAAGGGCTGGATTTGGATAAATGCCTTTTAGGAGGATAAGACTATGTAAAAGCCTTTTTTCCCAGGATAATAGACCTTTGTTATGAAGGCGTACTTCACAATGATTAATCTTCCCCTTCCACTTCCAAAGCCACACTGTGATTTTTCTTGAATCTTCACCGTCCGAACTTAATAGGGATTGGGAAGGTAAAATGATGAAAGTGAGGAATGCCCTGAAGAACGTGGCCCCTGGGAGTTACTCACACTAATACACACTCAGCCTTTAACAATTCATCAAAGTTGTCATTTACATATTTTTACTAGTTCATAGCTGCAGAGGATACTGCTTCAGGTAAACACATCTTGACTGTGGCTCTCTGGATTTACCTGTCTCCCCAGATACCAGAGAGGAAGTTGTCCTGCAACCTACATTCTCTGGTGTATCTAAGAAAATTTACAAATGTTTGGTTTGTTGACCATTTTCTAGGAGTAGAAAGAAATGACTTCAACATAATAAAATCCATATGTGAAAAACACACAGGGAATATTAGACTCAATGTGAAAGTCTAAAAAATTTACCTCCAACATCAGGATCAAGGCAAGCATACCCACTTTTGCCATTTCTATTCAACATACTACTGAAAGTCCCAGCCAGACAATTAGGAAAGTAAAATAAATAAAAGGCATCCAAATATAAAGGAAGAAATAAAAAGATCTTTTTGTAGATGATATTTTATGTAGAAAACTAAAGATTCCACACAAAAAATGAATTGTTTAATAAATAATTTCAGTAATGTAGGTGGATACAGAATCAAAATGCAAAAATAAGTTACATTTATTTAAACTATCAGTGAGCAATCTGAAAAAGAAATTATGAAAAAATCATATTTATAATAGCATCAAAAAGAATAAAATATTAGGCATTAAATTAACCAAGGAGGTGAAAGCCTTGTGCAAGGAAAACTACAAAGCATTGTTTAAAATAATCAAAGAAGACATAAATAAATAGAAATACAGCCTGTGTTCATGGTATAGAAGACTCAATATTGTTAATATCAAAATACTACCCAAAGCAATCTGCGATCCTTCACAAAATCATAATAATATTTTTTGCAGAAATAGAAAACCCATCCTATAATTTGTATAAAATATTAAGGGACCTCCAAATAGCCAAAACAATCTTTAAGAAGAAGAAAAAAGCTGGAAGTTTTCTGATTTCAAAACTTGCTACACAGCTATAGTAAACCAAAATAGTGTGGCATTAGCATAAAGACATATGTACAATAGGAATAGAATAGAGAGACCAAAAATAAATTATCTCATGTATAGTCAAATTATATTTAACAAGAGTGTCAAGACCACTCATGCTGAATGGACAGTCTTTTCAAGAAACAATGCTGAGAAAACTGGATATTCACGGTCAAAAGAATAAGTTAGACACTTACCTATCACCATATACAACAATTAACTCAAAATGCATAAAATTCCTAAATGCAAACCCTAGAACTAAAATAAACTTAAAAGAAACCATAGAACAAAATATACACAACATTAGACATGTCAGTAATTTCTTGGATATGACATCAAAGACCCAAACAATAAAAGATACAATAGATAAATTGAATTTCATGAAAAATTTTTAAATGCACCAAAAGACAATATTGACAGACTAAAAATTACACCTACAGAATGAGAGAAAATATTTGCAAATCATATGTCCAATAAAGAAATAGCCAGAACATATAGGTAATTCCTAAAAGATAACCAAAATATGATTCCAAAATGGGCAAAAATCTTGAATAGACATTTTTCCAAAGAAGATATACAATTGGACAGTAAGCACATGAAAATATGTTCAACCTTACTAATCATTAGGAAAATGGAAATCAAAACTACAGTGAGATATTATTTAATACCCTTTAGAGTGACTATCAAAAACACAGATAACAATAAGTATTGGCAAGGATGTGGAGAAACTGAAACCCTTGTTCACTGTTGGTGGGAATGTAAAATGATACAGCTGCTGTAGAAAACAGTATGGAAGTTCTCCAAAATATTAAAAATATAATTACCATATGATCCAGCCATTCTGCTCCAGAATATATCCCCAAAAATTGAAATCAGGGTCTCAAAGAGATATTCATACACCCATATTTATAGCAGCATTATTCACAATAGTTAAAATCTGAAAGTAACCCAAGTATCCATCAACAGATAAGCAAAATGTGGTATCTACATACTATGGGATATTGTTTAACTTTAAAAAGGAAGAAAATCCAGACATATGCTACAACATGGATGAATCTTGAGGACATTATGCTATGTAAAATTAGTCACAAAAAGTAAGTATGATTCCACTTATATGAGGTACACAGAGTACTAAAAAAACAAACAAACAAAGAATAGAACGGTGGTGGCAAGGGACTGGGAAGTGGGGTAAATGGAGGATTATTGTTTCATGAGTATAAAGTTTCAAATTTACAAGATTAAAAGTATTATGGAGGTGTATGGTAATGATGGTGGCACATTATGAATGAATTTGAAGTCACTGAACTGTACACTTAGAAATGGTTAAGATGGTAAGTTTTATGATATGCATATTTTACTACAATAAAAAAATGGAAAAAAAAATAAAAGTTGGGCTGGGCTTAGGTTTGTTGTTTCTAGGATTACCCTCACTTGACCACAGGCTTCAAATTCCGTTTGTAGTAGTTTATTTTTGTGTGCTGGGCTAGTTTGACAGAAGATTTTCCTGTTTCACTGTCAGCTGAGGTTTTCTCTTCTCGCCCTGCCTCTGTAAGGGCTATCTCCACATTCTTGCAACTTTCCTAGCGTTTTCCACTGTTACTTGTTACAAGACACTTGTTAACCTGGTGGCGGCAGACTAGGAGACCATTCTCTGTTCTCATCACACCTCAGTCTTAGACAAACATTATCTCTCTGGATCTCAAGAGTGTGACTTTCTTGTTGATCCTGCCCCCTCCCATTACTATCTCTGTGTCCAGAGTATATTCCCGTCCCTCCTGAGAGACTTCCTTTTCCATTACTCCAACTGCAATGAGTATTCCCAATGACCTAAAGATATGAGTGTTTGCTGCCTTATTTGAATAGGGAAAAGGGTTCAGCTTTGGTTTCCTGTCCCTCCTATTCAGACTGTTGCTCCTCTCCCACGGGCCTGCATGCTAAGAGAAAATTTCTCAGGGCTCTCACCAATCTTCATCCTGTGTGTATGTGAGTGCGTGTGTGTCTGTCTGTCTTGTGAAGATGGTGGAGAAAAGCCTATAGGAGGCTATAAACTCTCCTAATTTCTGTAACCCCTAGGGGCTTCACATTCTTGTACCAGTTCACCCACACTCGGCCTCCTCCAACTTATCAATTATTCAAGCTGATTCAAACTGTCTCAGGAAAGCAAGAGCTTGTCCTCCATCGTTCTCTGCTACATACAGCCAGTCTCTCCATAGATTTCTGAGTAGGTCATTCGTTGCCCTGCGACATCAGCTCTCTAGCAAATTCAAGGAAAGTCATGAATTTACAGTTTTTGCAAATTTTTGTGTTATGATAAAGCTAGGAATAATGTTCTATACAGTTCTTCACACCCTGAGTAGAACAAAAAAGTTTCTTTCTTTATGCTTTATTACTTAATCTAATATATTGAGTTCAAATTTTCTTGAGTAGAATACTACTGATTATTCATTTTAATTACATTTTTATATAAAAAATATCCCTAAAGCCCTGTGGAATTAATTTTTTGTTGTTGTGAAGCTGACCTAAAATATTTTTTAAAGCAAAGCGAGAGCAGAAAAGAATGAAAGGCAAGAGAAGAGAGTTTTGTGTTCAGATGAGATTTACAAACAGTTGGAAACTAGATACGACTGAAAGATAGAGAAAGAATTATCTTTAATCAAAGGGTTCCCTTTCAGTTTTATTCTAAGTCTCATGATGAATGTTATGGCAGTTTCTCTATTACCAAAATCCAGTTTACAGGTTCACACATCACAGTTTGCCTTATTTTCACTATGTACTACTTAAATAACTCCGTATTTTTTCTCTCTTAGGAAACATAGATCATTTTCCTTTGTCTTTTGAGATTCTTTAGCTACAAAAATTACTTTCTGTGTGAGTTAACAGCCCAATTTATAACTCCCTTTACTTTCAATACTGATTAAACTAAATGTACTATCTTCCTTTTTCAATTATTGGAACGTTTTTTGCCCCATGATGCTTTCCTTTAGAAAAGCTAGTGTCTTTTGCTTCATAACAAAAGACTTTAATTCAAGCTAATCCAATATATTTCTTTTGTATTTTAACTTACATTAAGTTTTAACCTACATTAAGTTTGCATTAAAACTGATTTGTCCAGATGCTTTTGTATTAAACAAATTATATATAATTTATATGTAAACAAATATTTAAATAATTTATATATAAAAATATATATATAATTTATTGAATCCTTTATATATATTGACTGATTTTAATAACTGAGGACTGGGCTTCAACTTATATTAATTCTCTAGAACATTTTAACTCTTCGATTTTACAGATCTCTTTATTTTGGGTTGACTAGTCCATCTTTTTCTATTTTTAATTTATTATGGAACCTCCGTAGTGTTTTCGATAGCAGCTGTACTAATTTACCTTCTCAACAACAGTGTGCAAGGATTTTTTATTCTCCACATTCTCTCCAACACCTTTGTCTTTCTGATAGTAACCATTTTTAACTGGTATGAGGTGGCATCTCATTGTGGATTTAATTTGCATTATCTTGATATTTAGTGAGGTTGAGCTTTTTATATTTTTTCACATTCCCGTTGGCCATTTGTATATCTTCTTTTGATATATGTCTATGCAGGTCATTTGCCTATTTTTAAATCATTTAGGAAGGAAAATAAACTCTAATATAAACACCTCTTTTCTGATAAGTCACACATTTTTATTTTACTTAAACAAACAATATAAGCATCACTTTATTAATTAAAAAATGAAAGGAAAGAGTCTTAGCCCTGAGAGAAGTTATGCAAAGAAAAATGTAAGAAGAAGTTATGCAAAGAAAAATGTAACTTTCAGTTAGGAATTCAAATTTTTGAGGTCAAACCTGATGGCTCATGGCCACTTGGTTTTGCATTTGGACATTTGTGGCCCCAGAAGTGTAAGGGTGAAACTTAGAATAGGGACTATTTTGCATAGACCTGAGGACTTATCTCTGCACTAAACGTCAACAAGGACCTTAAAGGGAAGGTTTATCCTTTCTTCTAAAGCTCAGCAACACTCAAATAGCTATTAAATTCAAGATTTCTGGATGTATAATGTGGGGTGGAGGCCTTCAAGTATTTCCCTGTATAAATTGAATTTGATCCAAAGGAGATAATGTTCCTATTAGAAAATTTAATAAACAATCTACAAATGGACTACTGGATAGTATATCTTTCTGAGGTAGATAGAAATAAGTGAAATGGCATTCTACATATCATAATTTGTTTTTGAAAATTTCACTTTTTAAAACCACAAAAAATTAAGTGGTCTGAATTCAGGTGGCCTTGATTTTTTATCATTTTGTAATTTTATTTGCAGAATGTATAAAATTCTACTATATATTTTTGGAGAATATTTTTATTATACTTTACGTCCTGGGATACATGTGCAGAACATGCAGGTTTGTTACTTAGATATGCACATACCATGGTGGTTTGCTGAACCCATCAACCAGTCATCTACATTAGGTATTTCTCCTAACGCTATCCCTCCCCTAGCCTACCACACCCTGACAGGCCCCGGTGGGTGATGTTCCCTTCCCTGTGTCAATGAGTTCTCATTGTTCAACACCCACTTATGAGTGAGAACATGCAGTGTTTGGTTTTCTGTTCTTGTGTTAGTTTGCTGAGAATGATGGTTTTCAGCTTCATCCATATAATTTATTTACTATTTTAGAATTTTTTGAATTTAAAATATTAATTCTTTATTATCTGATTAATTATAACCTTATTCTTGTGAATTCCTAAATTTTACACATTTTAATAAATCTACACTACCAATGTTTTTCTCCTTTATATGTCCTTCGATATTTCTCAATTTCAGTTTTCTAATGATTTTAGCATATATTCTTTAATATAATTAAACATATCTATGGATCTTTCTGCCTAACTTTTCTTTATGTACTATTTTTCATATTGTTTTTCTTTTTCTAAAGTTTCAATTTAATTTATTTTTCCTATTTCATGTACATTTACTACTAGATAGCAAACACAATTTTTGAGAATGCAGGAGGTATAGTTTCAACGATAGTTTTGAATACAGTTTCTATATTCTATTGCCCATGGTTATATTTTTGATTCAGAAATAAATGAATGTTTCAGTTATCTTAAGAATGATTTACACCTTTTAATATTAAACTAGAATATTTATTCATTGTTATTTAAATATCAATTTTCACTACTTTTTGAAAGACGTATACAAAAATCAATTTCTCAATTGATTTCAATGTAACAAATTTTCTGTGAACATAAAAACATACTTAATGTTTGATAGTGTGTTAAGCATTGTGGGATTCAAAATTATATATCCTATAGACAATCATTTCAAATAGTTTAACAATGTGTACATTACCACTGTCTATCAATAGGAACATATTTTAAATACATAGTAAAATTATGTAGGCATGTGTGTGTTGTTATATATATATATTTAAATATATATTTACATACATTTATATAGCCTATTCCCTCTAACAAAGACATATCAACCAATCATAACATAGGATTTGTAAATATTTTCAAAATGTAAAAGGGATTTTTATGTTTATCATTTAAGCTACTTTAAATTCTTTATATCGTATAATTGTGAAACAGTGGCAGTTATGACTAAATAAAAAAATTTCAATGCTTACACTATTGGTCTCTAAAAGTAGAACTTCATGGGTATCTTTCTTTATTTTTTGTTTTAATTATTGTAGAACACTTGGGATACAATGACCTACAGCTTACAAAATCTATTCTCTTAAGATTCATTGTTACCACATATTACTCAGCTATATTTTTTGTTACTTATCTTATTATGATAACATAATAATTGCCTTAATTTTAGGTAAAATTTATGTTTATGGATATTCAAATTTATGATGCAAAATAACTTTCCATTTATCTGGGAAGTTATAAGATCCAGATTCTACCATTCAACTTACATATGCATTGCAAACATCTGAACAGAAGATTTTTCATTAACCACCAACAAAGAGTAGATTACATGCTGAAGTAAAGGATGTGTATGTTAAACTTTTGATTCAATAAACAACTGCCATTCTGACTGAACTGTGAAGTGACAAAAGCTCTGGCTATATTTTCTATATAAAACTTATTGGATATCCTGCCCGTGGCCTATGTTTCAAGAATATTTATGAAAATTTCCAATTCTTGATCAGGTAGTGACCTTCACTGAGAGAGACTTGCTGATGTTCAGAAAAGAAGGTCACATGAATACAAATCTTTGTAAATATGTCTTTAATATATCTTAAAACAGAGGCCATAATGAATAAAACAAACTTAATGTTTCCTGAGAGAAAACAAGAAAGATCAATCCTTGTTCAGGAACTATAGTGATTATCTGTCTACAAGAGATCTTACTGTAGTTTCTTTAGGAGAAAATAGGTATAATTTAGACCAAACAATGGCAAAATTAATCGGTTGTTAAAAGGAGGAGAATTCCTGGGGTAAGTAATGAAACTGGCAATCTCCATTTCCCACAGCTGAAGCACAGGGCACATTGCTTTTTAAAAGGTGAATCGTTCTGACTATATTAATCCTGATATTTTTCATTTTAGGCCTAACACTCACACATCAGCACCCATTTCAAAAGATCTAAATCATATTATATATCAAATTTGGGGTGCAAAAAATGAGAAAGAAAAACAACTTTGTTTATAATGGGAGAGGTGGAGGGATAATGTTGGTATTGATCTCACTTTTATGAGTTCAAAGGACTCCTTCAACAAGGCTTTATGGGAAAGGAAATAAGACAATAAGACAGACCATGCTCAGTATGAGACCTGCTGACATCTTGCACCCTACAAGCTTATTCAAATGACTCTGTTCATGTTATTTCATTATCACATTCTAATTTTATTGCCCCAGATGTTATCCTTTATTGTAGTACCATGCACAAATCTTTTTTTTATTTGAAAGTAGCTTCCATATAAAGTTGTAAGCCTCTGTGTGTGTTATGTTTCTCCATTCTCACAATGAAATAAAGAAAGTCAGATTTCTCTCTGTGATAGAATTATACATAGATTCCTAAAACTGCTGCCAACAGAATACTTTTCACTGACGTTTTAAGTGATAAGGTAGGAGAGCAGAATATGAGCTCTTCCTAAGTTATTCACTCTATTATTGAATGTCTTTATGTTTATTGTTGGTTTGGTTTTGTATCTGTTTATGGAAAGGCAGGCAGTCAGGCAGATATCCTGTGATTTTCATGAAATGTGTCAAATAGAATGCACTAGGGCACTGAGGACATGCTAAATTCTCTATTTCATCTCTAATGAAAAGCTCAAATAACAGTCTCTGCCAAACTGCCCTTATTCCTATGGAGAAATAATTTCTTTTAAATCTGGGGGTGAATTCTTTTTGCTTTGGAGTACTAGATTCAAGGAACGCCTGAGAGTTTTCAGAGAGATATTTTAATTCTGTCCAGCTTCTACACTAGTATACAGATCTGGGTTATAAACCTCAAAAAAGACAGAAAACAAAAGGTTACATAGAATCATGCATTACAACTACATACATGGCTTTCATATTTACGTAATATTGTGTTTAATTTCTGCTAACAAGCACTCTATTGATCTCAAAGAGAATGAAAGTTTGGCCATAGGTCAAATATCAATGATTGGGCAGGACCTTCCCTAGAGGGAAATCATGGACCCCCTGGAGTGGTGTTTTTTTTTTTTTTTCACTGTTTTGTCCACTGTTTTCCATCACAGGCAGGAATGGGTATAATCCCATGATACTGATGAAACAAACCAACAATAATTTTTTAAATTAATCAATTAATTACATTAAATTGACAAATAAAAAAAATGGCTGGGCACAGTGGCTCACGCCTGTAATCCCAGCACTTTGGGAGGCCGAGGTGGGCAGATCACGAGGTCTGGAGAGCGAGACCATCCTGGCTAACACGGTGAAACCCCATCTCTACTAAAAATACAAAAAAATTAGCCGGGCGTGGTGGCGGGCGCCTGTAGTCCCAGCTACTCAGGAGGCTGAGGCAGGAGAATGGCGTGAACCCGGGAGGCGGAGCTTGCAGTGAGCCGAGACCACACCACTGCACTCCAGCCTGGGCGACAAAGCAAGACCCCACCTCAAAAAAGAAAAAAATGTATATATTTATCATATACAACATGATGCTGTGATTTATGTATATAGGTGGAATGGCTAAGTCAAGTTAATGTGTGCATTACCTCACATACTTACCATTTTTTGTGGTGAGAACACTTTAAATGTACTCTCTTGGCAATTTTCAAGAACACAAGATGTTGCATTAATGATACTCACCATGGTATATAATAGATCTTTTGAGCTTATTCCTCCTATCTAACTAAAATTTGAATACTTTGACCAACATCTTCCCAACCCCCATCTCCCTGTCCCTGGTAACCTCCATTCTATCCTCTGCTTCATGAGTTCAATTTTTTAAGATTCCACATATAAATGAGATCATGCAATATTTGTTTTTCTGTTCCTGGCTTATTTCACTTAACATAATGTCCTTCAGTTTCATTCATGTTATTGCAAATGACAGGTTTTCCTTCTGTTTTAAGGATGAATACTACTCTACTGCATATATATAAAACCCATTTTCTTTATCCATTTATACACTGATGGACACTTAGGTTGCTTCCACATCTTGGCTATTGTGAACATTGCTGCAATGAACATAGGAATGCAGAAATATGTTGCAAATACTGATTTTATTACCTCGGGATATATACCTAGCAGTGGGATTGGAAACCAGCTCTATTTTTAATAATCAGGTAACAATCCAGTCCCTTCTGCTGGTATTAAAACTGTTTCCAATACACAGCATACTTTCAGAATATTTGAATATGGTACTAATAAAATACAATTAGAAAAAATAGCTCAAAGATACGTGAATGCTTTTAATAATGAGGCTATGACCCAATTCATCTTCTTACATTTTTTATAAAGGTAATACCCTTCAACTTTATCATATAAAATACTACATAGTCCAGATAATATATAATAAATTACAGAAGTTTTAATTTTTTAAAAAAATTTTATAAATTTATTTGTTATATACAGTGATTCAATATTGGGGATATGTCTTCTGTTTTTCATACTGAGTGGATTAAAAATAATGATTCATGTTTTTGTTATTTTTATGCAATTGCTTCATAGATACCATATTTGAAATTTGATATAAAAGTGAATCTTTTGTTACACAATTATTTTAGTTTTTATTTTTTTCTGGATTAAACAAAAAATTATAGCTTTCTCTTCTTTCAGAGACTTTGGGGCTAAGAAAAAAAAAGTGCCCCAAGGCAATTTTATCAGTGTTGTCTATAGAGTAACAGCTCCTTAGAACTGAAAGATATTGCCTTTTCAGGTGTTAAACCTTTTTTGAGCTCACTTTTTCCATGGAAAGAAGAATGTTGAACCAGGTTACTGTGACAATGTCCAAAATTGGTAAAAGGAAAAGGAAAGAAAACAGTATCATCAGTAATGATGCAGGAGTTAGAGTATTTAGGCAGATAGTGAGGCTAAGTCACTCCTTGGTAAGGTTTCCCTTTTAATGAAAAGCAGTCCCCAAAGCATTTTCTTTTCTAATAAAGAGCAGCCTGTAAAATCGAGCTGCAGACATAGACAAGTGAGCTGGAAGCTTGCACGAATGAATGCCAGCAGTTGTGCCAATAGGAAAACGCTACCTGGGACTAGGCGTAACCCAAATGGTGGCTCCATCTTCCCTTCTCTTTGCCAGCCACAGGTACAGTAAGGAACAGACAAGATGGTGCTGGACAAGTGGAAAGCCCGTTTGCATAACAAGATTAGGGTGGGGTGACCAGCCTTCCCCATGCACTGTGGAAAGGTCACACCTGGTCGAACCAATCTGTGGGTCCCATGGAAATCAGACACTGCCTCCTCAAGCCTGCCTATAAAATCTGCTGTGGTCCTCCACATGCCAGCTTTTCCCTTTTGGACACCCCTCTCTCTCACAAGAGAGAAAGAGCTGCTGTCCTTTCTCTTTCTTTTGCCCACTGAACCTCTGCTCCTGAACTTGCTCCTCATGTGTGTCCGTGTCTTTAATCTTCTTGGCATGAGATGATGAACCCGGGTATTTACCCCAGACAACGATGCCTACAGATTTACAAAATAATCTCAAACAAGAAAGGAAACTGTATAGAAAGCTGACTTTACTTCAAAAGGGATTCTTATTTAAAAGCATGATAATGGATTAATTATCATTAGAAAACAGAGGAGCAGGCTATCTATATAGAGTTACACAAAGAGAATCTGAACACCTCCATGTTCTCAGATAGCTTTAAGAATAGGTTTGTAAGCTCCAATTTATCTTTGGGATAGGGTAATAAATTCCACCATCCAAATTCCAATAGCCTTCTGGGAAAGTTGATGAATTCATTTATTCATATTTATTTTTAAAAACTTGTTTTATTATGAAATATTTTAACTTTATAAAAAATGACAGATTTATCTTAATAGATGACGTTTGAATCAGTATTAACATCTGGCAATTAGTTATTTGATACATGCTACATTCCAG
This sequence comes from Homo sapiens, assembly GCF_000001405.40. Taxonomy (NCBI): domain Eukaryota; kingdom Metazoa; phylum Chordata; class Mammalia; order Primates; family Hominidae; genus Homo; species Homo sapiens. Next base: position 125,660,911 of record NC_000007.14, read on the forward strand.
GCAATTTGTTAGCAACTGAACTTCCAGTGTTTTAAAAGAGAACTAAAACAGTCTTTGTCTTAAAAAGACTTTAATTCTTGTAGTAAAAACTTATGCAAATAGCTAACTACAGTGAAAGATAGAAGGTAGCAAATGTTACAGGATAAGTGGGCATACAATAGACTAGGAAAACTGAAAATGTGAAATCATGTGAGAAGAAGGGGAAGAAGATTTTAGGTTCATATCTACTGAGGAAATTTATATAACGCTAGTGAGTAGAAGAGAGTTCAGTAGAGGTTACAAAAGAGGGTGACTCATTCAGCATGTAACAGTTTTGCCCTAACACACGTCTGGTGTTGTCTAAGTGCTAGAAGAAAATCTAAGGCAGGGTAAATGAAATGGGAGAAATTCTAGAGGTGAAGGAGAAAGTGCTATTTATATGGGTGGTCCAATAAAGCCTCTCTGATAAAATGGCATGTGAGGGGAAACCTCATGGAAAGAAAAGCGTGAGTTCTACAAATGGATATCTGGTGGTAGGGGGAAAGTTGAATTTTCTGGGTTGAGTGAAAAGTTAAGTACAAAGGCTCAGAACCTGGAGAGTAACTTCTGAATTATAGGAATGGAGAGGAGGTCCATGTGACTGCAAGAGAGGGAGTAAAGGTATGGGGCAAGTGTGGTAAGAAACCCAGGCTAAGTGGTAGCAGACGAGTTTGTTGAAAATTAAGCAGTGTTCCACAGACTTTTCAGAGTAAACAAAATAGGACAATATCAAGCCAGTGTGGAAAAGTGTTTGAATGAATTTGCCTGAAAATAAGTAAACTGATTAGAAAAATGGCTATTTATACCTACCATACATTTTGAGAGAGGAGAAAGGAAGAAACTGGCAGGAAGTTAGGTTGGGTCCTTGGTCGAATTCTTTTTAACAAAACAACAGCCTGCAGGCACAGATAAGGGAACTTGCACAGGGGATCTTGCCTAAGAACTGCCTACAGCTGCACAGATAAGAAAGGCTACACAGGTGGTTTCCCTGGTCATGCCCAGGATGGAAAATCTGGTCGCCTGACACATGTGCAGTAAGGGGAACAAAGCAATGTGGAATAACTCAAGCTAAGGACATATATGCGCACTAGGAGGATGAGGTGTACCTACCAGAAATTTGTGCTTTATGCAAATAAGACACCCAGCCCTCATTGGTTTCTTATAAAAGCCTTTGCATTCAACTGTAAAAACGGCAACCCTTTTCTGGGTGCCCTCTCTGCAAGGGAGAGCTTTCTTCTTTCGCTTATTAAATTTTCACTCCAACCTCACCCTTTGTGTCCACCCTCCTTAATTCTCTTGGTTGTGATACAAAGACAAAGAACTCTGAGTGATACTTCACCAAGAGAGACTGCTACATTGTGATGCATTGGCAAGACTATAACAGTTTTATCTTATGGTTAATCATTTCCCTTTTCCTTCTACTAAAGGTACTTCTCCATAAATGTAAGCATTTGGCACATGTATCATTTGTTAAACATAGGCTACTTTAGTTCTCTACATGAAGTCTAAGATGAAGATTATTTTACCAGGTAGACTGAGGCTTTATATCTGGCCACATTCTTACCTAACTGGTAATTGTCAATTAATTGTAGTGATTAGAAATGACAACTGGAAATTCCATTGAGAAACGAATGGAACAGTTTTCTTTCCTTTTCATTTTTCTTCCTTTGGACATTGTCACAGTACCCTAGCCCAATACTTTTTTCTCAATCAAAAGAAAGCGAGAGATCAAAACAGATTCAATATCTGAAAAGGCAATATCTTTCAGTTGCAAGGTACTGCTACATTATAGATAACATTAATAAAATTGCTTTGGGAACAGAAATTTGGATTTCTTAACCCCAAAGTCTTCTCTGGGAGAGAAGAAACATATAAATGTTCTTGTTTGCCTAGGGGAGGGGAAGGCAAGATAAAATAATAAACTAACAAAAATAACAAAAGATTTATATGTTTTATCACAAACTCCAAAGAAAATATTTTTTACAATTCACTGGACTTGCTGGATATTTAGATGCCTGTAACTTGCCCAGAGAAAGGTAGAAATAGCAATGAAGATAATTTAAAAATTATAATGTCACTATTTTACAGTAACACAAGGAAGAGATTATAAGAGCGGATATGAATTTAAAATGAGAAATTTAATTTTTTCTATTGAAAAATAAATGAAAGGACTTCCCTTTCTTCCTTTTCTTAGAGCATTTATTTTAGAATACTTGTAATGCTACATTCTTTCTATCTCTTTGACATGTATGTAAATCTTTAAAACAGCAAATTGCCTCTTGCCAGCTTTAAGACCCAGAAATGTTTTTCTCAAGGACCTGAGAGCCATCTCTTTGAAATGTAATCATCAAGGAAGATAGTGCCTCTATTTTCCAGTTTCTATGAGAGGGTAGGAGCCTTACATAGGCAGACACCTCCCTCCAAGTAGCAAAACTACCTTTTGTCATAAAAATATGAGTTTATTTTTCTTCTGCATAAACACAATTAACAAACACAGATGCTTGCCCTAATTAGCAAATGAATTTAAAATCAACCTTATGTGCAAAATGGCGCTGTCAAGTCCTCCTCCTTGAGGATTTACTTACCTTGAGAACAAGTGTGTAATGTGTTGTACCTGATTATCTAAAAAGAGTGAGACTGTTGTCTTTGAAAGCTCTTTTCACATTGTCTTTGATGTGCAACACATTCTGCTTTAATGTTTAATTAATAATAAAATTGTTTTCTTCGTCTTCTACCTTTGTAATAAGTTTTCTGTTAGGAGATTTGGGAGGTTTTTAAAGTCGTATTTCATCCAGCTCAAGTAATGTATTTATTAGTATGTCTTTTCTTACTAGAATCTAAGGTCCATGAGGGTAGAGATTTTTTCTGTTTTATTCTTTATTCCCAGTATCTGGAATACTATCAGGCATATAGGAATACTAAATAATTATTGTGAATATACAAATATATAAATAAATGAATAAATAAATGAATTAGGATTTCTCATCTGATTTTGTCACCTATTATTTCTTTCATAAGATGAAATTCCTATTTCTGGTACCCCCAGGCCCTAGTTTCATATTGTAAACCAGTACCCAAGGCATATAAAGACTCAAACGTCCTTTATTTGAACATGCCTGGTAATCAGACTCCAAATACTGAGCCATTTTAAACGTCATTCAGGGCAGTAAGAGTGTAAGAATAAAAGAGAAACTCACTTATCCCCCAACCTGTCTGGAATCTTTTTCATGGTAAAAGAGTAAATCATTAAACTCTGATAAATCATCAATTTATGGTAAATCATTAAACTATCGTGCCAGAACTTCTTATGTTCTGCATCAAAATTTGAACACAAATAGAGATTTACCCACAGTATTTTTCTGCAAATCATATAAAGATCTTTTTTTTTTCTGGCTTACACAACAGAATTAGGAGCCTCAAATAATAGTCTTCTGTTCTCAGAATAGCAATATAAATATTGTTTCCCTATGCAACATGACACTCCAGGACTTTTTTGAAAGAAGTGTAGATAGCTATCTATGCTGAAGACAATTAGAGATTTGAAATATGCTAAGATCTCAGTTTGTCTGAAGGATAATGAGTTGGTAACAGCAGTTATTCACTAATCTCAGTACCCAGGGATATTGGACTAATAGAAAGGAAAGTTGCAGAATTTAAATTAGACATAATAGATATATTTGAGAGAATATTATAGTAAGCAATCCAGCTTTACTAAGAGAATATATATGAATGCTTAATAGTTTACTCTGTAGAATGATTTTTGCATATTTTATGCCAAGGAAACAATGCTTAGATGCTCTAAAAATAAGCTGCCAACAGATTTCCCCATAAGCTCCATGACTATAAGAAGTATTCATTATTGCTTCTCTGGTGCAGATTAAGAATGCGAGAAAAAAAAGTAGGAAAATGAGATCATTTTAATACACTGATGATAGCTTTAGTTTCAGGATGTCCTTTTGAAAATGAAACACTTAAAGCCTTCAGTGAGCCTTCAGGCAATTCAGCAGCTCTTTTCTCCTCTGTCAATTCTAGAACCATTTATACCACACATCTATTGGACTTTCTGACATCCTCCTTCCAGGAATCTACATTCAAATCTGATTGTACCTCAGAGGTGATGGATGCTTTAGGCCTAAATTCCACTTGGGCGAACATTAGAAAGCCCTCTTGAAGCCATGCAATGTCATTTGCATAGTTATGTCTCCACAGCCAAAGATTTTTCCAACTCCAGAAATTTTTTATAACTGTGACAAGGAACTCCAAATATTGCAAAACATTCATCTTGCTATTTTTGTTCTTGAGAGCTATTTCACCAATATATTCAACATATAATTCCCTGCTGTAATTAAATAGACATATTTGCAAAAAGTTAAACAAAAGAATTATCAGCTTAAGTAGAAGAAAGAAAAGTCATCTTATTAGAATTGCTTTTTATACTGAAAATATGCTTAAATGTCTCACATCATTTTTGGTGATGGCACTTCTTGCAGCTAGAGTGTAATATCATTTGGTATGGATTTTTTTTGCATAATTTCTATGACAGAAAGAGGTATGCTTAGCAATCCCTCAGCTAATGAGAAAGCTTTAGAAGAAATGGATCCTTTTTCTGTGAAAAAATCTATTGTTAATGCTCACTGCCAGCAAGAGACTAATTTTACTGACAATGTAAAGAACTTTATTATCTCAACTAAAAACACAAGTGATATTAACACAAAAATCACTTTTGTTTTATGCTATTCATACTGTTATGGATTGAACTATGCCCCGCACCAACGTTCATATACGGAACCTCTAACCTCTATTGTGACTATTTTTAAAAATATGAGCTTTAAGAACATAATTAAGGGTAAATGAAGTTATAAGGTAGGGATCCTACTCCAGTAGGCTATATGTCCTCATAACAAAAGAAAGAGACACCAGGAGTATATGCCTATGAAGAGCCATATGAGGTAGTAGAGAGAAGGTGGCCATCTGCAAGCCACGAAGAAAAGCCTCACAAGAAAGCAAACCTAGTAGCACTTTGACCTTGGACTTCTAGCCTCCAGAACTGTGAGAAAATAAATATCTGTTATTTAAGCGATCCAGTGTGTGGTATATATTTATGGCAGCCCAAGCAAACTAATATACATGTTAATGCCAATTTATTTTAACTATGGAATTCCAGAGATGGAAAACATGACTCATTTAAGGTTACTCTTGTTCCTGACTGTTCTTGAGGTGATAAATACGATGGTATATTCTGAGTTAGGAACATATCAAAACGAAGCTCTAACTATAGGAACAAACTTGGTTAGGTAAAACACAATGATTGAATATTGCTAGTCAGTCTTTCTTACCATTCTGTGTGGGGCATTTAATTAAATAATTGTCAACAACAATAATTGACTGGCTGCAGATATACTTTATTTTCATTTTATATAAAGTTGTGCTTAGGATTAATGTGCCATTGTGGGATTTGATTCAATAACAAACCTCTGTCAGATAAACTTCTGTAAACAGACCTAATTTTTTTCATATTCTAAATTTTCAAAACAGCCAGTTTTGACAGGGCACATCACAGAAATGGCCAGTTTGTTCATATGAAACTCCTTGGGGGCTGCAGCTTGAAACACTTTATATTGATTACTAGGTAAATAATGTAGTGACTTGGTTGAGGGGGTCTTTCCTCATCTGATTTCTTCAGCTCACTTATGTTATATTCCTCTCCTGTGAATTTCCATTAACTTGCTATATTGTTCCTCTCTAGTCAAGTCACTTTCTAAAAGTTTAGCTGCTGCCCTGTACAATCACCTTCTACTCTATGTTGAATTCACTACTTTACTCTTAGATAATTGCTTCTTTATCTGTCTGGCATTTATGGTGCTTTTCTCTAAATTGGTTCTGCTTTATTTTATTTTACTTTTTATTTATTTTATTTTTTTTTAGATGGAGTCTTACTCTGTTGCCAGGCTGGAGTGCGGTGGCGAGATCTCGGCTAACTGCAACCTCCACCTCCCAGGTTCAAACAATTCTGGCTCAGCCTCCTGAGTAGCTGGGACTACAGCTGCGTGCCACCATGCCCAGCTAATTTTTGTATTTTCAGTACAGACGGGTTTTCACCATGTTGGCCAGGATGGTCTTGATCTCTTTACCTCATGATCTGCCCTCCTTAGCTTCCAAAAGTGCTGGGATTTACAGGCATGAGCCACCGTGCCCTGCCAGTTATGCTTTTACATAATCTAATCTCCTCAATATATCATTTTTTTCAATGGCTTCACTGAAACTTACTGTGAATTTGAACTTCTGTCATTTCTCTTTTGTCTTTACATTTATTCATTAAATAGACTATATTTTCTCTTTCTACTTCATTTTCCAGCCTCTCTACTTAATTCCCCAATGTCTGTTTTATATATTTATTCTTTCTGTGACAGTGTCTATTAAAATTCACATTCAGCTGGGTGCAGTGGCTCACACCTGTAATCCGAGCACTTTGGGAGGCCAAGGCAGGCAGGCCACGAGGTCAGGAGTTCGAGACTAGCCTGGCCAACATGGTAAAACCGTGTTTAGTCTCTACTAAAGATACAAAAAAAAAAAAAAATTAGCTGAGCGTGGTGGCACGTGCCTGTAGTCCCAGCTACTCAGGAGGCTGAGGCAGGAGAATCACTTGAGCCCAGAAGGCAGAGGTTGCAGTGAGCCAAGATCACGCCATTGTACTCTAGCCTGGATAACAGGGCGAGACTCCGTCTAAAAAAAAAAAAAAATTCACATTCAAGGACTCTGATTATTCAAGTACAATAGCTTCTTTCTTGTTCTCATCTTAATGGTTCTTACCATTGATTGAGGCAGGACAAGGAAAAGGTAATCAAGTGGCAGTTTTATATTTAATGTCTGAAGCTAAAATAAAAATGCCAAACTATATGCCATCAAAACACCTTGTCAAGGAAAGCCACAGGTTCTCTTAAATCTCTCTCAAGAACATTATTCTCTATTAGTATAAAATTAGAAGGTTTTATTGTCGTTGTTAGTAACTGTTAATTTTGTGATTAAAATTGGTTCCAAATTGTGGCTGGTAAGTCCCATACATTACATATGGATGTTAAAGGTGATCGTGTTGAAGTTTCAAAAGTTAAGTGAAGAGAATGGTAGAGAAAGCTTTTATTGTTTTAGTGAATGCATATATCATCATAATCAGAATGTTCATGGAAATAATCAGCCTTAAAGGAAATAAGAGGAAGAAACTTAGTATCATGCTATTGGACACTGGAGATAAGGTGATCCATGTCATAAAGTGACAAAAATCCTGGATGAATTGTGTTCTGTTGGGTGGAAAATAAAACTTTTAAGCAATGCACTTGAATATTTAACTGTGAGGGTTTCCAAGCAAAGTGTAGAAAATGTAGTCTGGTATCTTCTTGATACTTATTGGAGAAAACGAGAGCAAAGAGATGAAGTTCCTAATGCAAAAAGGAACCAGCACTTGATGGTTTGGGAAATTCTCAACCTATCCAGACAGTATACTTTGGAAATAAGTCCAAGTATGTGGTCATCTGTTAAAGAGATTAGTTATACATTTAATGGATTCAGTCAACCATCTCAGCAGAGGCAGGGAATGGAGACGGGGTTATCCAGATGGAATCTGTGAAGAATGCTATTATGCAATGGTCTGAGTCCCCTGGAAGTACATAGAAGACCAAAAAAGTCTTTAAAAATGTTATATCTTCAGAAACACTTTCAGCTTGGGCCAAAAGGGACAGAGATGAGACAAAATAAGGGAAGGCTGTCAACCTTCTCAGAGTCTATAGGCAGAAATGGGCTGATAGAATTACTCAGCTATGCACATGCACTACCCGTCATGAAAGAGAAAGAATGACTCCTGAGACACAGCCGTGGGTGTAGGAACAGAGACCAGATAGGCAAGACCAGAGGCAGAGGTTGAGTAGGACAAGAGGCAGGGGATCCATACCCTTGCATAATAGCATTCTCCATGGCCCCAAGGGCAGATACCACAGAGAATTGTACTGAAGCCCTGAAATCCATTGCAACTTGCCTTGCTAAATTCTTGCTTTAAATGCTTGCTTTAAATCAGTGACTGCTTTATTCCTTCCTTACAGACTTCAGATAGAGCTAAGTCATGCAAAACCACCATTTCAGAATTCTGGTCTTTAGAATTCAGAGAAAATATATTTCTGTTGTTTGAAGCCACCCAGTTAGTGGTAACTTGTTAAAGCACTTCTAGAAAACTAATACAGCTTAATAGAACATTTAATTAAATATGTATTGAATCACAGTATCGGTAACTTAAAATTCCTCTGATGCTAAGCAAATACTGCTTGTAAGTCAAGATGTATCTAGACGTCAAATGCTGTTGCACAGCATACCATGTTTTAAATAAAATGAATTATACCTAAAGTCGTTACTTGTTTCAAAGCAAAATATATTCAATGTTTACACTTAAAAAATCATAATTTTCAATGGTATTCTTAAAAAGCAGTAGTATCTGCTATTAGGAATTCAGCCTGTCCTGCTGGTCACTAAAATTTCTTCTTTTATTTCTCCTCCTTCTCCTTCTTCTCTTCTTCCTCTTCCTTCTCCTTTTACTTGCCCTTCAATTGCTCCCAATTTAATACCTCTATCATATCAAAAAGTTATAAAAATTTCCTTGAAAGTAATTGAACTACATTTAAAAATCTCTTCATTGCATGTGAAAAAAAAAAAAAAAGAGTTGTCCTGAATGAAAGACAGCCTCGATTTTAGTTAACTAGTGCTTACAATCTCACATTATCTTAAATGCACATATATTTTAAGGAAAATTTATCATATGTGAACATAGGATATAAAATTTACAAAACCTCATTAAGATTTTTAAATCTAAATGAGATAAAAAAGTCTCATTAAGATTTTTAACAGCCCATGGTAAAAATAATTATAGTTCTTTTACATAAATTTGCATGATTAACTTGGGAGACCCCAATAGTTTTAATGATGTATTTACATAACATTTGAAAATGTACGATAATTTCAGTCAACCAGAACAATTGTCTTAATCTATATAAGTTACAAATATATTCACAATTTAAATAAGAAAAATCACCAATTAATTACTTACTGTGCTGTTTTTATCCTTATGAAAAATTCATAGGATAAAAGCTTCATTGCAAGTAATTAGAGCACATTATGTGTAATCACTTGCCAAATTTCATGTTTTAAATCAATCATTTTTTGTGTTCATATGTTTGAAGTAATTTCAGAAGTAAATAATCACAGAGCCCCGCAAATGAGGTAATATGGTAAAACAAATATAGCAAAGTATTTTAAGAAAGCAATAGACTAAAGCAGAATCCCTTCTGTGAGCTACCTGGCATCTTTACACTAGTTGGAGGTATCGGGTAAATAACATCTTTACAAACAACTTGTGTATGAGTGAGGTTCCTGGAAAATATTTACTTTTACTTTATTTTTCTAAGAAAGCAACTTACATTCATTGCCTTCTTTCAAAACAAATTTGATCTATTGTGTCACTAGATATTTGTTCCTAATTCATTAAATTATACTTTGATTATAACTTCACTTTTTCCTACTGTACTTGTATATACTATTAGATACATTTATTCTCAATATGCATCTTTTGATGTATGGCTTTGTAATATTTATTTTGACACTAGCAGTTTATAATACTTAATAGATTATAACTATAGATGAGCAGTCAGTATTTGCATCTTGCATATTATGTGTTTTATTCCAATTTACCTGGTATATACTACATATAGTTACTATTCAATAAACATTTATTTTTGATGTAGATTGCAAGGAGAATGTCAGTCATAAGTCAATTAGAGAATACAGAGAGGTTGTACTTAAAGCTTAATTGAAGTATAAAGCATAACAATAAGAACATGTTCGAAACGATTGCTACATCACCCTTTGAGAGAATGATAACCACTGAGGATTAGAATATTAGACTTTATTTACACTTAAGCATGCTTGGACTGTAAAGAAACACTTTCTTATATATGGGACACTCAAGGGTACATGTAGACACATACCCTTATTGACAGGGTACATGTAGACATATCTGCCGTCCTGCAAATATCCCAGTGAAAAAATATTTAGTTCACCTGCTCATGGAAAATATCAGTGTCCTTTGAGACTTTTGTCACCATAGGACTGTTCTTACTGATTTTGTGGTTTATTCTCTTGAAAGATAAAAAGCAACAACAAAAAACAGGCCTAAAACTTAACATGATTCAAGGTTGCTATTGCCCCCTGGTGTGTGGAATAAGTAAGTACAAATTTTCTCTGGAGTTAGGATTCCTAATCCATTTTCCTCTGAATTCCCAAAGATTTAATTTAGCCAAATATGAGCCATCATTTATAAATCATAAAAATACATAAATATGGCTGGTCTTCTGTAATAACATTAATAAAGTTTTAAACTTTCCTCAATGGTAATCTTGTACAATTTTTTGTTAAAATTTTTTCTTTATTTTCTTGAGATACCCCTGTAGGATGATCACAATTTTGACATTTATTCTCAAATCTATGCTATATTCACAATACTTGCATAATCAGAAGTCAAAATAAAAATTTAAGTCATTAAATATTTTAGTTATTGGAATTTTTTCATTTATGATCAAGAACAATATAGGAAAGCTCATCATTATTATTTCTGGACAATGTATGACCAGAAAATCCACTTTATATACTATAATATGACAAAAAGAAGAGTTAAATGGATTTAAAAAAATAACTTACAATATCATTATTTTTCATAAGTGATATGCCCAGATACATAGAAAAGCACAATCAATTTTAGGTAGTTAAGGAATTTTGCTGGATCAATATATAAAATCCACTTTCATTTATAAGGCAGTATTAATTAATGACAATAATTTAAAATGAAATTCTGTTTCTAATAGCAACAAAAAGTATAGTTCTATCAGTTATTTATTACTACAGTATAAATTAATTTTACATAAAAACAATAAAAATAACAGCAAATCAAACTAAAAAAGTATTAATATATATATATCATTACAAAGTGGGATATTTGTTATGAGTATGTGAGGATGGCTCAATTTTTAAAAATTCAGTGTAATCCACCACATCAACAGAATACAGAAATGAAATTACATAGTTATATTAAATTGAGGCAGAAAAAGCATTTGACAAAATTTGACAGCCATTCATGATTAAAAACTTCAGCAAACTTGGAATAGAGTAAACTTCCTCAGCTTGATAGAGAATATCTGCAAAAACCTTCAGCCCTTATCATGCTTCATTATGAGAAGCTAGATAATTACCCCTAAAAATGAAAATGGGCAAGATGTCTTCTGTTACTATATCTATGGAACATCATATGGTGATCTTAACTAGTGGAATAAGACAATAAAAATAAATAGAAGGTGTGAAGATAAGGAAAAGGACATAAAACTGTCTCTGTTTATAGAAGACATGTTTGACCATGAGGAAAATACCTCCCAAATCAGATTTACGGGTATAGTAAAGAAACATAGACATGTAATTATATATGTATGTACTCACTTGGTGTTATTTCCCATCCTCAACATATATTGAGGAACTTATAATCAGGAAAAGTATTAATTGTTTTTCAATTTGAAACATGCCATATCTTCCCCTAATAATTTTAAATTTCTGATAGTATTTGGGCTTCCTGATTTTTAGCTTCTATTTTCCATTTTTTTTAATCTGGTAAACATCATGTTTAAAGAATTCTTTATATTTTGCCAATCTCAGGGCTTTACCTAACTAACTCATAGAAATTTTATTATTAGTCATCCATTGGAAAACACAACTATTCGGTTAGCGAGTCTGTTTTTGTTTTAAAACTCTTATTTGTAAGAATAGTATCTAAAAGGTTTTAATAGCCTGTCATGTGCCAAGCATAGTACATGAATTATCTGTAACATATTTAGCCATAATTAACACTACAGAAAAAATAATAATTCCCCATTTTACAACTTATTTTATTTATCCATTAACACACACAAATATGCAGCACATACCATGTGACAAGTACTGGTCTACATACTTTCTTACATTAGTGATCATAACGACAAAGTCCCAGTTTGAGTGAAGCTTATATTACACTTAGGGAGGAAAAATAGTATATAGACAAAAAACAACATGTATAACAGAAATGTTGATTGTATAACATGTTAGAAGATAGTAAATATGTTCTAGGAAAAGGAAATTTGCAAATGTCAGTATGAGTGGATATGGGCACAGTAATTGTAGGAAATAGAAAACATTAAAATCAAAAATCAAAATCAGAACACATCGATGTTTCAGCATAAATAAAATTGATGATTATGCTTTTAAAAAAACTTTACATATAGCTTTCAATATATCATATCACTAACCTCTTCCTTTATCAATAAATAAATGCCTTTATCTGACAGAAGTTTGTCCAACCTGTGGCCTGTGAGTCACAAGCAGCCCAGGACAGCTTTGAATCCAGCACAACACAAATTCATAAACCTTCTTAAAACATTATGAGATTTTTTTTGCAATTTTCTTTTTAGCTTATCAGTTATCGTTAGTGTTCATGTGTTTTATGTGTGGTCCAGGACAATTCCTCTTCCAATGTGGCCCAGAGAAGCCAAAAGATTGGACACCCACCCCTGATAAAAGATCCGTATTTATTGGTTCCACACTCAGTACAAGATGTTGTTCTGTCACTCAAATTTAATATAAATAATAGTTAATGAGCTTTTTTTTTTTTTTTTTTTGAGACGGAGTCTCGCTCTGTCTCCCAGGCTGGAGTGCAGTGGCGGGATCTTGGCTCACTGCAAGCTCCTCCTCCCGGGTTCACGCCATTCTCCTGCCTCAGCCTCCCGAGTAGCTGGGACTACAGGTGCTCACCACCATGCCTGGCTAATTTTTTGTATTTCTACCATTTCTAGTAGTGTGGATGCAGGAAAAAAAAAAATATCTACAAGGTATTTTATTGTTTCAAGATTTGTTAGATTATGATGATGGCAGGACATAACAACAATGACTCCAGAAAAATGAAAGGCAGAATTCTTTATTACTTATATAGTCCTGCACGAGAGGCGGCTGTGGGGTAGGGCTACATAGGGGTTGCACCCAGAAAAAAGGTAGCAGCAACCTAGAAACCTAGGAGGAGGCTTATATAAGGCAAGTCAAGTGAGTGAGCAAGGTTCAGAGGGTTTGTTATGGACTGGGAATTTTAAATAATTCCATGGGCCCAATGAAGGAAGGGCCATTCCTCCATATGTGGCTCCCAGGCTTTTGGCAGTTGGGTACGTATGTAGTAAAACGGAGCAGCAGAGCCCGATAAGGTAAATCACTGGGGTGTAGGTTTAGCAAACAGCCTGGGAAGAAGACTTGAAGATTTTTTGGCAATGGTCTCAAAACTGGATCAAGACAGCACTTGTGCAATATTATATTGTAATACATCTCTGCAGGGAAAGTATATTATAATTGTGGAGGTGCACATAAAACATAAAGAGGAACACATAAAATGCTTTTTGAATTATAATCATTCATATTTGCCCACTATTATGATTTCATAATATCTTGGCTGTATTATTGACATATTCCTACTTTTTCTCTATGTACTAGTACTCTATCACATGATCAATTTACAGTAGAAAACCAGATAATTCTTTCTAATACACATATTGCATCTATTCCATGCCTTCAATGAATTTCCCATTGTTTAAACTATAGGTCAAGAAACTGTCCAATTGCTATACTTGTTTGGGAAGTTTTATACAAAATACAGATTTCTGTGATTAAGCATGTCTAGAGAGAAGCATATAAATCTTAATGAATTTTAGTACTTTCTAGCATGTAAATATATTTTTTCTAATTATTGAAAAGATGATTGGTTAGGATTCAGACGAAAAAAAAAAAGTATACACTGTTCCCATTAAAGTAACTAGGAAGCCACTACAACCAAGAAGTTGCCAGAGGTGAATGCCTTCTCTGCCTCTACAGGTTCCAAAACCACGTCGGCTCTGATCACATGAACACAATGAGTTGCCGCAAGGCTAGTGACCAGATAGTTTCAATAGCCCAAAATGGTCAAAGTCCGCACTATCATAAGTACTCACATTAGCCATCAAAGTAATAATGCTATCAAATGTGATGTAGCCTTTAGAATACTCTACTGTACACCCATGAAATAATGAGTGTGTAAAGGGTTCAAATGTCTAAGAGTCCTTAGAATCAGGGTTCTCTAAGTATTCTGAAAACCATTGTCTTGGGGCAATAGTCATTTACAGAATTTGTAACTCTCCCTGAACTATCTAAGCTCAGATTATGAAATGTTACATAAATGGGAATCATAATTGTTAGTGTCTCGGGAATCAGGTTTGAACATTAATGCAGCAGTAACAAATGTAAGACTTTATTTTCAGGACAAAATAAACTATTTACATGATTATGTTTCTATCTATTCACATGATGGGTAGAACACATGACATCATCACTTTTAGATGAAAAACATTGAACATTAGAAATGGTTTGGTTTGCACTAAATAGGACATGAATAATATTCTGCTTTAATTTTAAAAATGCAAAAAAAAAAAATGTATGTGTATCTTATTGTGCATTTCACTTTGAAAGTTAGGTACACCATACATCGCATACGGTATCCAAATATATTTCAACCGTGATGAAAATTTAGTTATCATGTTTTTTTCTAAATGGAAATTTAGTCTTATTTTCATACCAGTATTATAAGTAGATTTCTGTTTTGGAGTTTGCAAAGCTAAAAAAATCTTTAGTTAAATATGGGAATAGTTCTGCCAACATTCAGTCTTGGAAATTATGGACAGTGAGTTCTAATCCCGTTTTGCCAGTGACTCTTCTGTGGCATTGAACATGTCATTTTGCTTTTCTGTTTCAGTTCTGTCATCTGTGAAGCAGAGATAATATTGTTCATTTGAGCACATTGTTCCAGTCTGTATCCTCTGAATGACTTTGCAAAAGAAACTCTGCATATGAATTTGAATATATGCCAACAAAATTAGAACAAGTTATCTACTTCAAAAGTATGCAAAAACGAACCAATAGAAATCATTTTGGAAATGCACTATGTGCATTCCTAAATTGGAGCAAATTTATCATTCTAGGCAATCCACCTCCACATTTATAAAAATATAAGAGATAATTGTTTTTCTCTTATTGTAGAAAAAAGTAAACTACCGAAGTACAATTTGTCTCTTTCTCTTTGGAAAGGTTATAATCGTATCACAATCAACTATATCTGTTAATCAGATTTGGTGCTAGTTGTTCCCAATGACAAAAATAGAGCAGTATAAACATTTCTACCCTCTGTTTTGTTAAGTAATCAAATTTTTCAGCCTCAGACAATTTCAATATTACTAGTTAGAAACAACAACAACAAAGTTCCTGAATTCTCCAGAGGTAACAGTATCAATTTTACTCAGAAGTACTACCCCAGACAGAGAAAAATAAATACGTAAGTCTGAGTTTTTGTTTGTTTGTTTACCGTCCTTAACATTTATATCTTTAGTAGTCTTAGCCTTGTTTCTGCTACTCCAAAAATCATGATTGGTATCTTCAAGGTACAATTTTATCAGAAGGAATAGCATACTAATTATGATTGCAGGATCTGTAATAAAAAAATGTGGGTTTGAATTTATTTTCCCATTTACGAACTACATATTATTTCAAAAACTACCTATTGTAATGAATGTGTAATTGTAATAAATATTAAATAATGTGCTTGATTATAGATAGATTAACATTTGCTTTATACAATTAAAGGAAATCTATTATTTTAGAAACATCCCTTTGAACGGATTGAACTCTGATTAACGTATAAATCTTAGAGTTGCATTATCTCACAGATAGATAAATTTAACTAAATTTGAGTTTAAAAATGTTTGGAGGAAAACAGATGAAAATTAATAGTGGTACTCACATTGAGAGGATAGAATTTAGTATTTTAAATATTGTTTCCTTAGACTATTCTACATTTGCCAAATGTTCTATGATGAGTATGTCTAAATTCTACAGTGTTTTCTGTTCATCTTACATTAAGTTTTGTTACCTACTTGTTTTAGTTTCCTTATTAGTAAAACAACAAATAATATTACCTTGTTAGACTTTTGTAAAAATAAACAAGTAAAATTTAAACAGAAGTAATAAACAATATTTTACCATTTTTTAAAATCTATTGAGACAGTTGTATCTCCAAGCCTTCTCCTACACAACTTATTCCATTTCAGGTTTGTATCTTTAATTCTTAACTATGAGGAAAGACTCTTGCAACTTTAGGACAAACATCAATATTTTAGTGACAGTGGCCTGGGGGCTGACCAGCTTATTTGGTTAGAACATTGTGTAGAGGATAGATGCTATGGGTTCGACTCATACATGGCAATTCATTTATTCATCCAAGAATCATTTACCAAGAATATCCTAAGTTTCTGTGCTAGGCAATGGCAAGAAAAATGAATTATAAAGTGTCCCTCTTAGTAACATCTTAGCTAGTAAGACCAACTTGTTCAGCACCTGCAGATGTCATTTCACTGTCTTCTGACTTTCATTGTTTCAGATTAGAAGTCATCTTTAATTCTGATCTTTTTTCCCCTGTATGTATGAAACTTTCTTCTCTGGCCAATTTTAAGATTTTTTTTCTTCCTCATGTTTTACGCAATTTTATTATAATATACCTTGGTGTGGTTTGTGTTTTCTCCTTGGGGTTTTTTGAGCTTCTTGAATAAAATCACATGTAATGATTTTGTGATATCTCTCCCAGGAATAAGAATAAAAAAAAAATCAGCATCTTTTCTTTCAAAAATGCATTGGCTCTCATCCTTACTCCTGTTACTACCCAGTTAAGCCTCTTTAGTTTATTTTAAAAACTTTTTTGCTCATGGAAAGAGTAAGTAATTGCAGAAGTACTACAATGCTGTAGGTCATCACAGTGATATGAATCGCTGCTTGAAAGAACAATAACTCTGACATGGTTACTACTCTTCACCCACAGAATCAAATTTTCATAGCATGGCTGCATTTTGCTTAATAAAAATGTATATTAACTGAAGAAACACCAGTTTCCTTGAGGGTAATGAATATACTTAAAGTGCACCAGTGAGATTTATTCTGTGGAATGTATTCATTTCTGAAAATTTACTATCCAGTGGGTAAAGATGAAGCCTGGTTTCCACTCCTTGCAGAGAACAAATGTGATCATGGTTAGGGGGTAGAAAGAATGAGATGAGTGCCCACCTAAATAGCAGGAAGGCAGCAGAAAGCTGAGACTATAAGTTTGTCTCCATCTCCCAAACTGTGTAGCTATGGAAAAATTATTTAACACCTTGAAATCTCAGTTACTTCACATATAAACTGAGACAATGACACCTAAGAGTATTGTAGAAATTAAGTAAGAACAGACTACTAATATGTAGTATATTACATGATGCAAAAAGTTCATGAAATTGTAGTTATTGTAATTATACTTGCTCTGACGATCAGAAAATCACAGGCCATCTCAAGAATATGACGAAGTAGTGAAACTATTTCATCAGCCAGTAACTTTCATTTTTCAAAAATGTGTAGCTGCATTTTAACTTTCATTATATGCAGGTTATAATAAGAAAAAACAGAAAACATTTAGCTATGGATTAAGTGTTCAGTAGGCCTAATTAAGAACCTTAATCTTTGGAATTCTGTGTTATTTACATGCTGCTATTTAGAATCTAAAGAATACCATTATAGATTGAGAATGTTTTGTAGGCTCTCGATTATAGAAATTTCTCCTTTCTGTGGGTGCTTGCATAATTTAAATGCCTTCACATGTCCTGCAAGTTAATTTCTTTTATTTAGGATTATGGAACCACATGAAAAGAACAATTGAGAAAAATAGAGTAAGGTGTATTAAGCAAAGCTTTGCATAATAAAATAGCTTTACAACATATAAAGATTTTCTGGTCATATGCAGCACGCTGTGTTGTTTTTGATGAAAGGAATTCAGATCTTAACATATTCAAAGTAAATCAAGATTATTAAAGCAACAAAATTGTAATAAAATTTGTCACATAAAGAAATATACAGCCTTAAATAGCTTCACTATTCAAATTTTACAAATATTGAAGGAACATATATAATACCTACAAAATAAGATAGAGAATAGAAGAAAAATAGAGCACTTTTAAACTTCTTTTATGAGTCCAGTATAATGTTAATACCAAAACCTGAAAAGGACATTGCAAGAAAAACAAGCAAAAAACGATCTCCAAAGTAAGCCAATATCTTTCACAAATATAGATGCAAACGTAAATTGAATTTATTCATATGTAGAAACATTTATATTTCATGACAAAGTGAGATTTATTTCAGGAATGCCTGTCTTGTCTAACATTAGAAATATGCCACTTCAAATAAACAAAGAAGAAAAACATATAATCTTTCCAATAACTAAGGAAAACAAATTTTGATAAAACCCAACACATATTCATGATTTTAAAAAATATACAAACTAAAAAAAAAAAAATTAAGAATCTGCATACAAGCCTGAAATAGTAATTTCCCTTCAGTTTCATAAGATAAATCTAGCAAAAGCCTACAACAAATATTATCCTGGTAAAATACTAAGGTTTTCCCACTAAATTCAGAAAAAATGTAAGGTTTTCTACTATTACTTGCATTCAACATTTTATTGAAAATCCAAGCCAGTGAATTATAACTGGCTGGAAAGGACCATCTCTCCCAAAGATACAAAAATTAGCTGGGTGTGGTGGTGGGAGCCTGTAATCCCAGCTACTCGGGAGGCTGAGGCAGGAGAATTACTTGAACCCGGGAGGCAGAGATTGCAGTGAGCCAAGATCGCGCCATTGCACTCCAGCCTGGGTGAAAGAGTGAGACTCTGTATCAAGAAAAAAAAAAAAAAAGAAAGAAAGAAAGAAAGAAAGAAAAGAAAGGATAACAAATATAAATAGAGAAGAAACCATTTTTATATGTGGAAATTTCAGATCAACTATTAAAATTTATTAGAGAATGTTATATGGTTGCTGAGTAGTCAATATTAAAACATAGTCTATATTTTATATACTAGCAAAAAGCAATTGAAAATAACATTGAAAACATATCATCTTTAATATTAGTAAAATGCATATAATACCTAGATATTAATGTAACAAAATATGTATAAAATCTATTTTGTATAGTTTTCTTTTGCTGTATAACAGATAAAATATACATTTCATATGTTTAAAGTATGAAAACACATGAGCTTTAAAATATGTATACACTGTGAAATCATCACGAAAATGAAAAAAAATCCCTATCAAATAATACTTTCAAATATATAGGTAAAATCATATGATACCTAAAAATTCGTATGAAACACTGAGAAAAAATATTATGCATGAGACCAAATAAGAAAAAAGAATTCCAGAACGTTGGTAATTGTTGATATTCTTAATAAATACATGAAGATTCATAATATAATTTATTCTATGTGTCTTTCAACATCAATTTTAAAAAGTTGTTTTGTTTTGTTTTGTTTTTGTTTTTGTAAGGGAGGAGAGACAGAGGAAGGAAGTTGATATTAACAGTTAAAAAGAAATGATGGATAAGGCATTCAAAACACAGAGTGTGTATTATAAATAAGATTTTAAGAATAAATGCCTAGATAGAAATGGACAGTTTTCAAAATCAATATTTCTTCAATTAGTTAATTCAACCCTAATCTTATTAATAAATTCTGAGAAAATCATCTTTTTAAACTCACCATCAAACGGCACCTCACAGTCAAATTTCCTTCTCTGACATATCCAGATTCTGAAACATCAGGCATGATTGTAATCTAAAGATCCTCAAATGACCTGACTAGTCAGTAATATTCTGATTGCTATAGGCTTGCATTTCTCAGCTTGGCTTTTTTTCTTCATTATGTATATCTTTTTTATCATGCTGGCTATGTCCAGAATATCATAAATGAAAAACTGCCAAGATGAAGTGAAAGATACATTTCCTCTCTATTTTCTAGTTGCATTTTCCACCTCTTTGTGTATTTTCTTACACACATTTCTGTGTGTAAGAAATACAAACCTTTGCAACTTTTCCAGCTGAAGCAAAGATTTTTTCTCTTTAAAAATCTAAGCATATTTCCTCCAATATACATTTCTACATGTTTGCTCTCCACTTGTCAGTGAAATGTGAAGTGACTATTATAACAATTATCTAAAAAATGTTTCAATATTTAAAATGGCATTTAATAATAGACTTTTTTCAAATGTCTACAGTTCTGCTATAACATATTAAAATATAAATTATTAAAATGACAGAGTCTACTTAAATTGTTGTAGCATTTGATAACAATTTAATGTATGTTTGCTAATGAAAGAATAAATGTATTAAAAATAATCTGGTCAAATGTTCAAAAATAAGAGGGGCAGAGCAATATGGCCATATAGAAGTCTTCATTGATTATCTCCCTAACAGGAACACCAACTTTAACAACTCTACTCAAAGAAGCACCTTCATAAGAACCAAAAATCAGGTGAACACTCGTGATAACTGATTTTTGCTTTATATTGCTCAAAGAGGCACTGAAAAAGATGGAAAAGACAGTCTTGAATCACTGACGCCACCCCTTCCCCAACTGCCAAGATGGGGCCATGTGGTATGGAGACAGAATGTGTTCTTTGAGAGAGGGAGAGTGCAGCAATTGTGATACTTTGCATTGAACTCAGTGCTGCCCTGTCACAGTTGAAAGCAAAACCCCACTGAACTCAGCCAATGCCCACCCACATAGAGAGCATTTAGACAAGCCCTAGCCAAAGGGAAACACCCCAATTCAGTGATTGAAACTTGAGTTCTGGCGAGCCTTACCACAGGCTAAAGTGCTTGAGAGCCCTCAATAACTCAAAACACCGTCTAGGCCACAAAGACTTTTAGATGAGTTCTAGTGCTGAGTTGGACTCAGAGACAATGGACTTGGGGGCCATGCCACCTATTAAAACATCAGCTGGGGTGGTTGAGAGAGTGCTTGTATCACCCCTTTTCCAACCCCAACTGCACAGGTAAATTTCTAAGGATTTTTACTCCAGTCCCTGGTTCCTGGATGACATCTTTGGACTTTCCCAGGGCCTGGGGAACTCGCCACCTTGAAGGAAAGTCTACAAGCCTGGCTGGATTGACCACCTGCTTATTGTAGAGCCCAAGGGACTTGGGCAAACATAGATTGTAGCCAGGTAGTGGTTACGGCAGGCCTTGGGTGAAACCTAATGTTGGTCTTACCCAGTGCAGTACCAGTTGTAGTGGCCACAGGGGTATTTGTGTGACCCCATCCTCAGCTCCAGGTGGCTCAGCAGAGAGGGAGAGACTACATTTGTTTGGGAGAAAGTAAGAGAGGAAGACAAGAGTCTCTGCCTGGTAATCCAGAGAATTCTTCCAGATGTTATCTAAGACCACCAAGGAGGTACCTTTATAAGTCTGCAAGAACCACAGTGTTACCGAGCTTGGGGTTCCCCCTAATGCAAATAGCTTAAATCACAACACCCAAGTCTCTTTGAACACTCAGAAAGCATTCCCAAGAAGGATGGGTACAAACAAACCCTGACTCTGATGACTAAAATAAATACCTAGTTCTTCAGTGCCCAGACACACAGAGACATTTGCAAATATCATGATAGTGAGGAAAATATAACCTCAACAAATAAACTAAATAAGGAACCAGGGACCAATTCTGATGAAACAGAGATATGTAACCTTTCAGAGTTTAAAATACTTGTGTTGGGGAAACTCAAAGAAATTCAAGATAACAAAAAGAAGGAATTCAGAATTCTAGCAGATAAATTTAACAAAAAGATTTAAATAATTAAAAATTATTAAGCAGAAATTCTGGTTCTGAAAAATGCAAATAACATACTGAAGAATGCATTAGAGCCTCTTAACAAAATTGATCAAGCATACGAAAGAAAGTGAGCTTGAAGACAGGCTATCTGAAAATGCACAGAGGAGAAAAAACAAACAAACAAACAAAAAGAATAGAGCATGCCTACAGATTTGAAAAATAGCCTCAAAAACCTAAGATGTATTGGCCTTATAGAGAAGACAGAGATATAGGAGTAGAAAGTTCATTCTAGGGGATAAGGACAAACATAGAGAAAGGTATATTCCCAAATCTAGAGAAAGATATCAATATCCAAGTACAAGAAAGTTAGAGAACACCAAGCAGATTTAACCCAAAGAAGACTATCTCAAGGCATTTAATAATCAAACTCCAAAAGATCAAGAACAAAGAAAGGATCCTAAAAGCAGCAAGAGAAAAGAAACAAAAAAACATACAATGAAGCTCCAATATGTTCAGCAGCCAACTTTTCAGTAGAAACCTTACAGGCCAGGAGAGAGAGGCATGACATATTTAAAGTGCTAAAGGAAAAACAAAAAACAAAAAACTTTTACCCTAGAATAGCACATTCAGCAAAAATATTCTTCAAACATGAAGGAGAAAGAAATACTTTCCCAGAGAAATAAAAGCTGAGGGGTTTCATCAACACCAGAATTGCCCTGCAAGAAATGCTAAAGGAGGTAGTTCAGTCAGAAACAAAAGGATGTTAATGAGCAATAAGAAGACATCTGAAGGTATAATACTCACTAGTAATTAGTAAGTAATAGAATAGCACTGTCACTGTGGTGAGCAAACTTCTCATCTTAAGTAAAAAGACTAAATGATGAACCAATCAAAATTAATAATTATAACAACTTTATAAAACATGGACAGTATAATAACGTATAAATAGAGAAAACAAAAAGTTAAGTTGGGGGACAAGGTTAAGGTGTAGAGTTTTTTTGTTTTGTTTTGCTTCTTTTTTTGTGTACATAGTGTTGTTATTATCAGCATAAAATAATGGGTTATGAGATAGGATTTGCAAGCCTCCATAGTAACCTGAAATTGAAAAATGTACAATGGATACAGAAAATATAAAAAGCAAGAAATTAAATCATACCACCAAAGAAAATCGCATTAATTAAACAGAAGGCAGGAAGGAAGGAAAGAAGAAAGAGAAGACCAAAAACAATGAGAAAACAAATAATAAAATGGCAGGGTCAAGTCCTTATTTATCAATAATAACAATAAATATAAAATGGACTAAACTCTGCAATAAAAACACATAGGGTGGCTAAATGGATTGAAAAGTCAAACTCAATGACCTTTTGCCTACAAGAAACACACTACCTATTAAGACACATATAGACTAAAAATACAGGGATAGAAAAAGATATCTCATGCCAATTGAAACAAAAAAAGAGCAGGAGTAGCCATACTTATATTGGACAAAAGAGATTTCAAGACAAAAATGATAGTAAGAGACAAAGAAAGTCACTATATAATGATAAAGGGGTGAATTCAGTAAACGGATGTAAAAAATTTAAATATATATGCACCCAATACTGTAGCATCCAGAAATATAAAGCAACTATTGTTAGAGCTAAAGGGGGTGATAGACCCCAGTACAGTAATAGCTGGAGACCTCAACACCCCACTTGGAGCACTGAACGTATCTTCCAGGCAGAAAATCAACAAAGAATCATTGAATTTTGTCTGCATTATAGACCAAATGAACCTAATATATGTGTACAGAACAGTTCTTCCAATGGCTGCAGAATAAACATTCTTTTCCTCAGCACATGAATCCTTCTCAAGGATACCATATGTTAGGTCACAAAACAAGTCTTAAAACATTCAATATTTGAAATAATAACAAGCATCTTTTCTGAACACAATGGAGTAAAACTAGAAATCAATGACAAGAGGAATTTTGGAAACTATACAAACACATGAAAATTAAACAAAATGCTCCTGAATGACCAGTGGGTCAATGAAGAGATTAAGAAGAAAATTGAAAAATTTATTGAAACGAATGATAATGGAAACACAACATACCAAAACCTATGGGATATAGCCAAACAGTATTAAGAGGGAAGTTTATAGATATTATATACATATAGAAGACTATCTCAAGGCATATATATATATATATATATATATATAGAGAGAGAGAGAGAGAGAGAGAGAGAGAGAGAGAGAGAGAAACTTCAAGTAAACAACCTAATGATGTTGTCTTACAGAACTAGAAAAGTGAGAGCAAATCAATCCCAAAATTATTAGAAGAAAAGAAATAAAAATCAGAGCAGAAAGAAACTAAATTGAAATGAGGAAAGCAATACAAAAAATCAATGAATCATTTATTTTTATTTTTATTTATTTATTTTTTTTTATAAACCTAATTGAAAAGCCATTAACCAGACTAAAGAAAAAAAGAGAAAAGATTCAAATGAATAAAATCAGAGAGGAAAAAGGGACATTATAACTGATATCACAGAATTTCAACGTATTATTAGTGGCTACTATAAGCAACTATATGTCAATAAATTGGAAAATCTAGAAGAAATATGTAAATTCCTAGACAAACACCAAAATTGAACCATGAAGGAAAAAAAAAACCTGAAGAGACTAACAACAAGTAACAAGATGTAAGTGTAATAAAAAAGTCTTTCAGCAAATAAAAGCCCAGGACCTGAAGACTTCACTGCTAAGTTTTACCAACATTTAAAGGATAACTAGCATCAATCCTACTCAAACTATTGCAAAAAATAGACGGGGAGGAACTACTTCCAAACTCAGTTTAAGTGGTCAATATTGCTCTGATAACAAAACCAAAATACATTTAGAAAACTACAGGCCAATATCACTGATAAATACTGATGCAAAAATCCGCAACAAAATACTAGCAAATCAAATCTAAATTTACAATAGCCACAAATACAATAAAATATCTAGGAATTAACTAAAGAAGTGAAAAATCTTTACAATGAAAACTATAAAACATTGATGCAAGAAATTAAAGAGTATACAAAAATGGAAAGATTTTCCATGATCATGGACTAGAAGACTCAATACTGTTAAAATGACCATTCTTCTCAAAGGAATGTACTGATTTATTTCAATCCTTATCAAAATATCGATGATATTCTTCAGATAAATAGAAAAAAGAACCTTAAAATTTATAGGCAACCCAAAAAGACACAGAGTAGCCAAAGCTATCCTATGCAAAAAGAACACAACTGGAAGAATCAAATTACCTGATTCCAAATTGTACTACAGAGTTATAGTAACAAAAACAGCATGGTATTAGCAAAAAATCAGACACATAGACCCATTGAAAATAATAGAGAACCCAGAAATAAGTTGATACATCTACAGTGAACTGATTTTTGACAAAAAAGTGCCAAGAACATACATTGAGGAAAGGACAGTCGCTTCCATATACAGTGCTGGGAAAACTAGATATCTATATGCAGAAGAATGAAAGTAGACCACTATCTCCTGTCATATCCAAAATTCAAATAAAAATAAAGTCTCAAATCTAAGACATCAAACTATGAAACTATTATAAGAAAACAGTAGGGACACTCTTCAGGACATTGGATGGAGCAAAGATTTTGTGAGTAATAGCCCACAAGCACAAGCAACCAAAGCAAAACTAGACAAATGGGATCACATCAAGTTAAAAAGCTTCTTTGCAGCAAAGGAAACAATCAATGAAGTGAAGAGACAACACACAGAATGGGAGAAAATATCCACCCAGTACCAGTCTGACAAGGGATTAATAACCAGAATATATAAGGAACTCAAACAACTCTATGGGAGAAAATTTAATAATATTAATAAAAAAATGGGTAAAAGATCTGATCTTTTTTCCAAAAGAAGACATAGAAATGGCAAATGAGTACATGAAAAGTGCTCAACATCATTGATTATCAGAGAAATGCAAATCAAAGCTTCAATGAGATATCATCTCACCCCTGTTAAAAGGGCTTTTATCAAAAAGACAGGCAATAACAAATGCTGGTGAAGATGTGGAGAGAAGGGAACTCTTATACACTGTTGGCAGAAATGTAAATTAGTGCAGTTACTATGGAGAACAGTTTGGAAGTACATCAAAAAACTACAGATAAGGCTACCACTTGATCCAGTAATCTCACTTTCAGGTACACACCCAAAAGAGAGGAAATCAGTGTACTGAGGAGATACCTGCACTCCCATGTTTGTTGCAGCACTATTCACAATAAGCCAAGATTTGGATGCAACCTAACTATTCATTAGCAGATGAATGCGTAAAGAAAATGTGGTACATATGCATGATGAACTTCTATTCAGCCATAACAAACAATGAGATCTTGTCATTTGCAACAACATGGATGGAACTGCAGGTCATTATGTTAAGTGAAATAAGCCAGGCACAGAAAGACAAACTTCACATGCTAGCACAGTCTGACTGTGGTAGAAAATAATTTAATTATACATTTTAAAATAACTAAAAGAGTATAATTGGATTGTATGTAACACAATGGATAAATACTTGAGGTGATAATACCTCATTTACTGTGATGTGATTTTAAGTTTTTCATGCCTTTATCAAAATATCTCAGATAACCTGATTATCAGATATTTTCCTAAAGGCATTCTATATATAGATATATATACACGCACACACATACATACATATATATATAAACATGTATATAAAATATAATATGTCAGAGGTAAGATAAAAGTTCATGTGAATAGATGATCACTAGAAGAGAGGAATTAAAATGTTCCCAACACAAGAAATGATACTCAAGTTGATGGATATCCTAAATGCTGTGATTTCATCATTACACATTCTATGCATGTAACAAAATAGCACATGTACTCCATAAATATGTATGAATATTATAAATTAACAAATAAAAAGAAAATATGATTAGGTCCTATTGTCTACATTGTGACTTTTCATTTTCTAGGAGCCATCTTAGTAAGAAAAAAATGTGATCAGTTATATGAATGATCAGCTACAAAAAGTCCCAAAGATCAAAACAATGCAGTTGGCTATAAGAATTAAAATGCTGAACAATGAAAAACAGTTACTTTTGCTGATGTATATACATATATTTACATATATTTTTGAATTATATACAAATATGTATATATAAATTTAATGCATGTATGTATATATCTATATACTTATATTTACATTTAACTTTCAACAAAATAGCTGTCTATGAGAAGATTTCTTTTTCTGTAAATAGAATAACTAGAAAAAATGCTTCTGATATAGCAAATTATCAAAAATCAAAAACAGAATGAAACAGTGAAGAATTGATGGGTCAAGATCAAGTAGAAAACTGAAATGTAAGACTTGAATTTGGATTTTGCTTTTTCTAAAAGCAGCTGCTAAATTCAGAAGAAGCTGAGCAGCTAAGAAACTTCTTTGACAGCCACTAGGAAATAGTGGTGCAAAAATGGACTGCAGAAGAAATGGCTGCCTTCCTAAATCCCAAGGATTTGGTTTCAATCCTGAAAGTTTATATCAGAGGGATACAATGGATGATACCAACTCTCACAAAGATTGAATACTGACTTTGAAATAACTCAATTCACAAAAGTGGGTTGTGGTTATATAGATCGCCAGAGCAGACACATGGTGGAAGCTAATGTAACTCTTCTCTATAAAAAGATCCCTAACCTGAGGAAAATGAATCTGAATAATATTATGAGTTGAAGTGTGTCCCTCCAAAATCCATATGTTCAAGTTCCAGACCCTAGTACTTCTGAATGTGATCTTATTTGAAACTAGGGTCATTTGAGATGTAACCTGTTAAGATGAGATCATACTGGAAGACAGTGGGCCCCTAATCCAATATGTCTGACAACCTCATCTAAAAGGGGAAATTTTGACATAAACACAGGGGTAAGACATTGTGAGAAGACAGGCATCTACAAATCAAGGAATGCCTGAGACTATCAGAAGCTAGGAGAGAGACTTAGAACAGATCTTCTCCTAGTTCCTATAGAGGAAATGTGGCTCTGCCAACACACTGATTTTAGACTTTTGGCCCCAGAAGTGAGATAATACATTTTTGTTGTTTTAAGCCATGTTGTTTGTGATATTTTATTTTAGCAGCCCTACCTAGGAAATCAATACAGATGAGCAAACATGGAATATTTGTTCTCACTAAAATCTCTAACTTGAATTGATAGTTTTCTTCCATTAAGAATATAGGTAGAAAAAACTATATTATTTGCAGTACATGAGACTTTGTCACCGATGAAAAATGTACATGTATCCATACTATTGTTCTATTTTATATAAGTTCTGGGGTACATGTACAGGATGTGCAGGTTTGTTACATAGGTAAAAGTGTGCCATGGTGGCTTGCTGCACCTATCTACCCATCACCTAGGTATTAAGCCCAGTATGTACTAAGAATTTTTCCTGATGCTCTCCCTCCCCCTGCCACCCGCCCTGACAGGCGCCAGTATGTGTCATTCCCCTCCCTGTGTCCATAATAGTGTTGGAGATATCTATACGTAATACTTATGCACATCATTAGTTTATTTAGAGTAGTTATTAGAATGACAGTTATTTTTATATTAAATAAGCATATTAATCAAAATATGTATTAGTATAATTTTGTTAATGTGTTGATACGGTTTGACGCTGTGTCCCCACCCAAATCTCATCTTGAACTGTACTCCCATATTCCCACGTGCTGTGGGAGGGACCTGGTGGGAGATAATTGAATTATGGGAGCGGGTATTTCCCATGCTGTTCTTATGATAGTGAATAAGTCTCATGAGATCTGATGATTTTATAAGGGGGAGTTTCCCTGCACAAGCTCTCTCTTTGCTTTCTGCCATCTATCTAAGATGTGACTTGATCCTTCTTGCCTTCCTCCATGATTGTGAGGCCTCCCCAGCAACATGGAACTGTAAGTCCATTAAACCTATTTTTCTTCCCAGTCTTGGCTATCTCTTTATCAGCAGAATGAAAATGAACTAATACATATGTTAATAACTATTTCAATAAAATTTGTTCCCTCTATAAATCTATGTAACTTATAATGCATATTTTAAAAGATTAATCTGATAAATTTATGGGTTCGTAAGACTTTCAATAGTTCATTGTTATAAAAATTATTGAGAACTTTATGCTGAAAGAAAGAAATATTGTAGACTGCAAATTATTTCCACATCTATTTCCATTCAATACTTGACACTGAATTACAAACTAAAAGACACATAAAAATCAAAACAATAGACATACAAGCAAAATATGAAAAAGTAAGGCAGATGCAGTATATATTTAGCTAATAGATCCATCACACATTGCTTTGAAAACATATGTAAAATATTGACCAAAAAACGTTTGGGAATTTTAGAACCTAAAACGATGAAAATGAAAATATAATTACTGAAAGTGATATCTCAGTGAAATATTTTAATATGAGGTTAGGCAAACTTGAAATAATTACTTAGCCTTCAGAAAATAATATACAGAAAAAAATAAGGAAAGACAAAAAATACATGAGAGTTTAGAAGATGTAAGAAAAGCACACCTAGACACATCTGGGTTAAACTTCCGATTAAAAGAAAACAACAGGATATCTTAAAAGCAGAAGGAACAAAGGTAAATTATCTTCAAACAAACAAACTGACTTCTCAACAGTATCAATGAAAGTCTAAAAATCAAGGATTGATTATTATAAACAGATAAAGGAAATTAATAGCTAACTAGGAAACTTATACACAGCAAAAAAAAAACTTTAACAATTACTTACTACTATTCAAGATGGAATAACAGAGTTTTGCCTTCTTATCTGAAACTACTAAGAAATTGAATAAAATACAGCAAACAACAATCTTCAAGATGGGAATATCAGACATCAAAGACAGTGATCTCTGAGAGACAGAAAACAAAGTGAGGCCTGCAATAGGTACAGCTCATTGCCTGGAGATAATTTTCAGGCTGAGGTGCAGGAAGTGGAAGCCAGGCAGAACCTGGAGTTTGGGGAGGCCAAAGACACTGTGTAGAGAGTGTAACTCAAGTCTTTAATGGAGTATTGAGCAGTGTATGCATGTGAGAAATTCTCTGAAGCCAGGGAAAGAACCACCGAAAGAATGTGAGCATAGATGGGGTTCTCAGGGGTAGAGATAGTTCCTATTCCCACCAACCAGAATGGAAATCTTCATCTTCACAGGTGTAGGTAGAGGGCTCAGAAAGGTTTTGCCTCAGTATTCAGTGATACCTGCTTACAAAGCAAGGCTTAAAAAAAGTAAAACTGAAGAAATAAGCCTAAAGAAATAGAACTCTTAATAAGACAGTAAACTTTTTTCCAGAACAAATCTAAAAAATATTAACAAGAATCTAAAAACAACCAGTACCAAACTAGGTCAAACCCCAATATGTAGCATCATTTCAGAATTTGTAATGCATGCAAAGAAGTGAGAAAATTTGATTCATTAATTAATCAAAACCATATAAAATCATACAGGTAATAGAATTGGTAGAAAGGACACTGAAATAATTGTGATAACTGTATTCTATATGTTCAAGAATCTAAAGCAGGGATAAGTATTTTTTTCTGGAAAGAACCACATAAAATAAGAGGGTTAACAACTTTCACAACTATTAAACTATTAGCTTTGCTGTCGTAGCATAGATTAGACAAACAGATAGATAAATAGATAAAAACAAATATGGCTTTTTCTTAAAAAAAGGGCTGTGGACTGTGTTTATTCTATGGACTATAGTTGGCTAAGGTCTGATCTAGAAGAAATATGGAGCATATTAAGATTAATAGAAGGTTTTTGTTTTAAATCAAGGGATAGAAACTACAATGCCTAAAATATAAAATACATGGCATAAAATTAACAAAAAATTAAGCTTAAAAAACACAGAAAACTATATGATTTGAAGCAATTTATTATATATGTAGCTGGAGTTCCCAACTTTTTAGGGGGACAGAAAAAAATGATTTGTAATACCAATTATGACAGATTTTCCAAATTTGATGAAAATTATAAACATATAAACTTAATAAGTTCAAAGAACCCCAAACAAAAGAAACATAAAATAAACTATATGAAAGTTAAAACTTTAAAGGTTTTGGAAGAAAAGTCAGGTCAATATATTTGTGAATAAAGATTAGGCAAAGATGTGCAGATTGAAAGCAAGTAAAGCACTTAACATAAAAGTGATTAACAACTTGGACAACATCATACAAATTATAATTTTCTGTTCATCCAAAGACACTGTTAAAGTGAGAAGTCAAGCCACAGACTGGGAAAAAATGTTCATAATGCCTTTGAAAAAGATTACATTCAGAGTATTAAAAAATCCCTACAAAGACATAATAAAACAAATATCAGTTAAAATGGAAAGAAAGACTTGAACGTGCACCTTTGTTTTGTTTTGTCTTAAGAGAAGATCTTGCTCTGTTGACCAGGCTGAATTATAGCAGTGAGATCAAAGTTCATTGCAGTATCTACTGTTACCATTTATATTTAACACTGCACAGCTATGTCCTAGCCACTGCAATAAAGCAAGAAAAATATATATATATAAAGCAGGAGTCCCCAGCTTAAAGCACGGTACTTATCCGTGTCCTGTTAGAAAACGGGCCACACAGCAAGAGGTGAATGGTGGGGCAAGAAAGGATTACCACCTGAGCTCTGCCTCCTCTCAGGTCAGCAGTGGCATTGGATTCTCATAGGAGCATGAACCCTCTTGTGTACTGCCCATGTGAGGGATCTAGGTTGCATCACTCCTTATGAGAATCCAATGCCTTATGATCTGTTACTGTCTCTCATCACCCCAAATGGGACTGTCTAGTTGTAGGAAACCAAGCTCAGGGCTCCCACTGATTCTACATTATGGTGAGTTGTATAATTATTTCATCATATATTACAATGTAATAATAATAGAAATATAGTGCACAATAAATGTAATGTGCATGAATCATCCTGAAACCATCCACCCCAACCCCGGTCCATTTAAAAATTGTCTTCCATAAAACTGGTCCCCAGTGCCAAAAAGGTTGGGGACTGCTGCTATAAAGGAAGAAATAGACCTGTCATCAGCTCCAGATTATATGGCTATGAACTTGGAAAACTGTAAGGGTTTTCAGAATAAGTTATTAAGTTAACAAAATAAATCTGGCAAGGTTGAAAAATTAAGTTGCATTTTTATATACCAGAAACAATCTCAAATTTTAATTATAAAATGTTATAACTAAAATCACTGGAATAAAGCTAACAAAACTATTGTATGTACATACATATATATTATATATAGACATACACATAGATATAATTGCACATTTGGGATAAATCAAAGATAACAAAGGGAAAATATCAGGTTTCAATAAGATTCAAGGTTTAAAGATGTCAGTGGTCCCAAATCAATATTTTCAATGAGTTTCTAATTAAAATTCAAATGTTTTCTTTTTAAGTGTGGACATCAACAACCAGATTTAAAAATGTATATAAAAATGCAAAAATCCAAATACATACAAAACAACCTTGAATAAGAGCAAGTTGATAGGAATTGCCCTACCAGTTACCAAGACTGTGTTCGTTACCAATTTACTGTCTCTCAGCTTCAAATCTACCCATCTTTTCCTGATTTGTGACACTAGCTGGAGCCCATAAATATTTCGTTTTTGTCAGCTGACTTGATATTAGGTTTTGATGATATTGGGTGCTAAAGGGATACTTCCAAAGCCAGAGCAGGAGAAGGTGTTTCCCTGGCTTTTACTGGTATTTGTGTTTCTTATTTTGGTTGTTGCTATTATTGCTTTTGTTTTTATTGTTCCATTTTTTTCTTTTTTCCCTACATGGCAGCACTCAGCTAGCACTCTACCATCTTTTTCGCCACCATCTCCTCTGCTACTTCTTTAGCCTGGAAGTTGTAGCTGCTTTCTGCATTTGCTATTTTTAGATCTTCTGGAACTCTTTTCATCTCTTTTATTTGTTAATGATATTTTACTTAACAAATCTTTATGATAAATTCACCCTGTTTCCTGAATGGATCCTATATAAAAATAAATCATAAATGTACAGTAACTAACATGAGTCTTACTGGCTCACATATAAGCAAACAAATCAAATGAATAGCATAGAAAATCCCTAAGTTGATACCTGAAACTAAAGAATACTTGTTTGAAGCACAGGTGACATTTCCGAGCATTGAAAAATAGAAAATGTGGTCTTTTCAATAATTTGTCCTGGGGTTATTTGGAAATAAATATTCAATTTGACCCCTACCTAAAATTTCTCAAAAGTCAACATCAAGAGGATTATTGATCAATATGTAAAAGCAAATCAATATATCCTCTAGAAGATAATCTAGGAAAATATACCCATGAGGTCAGGGGAGTATTTCTTAAACAGGACACAAAAAGCACATTCTAAAATCAAATACAAAAAGGAGCCAGTGAAAAGTAACTGTAAACTGTACTGATAATGTAACTGAACAATAAAAACACAATTAAAAAATAAACTTTGAACACTGTGCCCTGCTTTTACATGCTTGGATGATTTTTGTCAAACATAGATGTGAATATAAATTGTCTAATAATTTAATCAGAACACATAAAAATCAACAGTTTTATTATAGTTCTAATGTTGTTGCTGAATCATGATTAAAAATTTTCTTCTGGAAGAACACAGTCACTGATATACTCTGGGATAGTCACGTAATATTTTAGTTAATTAATTTATTCAACAAATATTAAGTGCAAACTAGATACTAAGATTATAACTAGTCCAGTAATAGGCAGAAATCGTTGCAAAGCAGTGCATCAGTTATCCATTACCACAAAATATATCCCAATGCAAACTACAAACTCTTTGTCACGTTAGCTCATTTGTCCCATGAGTTTGTGGATTAGCAGGGGTCAGCTGGACGTGACTAGATGGCTCTACTTCAAGAAATGAGTCTAGGTGAGCTTTTCTCTGAAGTGAGGCTTTATGTGCGCCCATTCTTTTGTCCTGGACTTGAAGCAGCAGCTACCCAGGAAGGTCTTCTTATGAAGATATCAGAGTCACGCAGACATAACCTGACTGCATGTGCACTTTTGCTATCTGATAGCATTCCATTGGTTGGTCATAGCAAGTAACATGGTTAAACCTAAAGTGAAGAAGTGGTGAAACATCCTCCACTTATTTAGTGGAGGAACAGCAAAGTCACATGAGAAAAGACATAGATAAAGTGATGCTGAAGAACTGGAACCCTTCAGGCAATCTACTACAGGCCATTAGACCACATAATATATATAATAACATAATTCTAACACCAACCATAGTACAAGAAACAGGACTTCAGTGTCTGTAGGGCTAAACGTATGTTTAAATGTTTGTAGTAATAAGAATTTATTAGCCCATGATTTGGGGCGCTGGTTGTATTTTTTATTTTAATAGTTAAAATAGAGGTTGAGTAAATTGCATCTATCCTATTGTAATCCTTGGATAAATTGTACCGTGTTGGATTTTTCCGAGTTATGTTTATAGCTAACTGGTGTGTGGCATTGGTGACTCAAATTCAGCCACCTATCCTATCCAGCTTCTGTGATGAAGCAAAATATCTTTCTTAAACTGTCATATGATTTTTACTTCAACATTTAATTTTCTAATTATTTTTGCAATTGTGCTAATTAGTGCTTTTTAAGTGTAATTTATTCTTCTCATCCTACCTATTTCTATCACCACTGATGAAAAGCCAATATACCTAAGAAATATTTACTAACATCATAAAATAATAAAAACAATCAAATTGCCATATGGCATTGAAAGGAATGCCAAATAGCTCAGCAGTCTTTCCCTGGGCCTTTTGAAACAGAATAAATATCCAATAGATCTTGGGCTACTTTTTAAGAATTACATAATCCTGCCTGAAGGCTGGGGAATGAATTCAAGGAGGTCCGTAGCTAAAGTGGTTTGTAATAATAGAGTGATGGTTGTGAACTGACAGCTTACATCTATTTTTTTCAGTTGTCATAAAAAAATAATTGGAAGTCAGTGTCTAGCATGGCTGCCAACTCAGTAAAATCAACAGGCAAAACATTAACAAAAACAGATGACAAATTCCCTGTGGAAATGCATTTGTTTGGCAGCTACTGTAGGTAATGTTGATGAACAGACAAGGCAGGAATAGAAGCTTGCAGGAAGTGATGCATGTGAGTGGGCTCCCTCACTTACTGTACTCTAGTGTGTTTCTCTTCAATCACAACATCTATAGCTTTGATCATAAATTATATTTTAAATCAATCATAAAATAATAGCAAGCTACTGTGATCTAGTTAAAACTTGTCTCAAAATAAAATATCTAGTTTTTTGTTTGTTTATTTTTCCTTAGGAGGCAGCATGTTTGAATAGTTCCTTTGCCTCTTCCCCTTTTCCCTAGGCTATGTCAGTTTCATCTTCACCACATTCTATTAAATGTCATGTACTGGCAGTAAATAACATGATCTCGTTTGTTAAACTGAAAACAAGCTTTATCATTAGAAATGTAAGGGATAATTAAAATAGACAATTACTGCATGGACAAGTTAAATACTTCTGAACCCATTACTTTAAAAAATGTGAATTTTAAATTAACGCGTTTAGTCTTGGTTAAGGGTTAGATATATTAACAGTCATTCAGTAACATAGAAACAGAACTACAAACATATTCCTGACAACTTTTCATCAACATAGCAAAAACATGCAAAATTTAAGTGGATTTGAATTTAAGCAACTATGCTTCAATTGCTTCTTTTATCAATGTTACTAGCAGAACTTATTCCAGATGATTGTGACCAGAAGTGAGATAATAAATACAAACTACTTCATGTGCTTAGTATTTAAAAATATTATTATTAGAATTCTTATTGTATATATTATTATATTATAATAAATATCGTGTCCCTCTTTTAAATTAGAATTTTTATTATCATTCTTCAAAATTTACAAGGCATTAATCAACGGTTGAATAGGAGCAGATTCTATAGAGTGCATCTATGTCAGATAATATGACTAGTGATCAGGTTTTTTAAAGAAATATTGTTACATATGCCATCTCCCTGAAAAACTTTAGCCAAAGCTATGACACACGCACACACACACACACACACACACACACACATACAGACACAAATAATTTTTCTCTTATATACTTTTAAAATTTATTTTTGGTTTGGTTTTTATGTTGTGGATTAGCAGGGGTCATTTCTTTTGGCATTTCCCAATTCTCATTCTTTTGGCGTTTCTCAATTCCCTAGCATTTGTAAGTAAACGAAAGAAACCATAGGGTTGGAATTTTGAGATATCAGTGATAGGGGAGACAGGGAAGTGATAAAATATTAAACATATGGAAAATAAATGTGACTATAATTAGAAAAAGGGAGGGGAGAGCATAGTTGTATACTATATACAGATATATATATATAATACATATATACACTTACCAGAAGTATATATATATATACTTTTATATATATGTAAATACACACATTCATATATACGTGTATATATATATAGAGAGAGAGAGACACACACACACAGAGAGAGAGAAAGACAGACAGAGAGAGACAGAGAAAGAGAAGGAGATTTATTATGAGAATTAGCTCACTCAGTTGTGGAGGCCAAGAAATCCCACAATATGCAATCTGCAAGCTGGAGACCCAGGAAAATTGGTGGCATAATTCAGCTTGAGTCCAAAGGCCTGAGAACTGAAAGGGCTACTGGTGTACATTAGTCCCCCCTTATCTGAGTGGACGTCTGAAACTGTTGATAGTACCAAACTCTTTATATACTATTTTTTTCTCATATATATAGGTCTATGATAAAATCTAACTTATGAATTAGGCACAGTATGAGATTAACAGCAATAATAATAAATTAGAACAATTTTAACAATATGCTAGCATCCCTACTCTTGGACTTTGAAGCCATTATTAAGTAAAATAAGGGTTACTCGAAGAGAAGCACAACAATACTGTGACAATTGAACTGATAAGTGAGCTAGCTATTTAGTGACTAATCAGCAGGTAGCTTGTACAAAGTAGATATGCGAGGAAAGGGAAGGATTATCATCCCAGGCAGTACAAAATGGGCTGCTACAGCACTTTATCACACTACTCAGAAAGTCATGCAAGTTAAAACTTATGAATTGGCCGGGCGCAGTGGCTCATGCCTGTAATCCCAGCACTTTGGGAGGCCGAGATGGGCTGATCACTTGAGGTCAGGAGTTCGAGACCAGCCTGGCCAACATGGTGAAACCCCATCTCTACTAAAAATACAAAACAAATTAGTTGACTGTGGTGGTGCCTGCCTGTAATCGCAGCTATTTGGATGGCTGAGGCAGGAGAATCACTTGAACCCAGAAGACGGAGAGTGAGTCGAGATCACGCCACTGAAATCCAGCCTGGGCGACATCTCAAAAAAATAAAGTATGAATTGTTTTTATTACTGGATTTTACATTGCATATTTTTGGATCGTGGTTTGCCACAGGGAATTGAAACTGCTGACAGTGAAACCTTGGATAGACTATTGTAGATGTCCGATGTCCAAGAGCAGGAGAAGGTGGATGTCCTACTCTAAGGAATGGAGGATTCACTCAACTTGTTGTTTTGTCCTTGCTTTCAAAGGGTTGCATGGTGCCTGCCCACATTGGTAAGGGCAGGTGGGGGCTCTTCTTTATTCAGTGTACTGATTTAAGTCCTAAATTCTTTCAGAAACACTCTCAGAGACACATCCAGAAATAGTATTTCACCAGCTATCTGGGTATCCCTTAGCTTAGTCAATTTGACACATAAGTTAACAATTACAGTAGCTCATTAGCAATATTGTGTTCAATGCTCATTTGTGCCTGTATTACTTTCCTATTACTGCTGTAACATGTTACCACTAACGTGGTTGAAAACAATAAAAATTTATTATCTTACTGTTCTGGAGTTCAGAAGCCTAAAATGGATTCTTCAGATGGTGTTCTTTCTGGAAGCTGTAGGGGAGAATCTGTTTCTTTGCTTTTCCCAGCTTTTATAGATCATGTGCATTTCTTGGCTCATGGATCCTTCCTCTATCTTCAAAGCCTACACTATAGTATCTTCTCTCCTCTATGGCATCTGCTTCTATCCTTACATATCACTCTGATTCTGATCCCCTCCTGCCTCCCTGTTAAAAGCACCCTTGTGATTACATTGGGCAACGCAGACAATCCAGGATAATTTTCCCATCTCAACATTCTTAACTTAACCACATTTCCAAAGTCTTTTTTTGCCCCAGAAAGGTAGCATGTTCACAAGTTCTGGTTTTCAGGATGTAGATTTTAGGGGGATTATTATTCATGTTATTATAGTATTCTATACCTTATAAGTTGCTAATGGAAGGCAAAAACAAATAGAAATAAAAATATTTAAACAGCTGTTATCAAGCTCTCAGTGGAAATTGAGAACTAAATGTAGTATGAAGTTAAAGATGTGGCAAATGTGAGCAGGAATAGAGATGTGTCCTTTGTCAATGAAAATTCAGAACACAATCTGAAGATTAAGCTCTGAATAAAGCCCAGTTTATTTTAAAAAGGAAGGAAGGAAGATAGGAAGGAAGGGAGGAAGATAGGAAGGAGGGAAGGAAGGAAGGAAGAAAGGAAGGAAGGAAGGAGGGAAGGAGGGAGAGAAGGAAAAAAGAAAGGAAGAAATAAAGGAGAAAAGGAAGGAAGAGAGGGAGGAAGCAGAAGTAAGAAGGGGGATAATCAATATTAAAAATATTTGTATAAATAGTGGCATGGCAATTGGGAAAATCTGTAATATGTGGACAATTTTTGAGAATTTGGGCAATTGTCAAGAACTTGTCAAGAACTTGGAATATTTAGTTTAGAAAATGTGAGCAATTTTGGGGAATTTGCTGTGATATATCTACTTGTATAATTTACCATTTTATTTTTCCTTGCATAAAATATGAGAAATATGACAACAACATAAAGACCTATTGCCTTTCTCTTTTTTTTTTTTTTTTTTTTTTTTGAGACAGAGTCTGGCTCTGCCGCCCAGGCTGGAGTGCAGTGGTGTGATCTTGGCTCACTGCAAGCTCCGCCTCCTGGGTTCAGGCCATTCTCACGCCTCAGCCTCCCAAGTAGCTGGGACTACAGGTGCCCGCCACCAAGCCCGGCTAATTTTTTGTATTTTTAGTAGAGACGAGGTTTCACCGTGTTAACCAGGATGGTCTCAAACTCCTGACCTCGTGGTCTGTCCACCTTGGCCTCCCAAAGACCTTTCTCTTATGGAAAGTTTGCCTCTCTCAAAATAAGCAAGGTGAAGATCTGGAGTAGATGAGTAAATCTTCTAACTTCCCCAATTCATTCCTTCATTCTAATTCATTATGTCAAGGTGGAATGCCAAAATGGTGTACTAGTTTTTTATATATATATATAAAATATATGTGTGTGTATATATACAGTATATATATTATATTATATATAATAACTAGTATACATAATACTGTGTGTGTGTATATATATATATATATACTGGTTATATACTGGTTTTATATATATATATACACACTATATAGAGAGCATTGTATATATATATACACACTATATATAGAGAGCATTGTATATATAACTAGTGTATATATATATATACACTATACATAGAGCATTGTATATATAACTAGTGTATATACACATACACACATACATATATATATACATATATACACACACTCATACACATATATATATAGCTACTTATATATGTGTATATATATACACTTCAAATGTCATGTGAAATATAGATAGCCAAAAATGAAGTTTTATGAAGAGACATTATTTGACATAGTGGTTTTTATCACTAATCCAAAAAATATGTCCAGTGCAAATGTGGCAATACAATCTCATTGTCTGAACTTTGACATACTACTGTGTGTGTGTGTGTGTGTGTATATACGCTAGTTATATATACAATGCTCTATGTATAGTGTATATATATATATACACTAGTTATATATACAATGCTCTATAAATATGTATATATATATACACTGGTTATATACTGCTTTTATATATATATAGGTTATATATACACACACTATATATAGAGCATTGTATATATAACTAGTGTATATACACATACACACATACATACATACATATATATACATATATACACACACTCATACACATACATATGTAGCTACTTATATATGTGTATATATATATATATATACACTTCAGATGTCACATGAAATATAGATAGCCAAAAATTAAGTTTTATGAAGAGACATTATTTGACATAGTAGTTTTTATCACTAATCCAAAAAATATGTCCAGTGCAAATGTAGCAATACAATCTCATTGTCTGAACTTTGACGTACTACTGTGTATATATATATATATATACTGGTTATATACTGGTTTTATATATATATACACTATATATAGAGCATTGTATATATAACTAGTGTATATACACATACACACATACATACATATATTTATACATATATACACACACTCATACACATATATATATAGCTACTTATATATGTGTATATATATATATATACACTTCAAATGTCATGTGAAATATAGATAGCCAAAAATGAAGTTTTATGAAGAGACATTATTTGACATAGTGGTTTTTATCACTAATCCAAAAAATATATCCAGTGGAAATGTGGCAATACAATATCATTGTCTGAACTTTGTATTTCCCAGTGAGTAATATTCACTAAGAGCTTCCAAATAGTGAGGTCAAACCAGTTGCCATAGGGAGATTAGAAGACATCGAAATGTGAGTGTCATTATTATTTTCTGATAGAATATTAGAACAGAAAAAATGATCTTGTTAAATAGATAAATTATTTAATTTTCCATATAAGTAACTAAAACCAATATAGTCATACTTGCCAAACACTTTTAGAACAAGTTAAGTATATTTTTAAAAATTAAAAATATGTAAGAGCTAAACATTGTACTCCTAAATTAGTAGATTCTCAACATCTTTGAGGAATACATTTAGCTTTTTACTTGTGTTTATTCTTTTAAAATAACTGCTGTATTTCAAATTGTTGAGTAAATTTATGAATACAATAAACATCTATTTTAATATATCACCATGTCCACACCCTACAAGAGAGAAAATATTGATGTGGTTCAGTAAACACTGGATATACTTAGGACTGTAAATTTCTAGTTGTTTTTTCTTACATCTAACTTGTCATTTAAAATAAAGTTTGGTTTCATGAATCAAGGAAGACATAAGTCTTTCACTAGAAAATCCTGAAATGTTTCTATATAAAAACTTGGTATATTTAATGTTTTTCTTTCCAGTGCACACACTGTAATAACATACCAAATAATTTATAAATAAAATAAAGAAATAAAATGACACTAAAGCTTAATAAAGTAATGATGCAAATTAAAATTTAACACCACATCAAGTGCTTCAGCATACAAATAGATACACCATCAAATATACTGCTTTCTTTTGATCAAGACAAGCAAACTTCAAGAGATTCATGGAAGGGAATGTAGTAGTTTTTTTTTTTTTTTTTTTTTTTTTTTTTTTTGTTTTTTTTTTTTTTGACAAGGTCTCACTCTGTTGCCCAGGCTGGTGTGCAGTGGTGTGATCACCACTCACTACAGCCTTGACCTCCTGGGCTCAAGCAATCCTCCTACCTTCACCTTCCAAGTAGCTGGGACTGGAGGCATGTGCCACCATACTAGCTAATTTTTAAATTATTTGTGGAGACAGAGCCTTGCTATGTTCCTCAGATTGGTCTTGAATTCCTGTGCTCAAGGGATGCTCCTGCCTTGATCTCCCAAAGTGCTGGAATTACAGGTGTGAGCCACTGTGCCTGGCCTGTAGCAATGTTTTAAAAACTCAATGTGATTTATTTTATTTTATTTTATTTTATTTTATTTTATTTTTGACACAGGTTCTCACTCTGTCACCTAGACTGGAGTGCAATGGCACGATCACAGCCCACTGCAACCTCTACTTCCTTAGCTCAAGGGATCGTCCCACCTCAGCCCCCTAGGTAGCTGGGACTACACTTATGTCCACTGTACCTGGCTAATTTTTTAAATTTTAATCTGTTTTTTGTAGAAACAGGGACTCTCTATGTTGCCTAGGCTGATCACAAGCTCCTGGGCTCAAGAAATCCTCCCATCTCAGCCTTCCAAAGTGCTGGGATTATAGGCATGAGATACTGCCACTGTGCCAGGCCTATGATTATATTCTAGGCATTTATTTAGGGCCTTGAATATATTAACTCAAAATCTTCATAACGGACTATTATCCCCAGTTTGCATATGAAGAAAATAAAGTCAACAGAGGATAAGGAACTTGCTCAAAGTGATACAAGTAATAGTTGAACTCAGGTAATCAGCTTTCAGGTAATCAGTCTTTCTATTTAGGCTGTCCATATACTGTACATGTACATAAGTAAAAAACAGTGGGAAATTTTATTGTATATTTATTATTATTCAATCTTGCTTAATAGTGATAACTTCAAGATAAAATTTAAGGATATATAAAGAAATAAATATTATGTAATGTCGGCACCACTTTTGCTTTACCAGCAGCATCTGAATAGAGAAGCTGTGAAGAATTTTGTAGTCAGACATTCAGCATACTGTTTTATGTATCATGCATTTCTCTTTTCTATTTCTGCTTTGCCTACCTTGGATTCTGTCAGGTCAGTTGAGGCATTTAAACAATTTCAAAGTATAGTGAACCATAAACTGAATTTCCATAAATATTCTAGATGGAGAACAGGTAAAAATAAAGATGTGTAAAAAATTGAATCTCTACAGATATCTGAGATGTATGTACTGAAATGATTTAACACACTTGGATTGCCTATGATGAAAAATCATTTTCTAGGAAGAAAAGTATATCATTATGGGCTTATTCACACTCAGAATTGGGAAGAGTTGTTTCAAGATATGACACATATACTTTACACATCAATTTACATTTGGAAAAACATATGATGTACTTATATTTGTAGGTCACAGTAAGAAGGAGCCATCAATTTTACAGGTTGAAGTTGCATCTGTAGATATCCAGTGTACATTGTGATCTAATTATATGACGCCTGTAATATAAAAGCTTTTGTGTAATCATTAGAGTAGATGTGAAATACTTCTCACGTTCCCCCAAAATCTCGAATTATTTACATGGCTCTATCATACCATCCTGTTGATGTTAGAAAGTATTAAAGTGTTTACTAATGTTGTTAATGAAAATGAAGATGTGATACATGAAGGTACTTGTGACATGGATCATTGTTCTAAAGATCAATATCCTTAAGTTCCTAGATGTTACAGCTCTTACAAAAGAAAATTAGCTAATGCCAATTACAATTTATCAAGGTGTCATTGCTAGCTAGTGTTCTGTAAATGCAT
This sequence comes from Homo sapiens, assembly GCF_000001405.40. NCBI lineage: Eukaryota > Metazoa > Chordata > Mammalia > Primates > Hominidae > Homo > Homo sapiens. The sequence goes on from NC_000007.14 coordinate 125,704,159, forward strand.
TAATGATAGCTTACAATGGGTTTGAATGTAAAAGTTCCAAATAGCCAGTTTGGCAATGAGATGCTAATTTAAATGTAAAGTAGTATGCAAATAACTAAGACACATGAGGTAGCACTTTGAAAGAAGAAGTTTATATATTATATACAAGTATATATTAAGTATGTAAGTATATATTATGTACAAACATATACATGTAAATATGTAAGCATGAAAAGTGTATATATAGTCTCTCTATATTCCATACATGTTATCTCTATATATTTTCTCTACATACTCTATATACATATATTTTATATATATATATATTTCCATTCGTTATTTTATATCAATTTTTCAGACAGATTTGGTCAGAGAAAGTCAAGTTCTGTAAATTTGAAAGTTTATTCAAAATAAAGATATGTCAGGACTGGATATGCATTAAGATAAAACCTAATGTTAAAAAATATTTTTTTCTACAGAATTTCTTAAAAAGCTTTTTGGCCGGGCGCAGTTGCTCACGCCTGTAATCCCAGCACTTTGAGAAGCCAAGGCAGGCAGATCACGAGGTCGGGAGATCGAGACCATCCTGGCTAACACGGTGAAACCCCGTCTCTACTAAAAATACAAAAAATTAGACAGGCTTGGTGGTGGGCGTCTGTAATCCCAGCTACTCGGGAGGCTGAGGCAGGAGAATGGCGTGAACCCAGGAGGCGGAGCCTGCAGTGAGCCGAGATCGTGCCACTGCATTCCAGCCTGGGCGACAGAGCGAGACTCCGTCTCAAAAAAAAAAAAAAAAAAAGCTTATTAAGTCATTGCTTTATGAGACAAGGCATATAAATCTATGCATTTTTGAAATATTGTCATGAAGTCCACTTAAAAATTATTCTAATAAACAACGCTTGATATAGTTTTATAGTTTTGATACTTGTCCTTACCCAAATCTTCTATTAAAATTTAATCCCCTTGTTGGAGGTGGGGCCTGGTAGGAGGTGAGTGAATCATGGGGCGGATTTCTCATCAATGACTTAGCACCAGCTCCTTGGTGCTGTCCTTGCCATAGTGAGTGAATTCTTGTGAGATATGGTTGCTTAAAGTGTATGCTACCTCCCATCTCTCTCTCTCTTGCTCCTGCATTTACCATGTGATGTGCCTGCTACCCCTTTGCTTTCTGCCATGATTGGAAGCTTCCTGAGGACTCTCCAGAAGCAGATGTTGTTATGATTCCTGTACAGCCTGCTATGATTCCTGTACTGTGAGCCAATTAAACCTCTTTTCTTATAAATTACCCAGTCTCATGTATTCTTTACAGTGAAAGAATAGCCTAAAAAATTCGACATAACATTTCTGGAAAGGGATAAAGAACATTAAGTTCAATGATAGCTCAGTGATATGGTTTGGTTCTGTGTCCCCACCCAAATTTCACCTCAAATTGTAATCCCTATAATCTCCACGTGTCAAGGGGGGAACCAGATGGAGGTAATTGAATCATCGGGGCAGTTTCCTCCATGCTGTTCTCACAATAGTGAGTGAATTCTCATGACATCTGATGGTTTTATAAGGGGCTTCTCCCCCTTCCCTTGGCACTTCTTCTTGACGCCTTGTGAAGAAGATGCCTTGCACCCCTTCACCTTTCACCATAATTGTAAGTCTCCTGAGGCCTCCCCAGCCATGAGGAACTGTGAGTCAATTAAACCTCTTTCCTTTATAAATTACCAAGTCTCCGGCAGTTCTTCATAGCAGTATGAAAATGGACTAATACACTCGGATAATTGGTTTTATTTCTCAACGTATCCATATGTTTCCTACTTGGTTTCTCAGTGTTTACATAATGCATATAATCAGTTCCCTGATTATATACATTATATACATACATATTATATACATATATTTACACGGAGAATTATACACATATACTCTCAGGAGTTTGTTTTACCTCAAATTGTTTCTAAATTTTAGTTAGCCTCTGACTTGCTATCAAGTTCTTGATATTAAGAGTAGTCCTAGCCTGGAGTGGTGACTCATGGGTGCAATCTCCACATTTTGGGAAGCCAAAGTAGAAAAATTGTTTAAGGCCAGGAATTCAAGACCTGCCTAGACAATATACCAAGCTCTCATCTCTACAGAAAAATTTTTAAAAAATTATCCAGGTATGGTGGTGTACACCTGTTGTCCCAGCTACTTGGAGGCTGAGGTGGGAGGATTGCTTGAGACCAGGAGGTCAAGGATGCAGTAAACCATGATCATGTCACTGCACTCCAGCCTGGTCAACAGAGCAAAACCCTGTCTCTCTCTCTCTCTTAAAAAAGTAGTCCTAAAACAGATACTTATTGTGATAGTTAATTTTGTGTGTTAACTTGACTGGAATAAGAAAATGTCTAAATAGCTAGTTAAAGATTATTTCCCAGTGTGTCTGTGAGGGTGTTTTCAGAAGAGAATGACATTTGAATTATTAGACTGGGTAAAGAAGAGTGTCCTCGCCAATTTGATTAGGTGTCATCCAATCTGTTGAGGGCCTGAATATAACTAAAAGGCAGAGGAAGGGCAAATTCCCTTTCTCTGTTTCAGTGATACATTCCTCTTTTTCTGCCTTTGGACATAGGAGCTCCCAGTTCTCAGGCCTTTGGACTAGGACTAAATGGCACCACTTGCTTTCCCAGTTCTCCAGTTTGAAGATGACAGAGTCAAAGCATTAAACAGAATAATCTGACTGGAGCAGACCTATGGCATTTGTTAGTTAATCATTGTGCTCCTAGAAGTAGGATAGGAACCTATTATATTCTTACTTAGTGTACATAAGCAGAAAGATTCTAGGTCAAGTGAACAAAAGTCTAACTTGAATAATAAAAACAGATGTCATATACCCTCAATCAATTTCCAGACTTGAGTCAGGTTGCAGACTAAGAACTCCTTGAATGAAGGGGAGGCCAGATATCCTCAAGAAAGGACTCTGTTACAAAATTTGAAGATTTATACTGTTAATGTTTCTCCCACTCATCCCCAATGGGACCTATGGCTTTTTACCAGGGCAACTCTTCACTGATGAAAAGGAGATAATCTGCTATTTTGGGGTATTACTTGACACTGGCACTAATCAGACAATCATTCCTGGAAACCCAAAATGTCACTGTGGCCCTCCAGTCAGAGTAGATGCTTACAGAGATCAGATGATATATTAGTTCATTCTCACAATGCTAAAAAGAACTACCTGAGACTGAGTATTTTATAAAGAAAAGAGGCTTAATTGATTCACAGTTGTGCAGGCTGTACAGGAGGCATGTTTGAGGGGGCCTCAGAAAACTTACAGTCATGGCAGAAGATGAAGGGGATGTAAGCATATCGTCATATGGAGGCAGGAGAGAGCCAGTGAAGGGGGGAAGTGCTACACACTTTCAAACAACCAGATATCATGAGAACACATTCATCATCATGAGAACAGCAAGAGAGAAATCCGCCCCCATGATCCAATCACCTCCCACCAGATCATCCCTCCCTCAACATTGGGGATTACAATTCAATATGAGATTTGAATGGGGACACAGAGCCAAACCATATAAGATGATCAATGGAGTTCTGTCTCAAGCACAATGGGTCCCTGAACACATCCTGTGGTCATTTTTCCAGTCCTAGATGCACAATTATAATAGACATGCTTAGCAGCTGGTAGAGTCCCCACACTGGCTCCCTGACCAATGACTTACAAAGTGAGGACTGTTATAGTGAGAAAGACAAAGTGAAAGCTGCTAGAACTGCTTCCCCCTATAAAAATAATAAGTCAAAAGCAATACCATATTCTTAGAGAGCTTGAGGAGATTAGCACCACCAGCAAGGAAATAAAAGATGCAGGGGTGTTGATTCCCACCACATGCGCATCATGCTCATTTAACTATCCTATTTGACCAGTCCATAAGACAGATGAATCTTGGAGAATGATTGGTTAGCGTAACCTTAACCAAGTAGGGACTGCAATTACTGCTACTGTACCAGATGTGGTTTCATTGCTTGAGAAAATTAACACGTCCCCTGACACCTGGTATGCAGCTATTGACCTAGAAGATGCTTTTCTTTACCCTGTTCCATAAAGAACAATAGACGTAGTTTGCTTTCAGCTGTCAAGGCTAAAGATACACCTTCATTGTCCTATCTCAGGGGAATATCAACTCTCCATTCCTATGTCATAATTTAGTTCTCAGGGATCTTGATCACCTGTCTCTTCCATAATATATCACACTGATCCATTACCTTGATGAGCTTATGCCAATTGGACTAAGGGAATAAGAAGTAGCAACTACTCTTATTGATAGGACATTTGCATATCAAAGGGTGGGAAATAAATTCAACTAAAATTCAGGGATCTTCTAACTCAGTGAAATTTTGGAGGTCTTGTGGTGTGAGGTATCACCCTTTTAAGATAAAGGATAAATTTGTTGCGTCTGGCTCCTTTTACAACCAACAAAGAGGTACAATGCCAAGTGGGATTCTTTTGATTTTTTTTAAATATATATTTTTTCCCATAAGTTATTGGGGTACAGGCAGTATTTGGTTACATGAGTGAGTTATTTCTTTCGTGGTGATTTGTGAGATTTTGATGCATCCATCATCCAAGCAGAACACATTGCACCATATTTGTAGACTTGTATACCCTGTTCCCCTTCTACTCTTCCCTGCAAGTCCCCAAAGTTCATTGTATCATTCTTATGCCTTTGTGTCTTCATAGCTTAGCTCACACATATCAGTGAGAAAATACGATGTTTGGTTTTCCATTCCTGAGTTATTTCACTTTGAATAATAGTCTCCAATCTCATCCATGTCACTGCAAATGCTGTTAATTCATTCTTTTTATGGCTGCGTAGTATTCCATTATGTGTGTATGTGTGTATAGTGATATATATACATATATGTGTATATATATGTGGATATATATACATATATACCTATGAACACACTATATCACTATATGGATAATATAATAAAATATACATTCCATTGTATGTGTGTATAGTGAGATATATATATGTGTGTGTGTGTGTGTATATATATATATATATATATATATATATATATATATATATATCTCACACTTTCTTTGTCTACTCATTGATTGATGGGCATTTGGGTTGGTTCCACGATTTTGCTATTGTGAATTGTGCCCCTATAAACATGCATATGCAAGTATCTTTTTCAGATGATGACTTCTTTTCCTCTGGGTAGATACCCAGTAGTGGGATTGCTGGAACAAATGGTAATTCTACTTTTAGTTCTTTAAGGAATCTCCACACTGTTTTCCATAGTGGCTGTACTAGTTTACATTCCCACCAGCGGTGTAGAAGTGTTCCATGTTTACCACATCCACGCCAACATCTACTGTTTTTTGATTTTTTTTTTTTGTGGCCATTCTTGCAGGAGTAAGGTGGTATCACATTGTGGTTTTGATTTACATTTCTCTGATCATTAGTTATGTTGAGCATTTTTTCATATGTTTGTTGGTCATTTATACATTTTCTTTTGAGAATTGTCTATTCATTTCCTTAGCCCACTTTTTGATAGGATTTTTGTTTTGTTCTAACTGATTTGTTTGAGTTCATTGTAGATTCTGGATATTAGTCCTTTGCCAGATGTATAGATTGTGAAGATTTTCTCCCACTCTGTGGGTTGTCTGTTTATTCTGCTGACTGTTCCTTTTGCCATGCAAAAGCTCTTTAGTTTAATTAGACCTCAGCTATTGATCTTTGTTTTACTGCATTTGCTTTTGGGTTCTTGGTCCTGAAATCCTTGCCTAAGCCAATATCTAGAAGGGTTTTTCCAATGTTATCTTCTAGAAATTTTACAGTTTCACGTCTTAGGTTTAAGTCTTTAACCCATCTTGAGTTGATTTTTGTATAAGGTGAGAGATGAGGATCCAGTTTTATTCTCCTACATGTGGCTAGCCAATTATCCCAGCACCATTTGTTGAAAAGGGTGTCCTCAAACAAATGGAAGAATATTCCATGCTCATGGATGGGAAGAATCAATATTGTGAAAATGATTCCCTATTTAATAAATGGTGCTGGGAAAACTGGCTAGCCATATGTAGAAAGCTGAAACTGGATCCCTTCCTTATACCTTATACAAAAATTAATTCAAGATGGATTAAAGACTTAAATCTCAGACCTAAAGCCATAAAAACCCTAGAAGAAAACCTAGGCAATACCATTCAGGACATAGGCATGGGCAAGGACTTCATATCTAAAACACCAAAAGCAATGGCAACAAAAGCCAAAATTGACAAATGGGATCTAATTAAATTAAAGAGCTTCTGCACAGCAAAAGAAACTACCATCAGAGTGAACAGGCAACCTACAGAATGGGAGAAAATTTTTGCGATCTACTCATCTGACAAAGGGCTAATATCCAGAATCTACAAAGAACTCAAACAAATTTACAAGAAAAAAACAAACAACCCCATCAAAAAGTGGGTGAAGGATATGAACAGACACTTCTCAAAAGAAGACATTTATGCAGCCGACAGACACATGGAAAAGTGCTCATCATCACTGGCCATCAGAGAAATGCAAATCAAAAGCACAATGAGATACCATCTCACACCAGTTAGAATGGTGATCATTAAAAAGTCAGGAAACAACAGGTGCTGGGGAGGATGTGGAGAAATAGGAACACTTTTACACTGTTGGTGGAACTGTAAACTAGTTCAACCATTGTGGAAGACAGTGTGGCGATTCCTCAGGGATCCAGAATGAGAAATACCATTTGACCCAGCTATCCCATTACTGGGTATAAACCCAAAGGATTATAAATCATGCTGCTATAAAGACACATGCACGTGTATGTTTATTGCAGCACTATTCACAATAGCAAAGACTTGGAACCAACCCAAATGCCCATCAATGATAGACTGGATTAAAAAAATGTGGCACATATACACCATGGAATACTATGCAGCCATAAAAAAGGATGAGTTTATGTCCTTTGTAGGGACATGGATGAAGCTGGAAACCATCATTCTGAGCAAACTATTGCAAGGACAGAAAACCAAACACTGCATGTTCTCACTCATAGGTGGGAATTGGACAATGAGAACACATGGACACAGGAAGGGGGACATCACACACCGGGGCCTGTCGTGTGGTGGGGGGGAGGGGGGAGGGATAGCATTTGGAGATATACCTAATGTAAATGATGAGTTAATGGGTGCAGCACAGCAACATGGCACATGTATACATATGTAACAAACCTGCACGTTGTGCATATGTACCCTAGAACTTAAAGTATAATTAAAAAAAAAAAAGAAAAGGGTGTCCTTTCCCCACTTTATGCTTTTGTTTGCTTTGTAGAAGATCAGTTGGCTGTAAGTTTTTGGGTTTATTTCTGGGTTCTGTATTCTGTTCCATTGGTCTACGTGCCCATTTTTATACCAGTACCACACTGCTTTGGTGAGCATGGCTTTCTAGTATAGTTTGAAATCAGGTAGTGTGACGTCCCCAGATTTGATCTTTTTGCTTAGTCTTGCTATGGGTATGCAGGCTCTTTTTTGGTTCCATATGAATTTTATAATTGTTTTTTTCTAATTCGATGAAGAATGATGTTGGTATTTTGATGGGGATTGTGTTGAATTTGTAGATTGCTTTTGGCAGTATGGTCATTTTCAGTATATTAATTCTACCCAATCCATGAGCATGGAATGTGTTTCCATTTGTTTGTGACATCTGTGATTCCTTTCAGCAGTGCTTTGTAGTTTTCCTTGTAGAGGCCTTTCGACTCCTTGGTTAGGTATATTCCTAAGTGGTTTTTTTGTTTGTTTGTTTTGTTTGTTTTGTTTTTGTTTTTTGCAGCTGTTGTAAAAGGGGTTGCGTTCTTCATTTGATTCTCAGTTTGGTTGCTTTTGGTGTATAGAAGAGCTACTGATTTGTGTACATTAATCTTGTATCTGGAAACTTTGCTGAATTCTTTTATCAGTTCTAGGAGATTTCTGGAGGAGTCCTTAGGGTTTTCAAGGTAAACGATCATATTGTCAGCAAACAGTAACAATTTGACTTCCTCTTTACCGATTTGGGTGCCTCTTATTTCTTTCTATTGTCTGATTGCTCTGGCTAGGACTTCCAGTACTATGTTGAAGAGGAGTGGTGAGAGTGGGCATCCTTGTCTTGTTCCATTTCTGAGAGGGAATGCTTTCAACTTTTCCCCATTCAGTATTCCGATGGCTATTGGTTTGTCATAGATGGCTTTTATAACAAAAAGTTATGTCCCTTGTATGCCTATTTTATGAGAGTTTTAATCATAAAGAAATGCTGAATTTTGTCGAATGCTTTATCTGCACCTATTGAGATGATCATGTGATTTTTGTGTTTAATTCTGTTTATGTGGTGTATTACATTTATTGACTTGCATATGCTAAACATTCCCTGCATCACTGATATGAAACCCACTTGATCATGGTAGATTATCTTTTTGATATATTGTTGGATTCAGTTAGCTAGTATTTTGTTAAGGATTTTAGCATTTATGTTCATCAAGGATATCAGTCTGTAGTTTTCTTTTTCGGTTATATCCTTTCCTGGTTTTGGTATTAGGGTGATGCTGGCTTCATAAAATGAATTAGGGTGGGTTCCGTCTTTCTCTGTCTTGTGGAATAGTGTCAAAAGGATTGGTACCAATTCTTCTTTGAATGTCTGGTATAATTCTGCTGTGAATCATCTGGTCCTGGACTTTATTTTTTGGTAATTTATATATATATATATTTTTTTCATTATACTTTAAGTTCTAGGGTACATGTGCACAACGTGCAGGTTTGTTACATATGTGTATACATGTGCCATGTTGGTGTGCTGCACCCATTAAGTTACCATTTCAATCTCACTCCTTGTTATTGGTCTCTTCAGGGTATCTAATTCTTCCTGATTTGAGCTAGGAGGGTTGTATTTTTCCAGGAATTTATCCATCTCTTCTAGGTTTTCTAGTTTATGTGCATAAAGGCATTCATAGTAGCCTTGAATAATCTTTTGTGTTTCAGCAGTGTCAGTTGTAACGGAACTCCCTTTTTTTTTTTCTTAATTAGGTTATTTGGATTTTCTCTCTTTTTTTGTTGGTTAATCTTGCTAGTGGTGTATATTTTATTTGTCTTTATATAGAACCAATTTTTTGTTTTATTTATCTTTTGTATTGTCTTTTATGTCTTAATTTCAGTTAGTTCTGCTCTGATCTTGGTAATTTCTTTTCTTCTGCTGGGTTTGGGTTTGGTGTGCTCTTGTTTCTCTAATTCCCTGAGGTGTGACCTTAGAATGTCAGTTTGTGCTCTTTCAGTCTTTTTGATGTAGTTGCTTAGGGCTATGAATTTTCCTCTTAGGACTGCCTTCACTGTATCGCAAAGGTTTTGTTAGGTTGTGTCATTATTGTTATTCAATTCAAATAATTTTTTAACTTTCATCTTGATTTTGTTTATGACACAATGTTCATTCAGGAGCAGGTTGTTTAATTTCCATGTATTTGCATGGCTCTGAAGGTTCTTTTTGGAGTTGATTTTCAGTTTTATTCCACTGTGGTCTGAAAAAGTGCTTGATATAATTTCAGTTTTCTTAAATTTATTAAGGCTCGTTTTATGGCCTGTCATATGGTCTATCTCAGAGAAAATTCCATGTGCTGTTGAATAGAATGTTTATTCTGCAGTTGTTGGATGAAATGTTCTGTATATATCCGTTAAGTCCATTTGTTCCAAGGTATAGTTTAAATACATTGTTTCCTTATTGACTTTCTGTCTTGATGACCTGTCTAGTGCTGTCAGCAGAGTATTGAAGTCCCCCACTATTATTGTGTCACTGTCTATCTCATTTCTTAGGCCTATTAGTAATTGTTGTATAATTTTAAGAGCTCCAGTGTTAGGTGCCTATGTGTTTGGGATCGTGATATTTTCCTCTTGGGCAAGGCCTTTTACCATTATCTAATGTCCTTCTTTGTCTCTTTTAACTGCTGTTACTTCAAAGTTTGTTTTGTCTGATATAAGAATAGCTACCCCCGTTCACTTTTGGTGTCCGTTTTCATAAAATGCCTTTTTCTACCCCTTTACTTTAAGTTTATGTGAGTCCTTATGCGTTTGATGAGTCTCATGAAGGCAGCAGATGGTTGGTTGGTGAGTTCTTATCCATACTGTGGTTCCGTATCTTTTAATTGGAGCACTTAGGCCATTTACATTCAATGTTAGTATTTAAATGTGAGGTACTGGTGCATTCATCATGCTCTTTATTGCTCTTGAAATTTCTTTCTTTTTTGTTTTTACTTTTTAACATATATTTTTGTTTTATAGCTCCTGTGTGATTTACGCTTTAAAGAGGTTCTGTTTTGATGTGTTTCCAGGATTTGTTTCAAGATTTAGAGCTCCTTTTAGCAGTTCTTGCAGTGGTGGCATGGTAATGGCAAATTCTCTCAGCATTTGTTTGTCTGAAAAGGAGTATATCTTTCCTTCATATATTATACTTAGTTTCACTGGATACAAAATTATTTGCTGACAATTGTTTTGTTTTAGGAGGCTGAAGATAGGGCCCCACTCCCTTCTAGCTTGTAGGGTTTCTGCTGAGAAATCTACTGTTAATATGTTATGTTACCTGATGCTTTTGTCTCACAGCTCTTAAGATTCTTTCTTTTGTCTTAACTTTGGATATCCTGATGACAATGTGTCTAAGCGATGATGTTTTTGTGATGAATTTTCCAGGTGTTCTTTGTGCTTCTTGGATGTCTAGGTCTCTAGCAAGGCCAAGGAATTTTCCTCAATTATTCCCCCTAATATGTTTTCCAAGCTTTTAGAATTCTCTTCTTCCTCAGGAACACTGATTGTTCTTAGGTTTGGTTGTTTAACATAATCCCAGACTTCTTGGAGGCTTTGTTCATATTTTCTTATTCTTTTCTCTTTGTCTTTGTTGGACTGAATTCAAAGAACTTGTCTTCATGCTCTGAATTTCTTTCTTTTACCTGTTGAATTCTATTACTGAGACTTTCCAGAGCATTTCAGATTTCTCAGTGTGTCTACAGTTTCCTGAATTTTTTATTGTTTTTTCTTTAAGCTATTTCCTTGAGTAGTTCTCCCTTCACTTCTTGTATCATTTTTTGGATTTCTTTGCACTGGGCTTCACTTTTCTCCAGTCCCTCCCTGATTAGCAGAATAACTAACCTCCTGAATTCTTTCTCAGGTAAATCAGGGATTTCTTCTTGGTTTGGATCCATTGCTGGTGAACTAGTATGATCTTTTGGGGTATGTTGAAGAGCTTTGTTTTGTCATATTACCAGGGTTTGTTTTCTGGTTCCTTCTCATTTGGGTAGGCTTTGTCAGGGGGAAGGTCTAGAGCTAAAGGCTGTTGTTCAGATTCTTTTGTACCATGGGGTGTTGCCTTGATGTAGTACTCTCCCCATTTTCCTATGGATGTGGCTTCCTGTGAGCTGAACTGCAGTGACTGTTGTCTCTCTTCTGGGTCTAGCTACCCAGTAAGTCTACCCAGCTCTGGGCTGGTACCGGGAGTTGTCTCCACAGAGTCCTGTGATGTGAATCATCTATGTGTCTCTCAGCCATGGATACCAGCGTCTGTTCTGGTGGAGGTGGCTGGAGTGTGCAATGGACTCCATGAGGGTTCTTAGCTTTGGTGGTTCAATGCTCTATTTTTGTCCTGGTTGGCCTCCTGCCAGGAGGTGGCACTTTCCAGAAAGCATCAGCTGTAGTAATATGGAGAGGGACTGGCAGTGGGAGGGACCCTAGAACTACCAAGTCTATATGTCCTTTGTCTTCCACTGCCAGGGTGGGTAGGGAAGGACCATCAGGTGGGTGTGGGGCTAGGTGTATCTGAGCTCAGACTGTCCTTGGGTGGGTCTTGTTGCAGCTGCAGTGAGGAATGCGTGTGAGATTCCCAGGTCACTAGAGTTGTGTACCTTAGGAGGATTATGGCTGCCTCTGCTGAGTCATGTGGGTTGTCAGGGAAGTGGGGGAAAGCCAGCAGTCACAGGTCTCACCCAGCTCCCATGCAAACCAAGGGGCCTGTCTCACTCCCACCGTGTCCCCTCCAACAGCACAGAGTCTGTTTCCTGGCGGAGGGCGTGATGGGCTTGAAAACTTGCCCTGGACAATCCTCTTCCCAACTGCAAAAGAAAAGGGTTTGGTTCTTCCCCCACCTGTGGAGTCTGCACACCAGATTTTCGCCCTCCCATGAGTTGTGGCCAGGAGGCTTCTTGCCCTGTTCAAATTGTTACAAAGTTCAGCTAGAGATTTCCTTCTCTTTGTGGAGTTTTACCCCTTGCTTCTCTGGTCACCCTCCTGATGGATACCTGTGGTGCCAGGCAGGAATGGGCTGCTAGGGGGTGCAGTGAGCCCCCAGGGTCTTTCTGCTGCTTCCTCTCATCTGTATTTTGCTTGGCTCTCTAAATTGACTCAGCTCCAGGTAAAGTCAGAAACATCTCCCACAAACAGACCTTCAGCTTCTCCAGTGGTGGTGTGTGATCGGGAGAGAAGGGTGTCCCTTTCCAACTTCCACAGTTGGGGCACTTGCAGTATTTGGGGTGCCTCCTGGGTCCTGCAGGACCAGTCTGCTTCCTTCAGAGGGTGTGTGGGCCCTCTCAGAATTGCTGGTTTGTTCCTGCAGTTGATCTGGAGCTAAAATTAATAAATGTGAGCTTCTGCATGCTGCTCTGTCTGAAGCTGCAATCTAGTCTTGCCTCCCATCCACCATGATAATCTTCTTTTGATTTTGGGGGCAACATGTTCTTCATTTGGGTGTGTTACTAGCCCATTTAGTAAATGACCTAAAACGCTGCTAGTTTTGAGGGGGCCCATAAAAAGAGATGATTATGAAATGCATCCAGGCTACTCTGTCACTAGAACCATATGATCTGCAGATTAAATGGTGCTTTATATGTCAGTGGCAGATAAGGAATCTCTTTGTAACATTTGGAAAGTGTAGACCTTTAGCATTTTAGAGCAAAGCCCTACCATTATTTTCAGATAACTATTCTCTTTTTGAGAGACAGCTTTTGGCTTGCTTCTGGATCTTAGTAGAGACTGAACCCTTGATTCTGAGCCAACAAGTCACCCTGAAACTTGAGCTGCTCATCATGAACTGTGTGTTATCTGGCCCACCATGATATAAAGGGGCTACATGGTAACACTCCATCATCAGTTGGAAGTAATATTATCTGACCTGGCCTAAGCAGGTTCTGAAGGCACAAATAAGCTACATGAAGAAGTGGACCAAATGCCTAGGGACCCACTCCTGCTACAGTGCCTTCTGTACTCATGCTTTTATTCCTATATTGGATTGTTTACAATTTTTAAGAACACATTGAGGTCCCCCTTGTAAGTAAAAAAGAGGCATAAGCATGTGTCTCAGATTCCCATGCTACTTATATCTGCTGTGTTTTCAGCTGTCCTTCAATGTACACTGTGTTATCATGAGGTGTTTCCTATGACAAATTGACATAAAAAGATATGTTAAACATGAATTACAATGAGTATGCATGGTATGATGGCATGAGAATAAAATAACTGCTCCTGAAGATCAGATTTATTTAAAATGTGTCTCTGAAGGACAGTAGGTGAAAGAAAATTTTTCTAGTGAGCAGTACACCTGTTTGTGGAGGAGTGATGGCTCAGTGGTATGGATCTACACTGATTCCTTGGCAGAGGATTGGAGTGTTGTTCAGGACTCAAGAAAGAATACTGGAAGAAAACAGGAATAAGGAACTGAAACATGATTAAAATATTCCCTTTTGACTTTTCTCATAAGCCAGGGTTGATGGTAGAAGAGGTCATGACATTAGCAGGCTCACTGATGACAATGAGAATCACAGAACCTTGAATTTCTAGAAGCCAGGTGTCAGTAGCTAATGCCTGAAACCTTTTCGTGGACACAATTATTATAAAGTGGGGGAATGGATCGAGGTGACAGAAAAAGGGTCTGGCCTACAGAATGTTATAAAGATGTTTGAAAAGACACAATAGTCCAAAAGGGAAAAAGAGATGGCCAGCCAATGAGTGTGCAACTAAATTCCACTACAGGAAGAAATCAATGATGAAATGCCAGGAGGCTAAGGGGAGTCACCCTAGTGAAATGTTACAATCCTTTTTCCGATTTCCTTTTTTCAGTTTTCACACTTGGAGACCTGTGAATGAAGAGGAATAGTCTTCTCTAGAAAAAATGGAACCTGCCATTCCTCTGCCCTTCTGCAAATATATTTATAGCTGTTCACTTGGGAAAACAGACCCAGGCATTTCAAAGACCACTGGATATAGGGTCCAAGTTGACATTGATACTCAGAGAACCAAAATGTCACCATGGCTCCTGTTAGAATGGGTATATGTAGGATTCTGCTAATAAATGAAGTTCTGGCATAGTTAAGCTTGCAGATGTCCACTAGGTCTGCACACCCACACGGTGGTATTTACCCAATCCTAAAATGTATAATTGGGATTACACTTGGTGTCTAATGTAATCCTTATGTTATTGTGGGTTATGAATTATCATGTTCAGGAAGGCCAAGTGGAAACTTTTCCTTTTTCTGACCCATTACATTAAATAAAAAATAATATTATACAGAGGCAAGGTAGTGCTATCCTTTAGGCTATAAAGGATGCAGAGATGGTAGCCCCCATCATACCCCCAATTATATATACATTTAATACACAATTCTGGACCCTGCAGAAATCAAATTGATCTGGGAAGAAAAAAGTAGACTACTATGAACTCTCTCAAGAAGTAGATTCAACTGCAGCTGCCATGACAGGTATAATATCTTTATTAAAGCAGATTAAGATGGTTTCTGACAAATAGTATGCAATTACAGATTGGAGAGTGCACTATTTTTTTACTACGATCTGAAAAGACGATCAGAAACAGTTCATACCTAGGACAAGAATATAGATTTAACGTTTTGTACCAGGGCTCTGTTGACTTTCCTGCCCTCTGTCATTGTATGTTCCAAAGAAACCTAAGTCAGAAGTCAGAAAACTATGGACTGTCACCTCTTTTTATAGGATATATGTGCTAAAAAGTTTTTACATTTTAAAATGCTTAATATACAACTTTTAAAACACCATGAGCTTTTGAGTAAGAACAGTTGCTCAATTTTGCTTCTTTGGCAGCAAAGTCTAAAATATTTACCATCTTTCCCTTTACAGAGAAAGTTTCCCAATTCCTGATCTAGACTACTTTACCATACTGCAGAGTAGCACAGTGATCACCTATATCAATAATATTTTAATTTAAATGAATAAAATGTGTAACAATTTAGACAGATATAACTTTGAAAATATTTAGAAAATAGCCATTCTAAAATTTTATGTAAGACATAGTTAACTAGAGATAACAACTTTTTTATTGCAGTTTAAAATTTTTATTTACAGAACGTGATCCTGATTCTTATTATACCACTAGATTCAGTTACTCAAAAAGGCTATAAAATCTTGTTTTTTTTTAGATGCTTCTAAAAGTAATTGTGACTAAACATATTCTGGAAAAATGATGCATTGCCCTATTTAGAAGCCTCTATGAAGTTTGTTATTTTTGTTTTAGCATACTTTTAGGATTTTAACCCACTTTTGTCTTCTTTACTTTCCCCCAGATATTCACATTTTACTTTCTGTTTCTCTTGTGAAGACTTGATTTTCTAATTGTATTATATTTCATCATTTTAGAGGCATTGAAATATTTCTAGCTAATTGTTTTACTTTTTGTTTTGGTCTAAGTGTTAGCCAATCTGATTTTTGCAAGTACTTCTCACCATAATTCTCTCATTTTGTTATTTTTTTATATTATTATTTTTGCAGGTTTTAATATATAGAAGCATTTAACAATATTTTTTCAATGTTTTGCAGTTTTCTTCTTTGATAAGCTTTGCTAATACATACACACAAACACACACAATATATGTGGTATGATACATATGTATATATTTTTTTTTCTTAGTTCACGCGGTATCATATTGAAAAGAACATTCTCCGTTTTAATTAGTGTGTCTCACCATACTTCAAGATATGTTCACCTGGCCAGGTTGCTTTGCGTCGCAATTATATCTGCTTTTTCTTCCTCGCAGATGATTTTTAAATGCTACAAATAATCTTCATCGAATCCAAAAACAATAGTAATTAATTTATTTGTATAAATTCTGTCATTGGAGGTAATTTATAAGAAATAAATGAGTAAATTTGCAGTTTGAAAGCAAGTGGATTAAAGAAGGCACAAAACAATAGCTGTTGTGATTAAATGGATAAGGACGATGTTAAATAAGAGGTTAGTAAAATAAAATAATATTCTAGTTTCTTATTAAGAAACGTCAAGCTATAGTGATCTTTAAAAGTCGGCAAATCCTGCAAAAAAGAATATATTGGTGAAATGGTTGTAAACAACCATGCCATGTCTCTGCAGATGATGAGATAAACAATAAATTCAGGAGCAAGCTTTCATAAAAACTGCTAGCAATTTTTTGTTAGGAATAGGGAAGTCTGCGGCATTTTTTCCTGGTACTGCCCCAATAAATCCCACTCAATTCAGGCAGCAAGAATGGTGGTGTTACAAGTGTGCACCTGGCCACAGAAATCAGGCACCTGGCTGCCAGAGGGGATGGACTCCATTTGGGGTGATGACTGGAAACTCGCACTTGGTGACATTGCCAGTAAAATTTGCGAACTTATAGGAAATGATTAAGAAAAGGCACAGCCCTGCTAGCCTAAAGTCACAGTTGCAGTTGGGGCAAGTGGAAGATCAGCCTGAAGTTTAATGGGGAAAGCCTGGAAATGAGAGCTCCACAAAATAGCTTTTCATATTTGTTTGCCTGACTGACTAGAAAACTCCACTCATGTGCAAGGAGAATTGAAAGAACTTTCTATATAAAGCTAAAGCAGATTGGAAAACTGACTGAAGTTTACATATGAACTCTTCAACAGAAACACAGTGCTGAGGTTTCTAAGCACAATATCTTTCTAAATAATCATCAGCTGATCACTAACATATAAAATGAATAAATAATGTAAAATAAATGACCAAAACTAAGGAAAAAAATTCAATAGAAACTGACTTCTAGTAAACCATATATTGGATTGAGCATACAGACATATCAAAGCAGTTGTTATAAATATGTTCAAAGTGTTCAACGGCACCACATTGGAAAAATTAAAGAAAAATAGGTTTACAATGACTTAACAAATTAAAAATCTCAATAGAGAAATAGACATTTTTTAAAAAATGAATATTTTAGAGTTGGAAAGTACAATTCTAGAGTTGAAAAATACACTTTTAGCATTGAAATAAATATCTGCTTAATGGGTTCAACAGTAAATGGGAGATAGCAGAAAATATAATGAACGTGAAGATAGATCAGTAGATATTCTTTAGTCTGAAGACAAAAAGTAAGACATTTGAAAAAAATGTAGTAGGTAGAAACATTTGCTATCTCACCTTTGGATTAGACTCTCTATAAGGTACATTTTACAAATTCTTCCAAGATTCTCAAGAGGGATTCAGGTTTTTGATAACATTATTTACTGGTTGTCTTCCTATCTCACTTTCTCAATCACCTACCCTTCTTCATAGGAACATCCCCCACATAAACTAATTGCCCTCAAATACTTCTCTTTATAAGCTTTTAGAGGGTCTCAAACCTGCATAATAGTATATAAAACAATCTATAGTAATACATAAATTATTTGCCTACATATTTATTGTCTTTTTTTCTACCAGAATATAAACTGTGTAAGGGAAAACATCTTGTTTCTGTTAATCCATTGCTTTCGCCTCAGCAGTTAGAACAGTCCTTGGCATCATAGTAAATGCTTCACTAAATATTGGCTGAATAAATGAATACATAGTAAATATCGACATACATTTTTATTGTGCTTCCTCCTGTTATTCTATTTCCTCTCTTCTTTCCTTTTTGCTCTTTAAAATGAGGAAAGGTAAAATTTATACAAAGTCGGTAGATGGCCTATGTTTTAAGTGTGTTTGACTCACTGGCTGTTGTTGCCTTTAGCTTTTAAAGTTTCCTTTCGACCCCCAAAGGTTCTATTCCAAAGTTAGATGATTCTTTTGTCTTAAAAAGTAATCCTCAACAAAGGTTTTGCAACCCCAGTCTAAAAAATCACAGCTTGATGGAGATATAAAGGAAAATTCTTCCTCCACAGGCAACTCAGTCAGCACTTGTGAAAAATAATGTTTTATCTTATTAAAGAGTGATCATCGCTATGTGATAAAAGCTCTGTAATTAAAATGTGTGGTTCTTTCTGTAAAAGGCAAAACTACAGGGGGAAAAACAGACAGTGTTTGCTGCATTGAGTGGTTGGTGTTCACTACAAAGAAAAACATGAGGGAAGTTTTGTATCTTGATTGTAGCAATGGATAACAAGACTTTATTTGCTTGACAAAATTTGTACAACTGTACATTAAAAGAAGCAAATTTTACTCAGTTTGCATCTCATCTATTTATTTATTTATTTATTTTGAGACAGGGTCTTATGTCGCCCAGACTCAGCTGCAGTGACACAATCATGGCTTACTGCAGCCTTGACCTCTGGGGCTCAAGGGATCCTCCCAACTCAGCCTCCCAAGTAGCTAGGACTACAGGCACTCACCACCATTCCCGGGTAATTGTTTTTACTTTTTGTAGAGAGAGGGTCTCACCATGTTACTCAGGCTGGTCTCGAATTCCTGGGCTCAAACGATCTTCCTTCCTTGGTCTGTCAAAGTGCTGAGATTACAGGTGTGAGCCACAACACCTAGACCAACTCAGTTTACATTTTAAAAAGATGGTGTATAATATTTTGTAAACCCTCAAGGTTGTCAAGTTTCTTAATAAATTTGAAAAAAGAAACTGTGGAAATTATTAACTAAGGTCACTTCAATGAAATTCATCAGTTTTAGAAAATAGCCAGGAGCTGTTCTAGTAAAAGACATTTTGAACATATTTTTATGTATTAAATACCATCATCAATATGAACATTTTAAACTGGATTGAATGTATTCTCCCTTAACTTATTCTGATTCTCTGACTCCCACCATATCCATAATGTTATTGATTATAGGGGTGAAACAGCTAAAAGGGAGTAGATAATTTCTTCACTTCTAACAACTGTATACAGCTTCAATTCTCTATTGAGAATAAAAGGGATTTTCTTCCTAATTATATTCCAGGACATTTGGAAACATTTTGAAACCAGCCTTAAGTAACTTAAGTTATATCTTTCTTTTATCTCTTTCTTTCTCTATCTCCAACTGTCTCTTTCTCTCTTTATCTGCCTATGTTCTCAGATTTATAAAGAACAAAACAATCACAATATTCATGAGGTATCACTTTAAGCAAAACTCACAGAAAGCCGCACAGAAAAAACAAAAGAAAGAAAAGAAAAGAAACCACTGTTAAACTAAGATCTGTTTCTAAGTATCTTATAGTTTTAAAATGGGATTATAATAGATCCCAAAGGGACACACTGGTATTTAGCTGTCAAGGCCAATAGGAATTTCAGTTTAGGTGATGTTGTACCACATGGAATAATTTCTAATAAGAGAAATCACTAAAGCACAGATCTTTGGATATGAGGCAATTTTTTTCCCTAACTTTATAGTTCTATGATAATCTTTTTATTTTTGTAATTATAAGGTTTCCGTCAGCTAGACTTCTCTAAAATACCTGGGACAGCGCAGTGGCTCAGGCCTGTAATCCCAGCACTTTGGGAGGCTGAGGTGGGTGGATAACCTGAGGTCAGGAGTTTGAGACAGGCCTGAACAACATGGTGAAACCCTGTCTTCACTAAAAATTTAAAAAAAAAAAAAAATTGAGCAGGCATGGTGGCGCATGCCTGTAATACCAGCTACTTGGGAGGCTGAGGTGGGAGAATCGCTTGAACCCAGGAGACGAAGGTTACACTGAGCCGAGATCATGCCACTGCACTCCAGCCCGGGCCACAAGAATGAAAATCCATCTCAAAAATAAAATAAAATAAAATACCTGGGACAACTTTGTGGAAAAAATGTGTGAAACAAAGATTCTATATATTTAGCTTTACTTAGAATGTTTTCTAAGAAACTATTGCTAATTATTTTAAAATTATTCATCACTAGTGATTCAGTTATCTATTGCTGCATGAAAACGACTTCACAGTTTAGTAGTTTACAACAACAGTCTTATCATTTCTCCTGATTTCGTGGTTTGGTTGGGCAGATTTCTCCTGCTTTTAATCTGTATATGCTCATGTCGCCGTATTGAGTTGAAAGATGGCTGTGCTGAAAGATCCTTCACACGTCTGGCAGTTGGTGTTGAACATGCTCTGGGACACCTTCATTTCTCTATATAGCCTCTTATTTTCTAGGGGGACAGACTGACTTGTTTAAATGGCAATGTCATGTCAGCATTTCAAGAGGGTGCAGACCCCAGCAATAGTTCCTCTTGATGCTGAAGCTTTGGAACTTACACTAGGTTATTTTTGCCAGTATCTTTTGCCCAAAGCAAGTCTTGAGGGCATGGTAATTCAAGACATAAGCCAGTAGACTCTTCCCTTGATGGAAGTTGCCAAAAAATGCCATGGCCATGCTTTCCAGTCTAGTAACTCCTCAGCAGATTTCCTCAATAATAACCCACAGTCCCAGAGATTCACCTAATTTAATTTTATGAAGGGTAGTCTTTCATATCTTCCCTGTCATTCTTATTAGCCATATACTTCATTCAATTTTATTCATGATTTTTTTAGTCAAAATAACTTGACTGGGACTCTCAATATAATCTTTTTTATTACATCAACAAATATGTTTTAGGCATTACTATTTGAAAATTTATTATTATAATATCCTTGGTGCTGAGACTAGTAATCTACCTAAACAGTATTTTATGTCAGTCACTTGGCATGGACAACTTATTAATGACCCTGAGAGATAGATACTAGCATCTCTATTTCACAGTTGAAGAAACTGAGTTCTGGAGGTATTAAGGAACATCTCCAGATTGGCACATATCACCGTGGTGGAGGTCTCTCTATCCTCCAAGTCCTTGCTTTACAAAAGCATCCTCCATGCTTTACAAAATAACACAACAATATACCTCCACTTCATAAATAAGATTATTGTTTTCATAAATTGACTTATCATTTGTTTCCAATTTTATAGTCAAGATCACTCTAAACACAAACTTCTCTCATTGTTGATGCCCTCCTGTATTTTCATTATGCATGGTACTTGTGACTACACAGAAAAACAAGCATTCTTTACATAAATCAATGCTAGTTCCAGAAAGGCTAATTCCATGTGAGCATGGATGTATCCAGTGGGGTGGCAAAGCGGAGCATTTCTTGTGAGAGATCCCTAAAAACCTAGGCAAAGTAATGACAGAGGCAGAGTCAAAAGAAGCCACAGAGTCAGTAGAAGAGTGGAGTGAAAGTGAGAATCAGGGAAAAAGCCAAATCAAAAGCCAAAAGCCTGGGAAGACTTAAACAAAGGAAAAGAAACGCCATATTTTGAAGGAGAACTAAGAAACTAAGATTGTTTGTGAACCCCTTTAAAAGGCAAGAATTTAAGCAGGAGATTGAATTACAGCATGAAGCTAAGTGGACTACCGACTTCTGTGGAAATTGAAATCTCTTTGAAGAGGAAGCAGTCTCTTTTATAGCCAGTCTTAAATAGGATGCTCTTTCACAGAAAAAGACAGGGACATTATGTGTTTTGCAACTAAAGGCTCAATTCCCTACTATCCTTTATTAATATGTCTTGCAAGAATCATCTGTTATTTTGAGAACAGGTACTGGCAGGGAAAAATGAAAGAATTCTAAAAGTACTGAACACACATGTGATTGACAGAGCCCAAAAGACTCTTAAGACAAGCTTGGATAGTCTTGAGCTCTACGATAGTTTTCAGAAAAGGACAGTGATGGCTCCTTATTTCAGGTCTTTCAAAGCAGATTTTCATAATAAATACTGGTGTTTATGGACCATGAGTCTGACCCAGTAATGCCACTCCTTTACTCTGTAGAGGATCTGCTGGCCAGCTAGTTTATGAGCTCTCAGTAGAAAATAAATGGCCCAGAAAAGATATTCCTTCCACTAAAAATCAAATAAAAGGCATATGCTGAAAATAGATGGCTACATAAGTTCTGGAATGAGGAACATATACAGTAAATTGTTGGTTATGGTTAATATGATTTGGTCACAGAAATCTTGTGCAAGTGGTCAAAGATATGTGTCATACTTCACTAACAAGGCAGGTGGGATTAATTTGAGTTTTTATCTTCCCATGATTTATATATGGAGAAGTGAAAGGAAGTTTGGGAGTCAGGTTTATTCATACTACTGTTCAGAGAGGGATTGCTTTTGTTTTTATTTTCTTTAGATAATGTATTTACATTTTGTTAAAATATTCTTCGACATATATGTATGAAATATGTTACAAATTTGGTTGTCATTATCATACGTAAAATTTCCAAACTTGGCTGAAAAGGCAATAGTTGTAGTATAAATATTTCAGTGCCCATTTCTTTTGAAAGAAAAGAAAATACGACATAATTTTCTCATCTTTAGTCAGAGGTTTGTGATTTCAGAAGCAGAATATTGAGGCATTCATAACCTGTGATTATGACCTCAAATTTATTGCACAGAATACAAGATGGATAATTCACATTCCTTGAACCCTGACTTCTAAACTAGAACTGGACACCCTCATTATAAGGCCAAACTGGCATCATTAGGCACACACTTTCAGCAAGTTGCATGCCAGCTCCAAAGCAGGTCACTGCTAGCATCTCTCTGATTCTCTCAGCATCATTCTCCTTGTCCCTTGAGAAGGTCTCATGAACACACATCCACTACGCTTCCTGTGCAGCCTGCAGAGCCGTGAGCCAAATAAACCATTTTTCTTTATTTAAAAAAAAAAAAAAAAAGGTCTCATGACTAGGTCATCTCTCTATAGTCAGGGTTCAATTCCAGTTCAATAATTTTGTGTATGTTAATTTTTTTTTATCATTTCTTTAAATGAAAATCCAAACCCTAGCCCTAACGTGACTTAAGGATCAAATCTTCAGAAATGTGGAATAACGAATTTCTGATAATTTTCTGAAGATTCCATCATTAGCAATGTTTCTGTGGGACAAAAGATTGTGTTCAGGATGAAGTAGCTATTTGGCAAAATCAAGTATGTGTTGATTACTTTCTGTGTCTCGAGAAGTCAGCTTTAAGGCACAGATTGTAATTAACTTGAGTTTCATGGGGCAAAGATGAATCCATTTCCCTTAGCTCTGGGTAGTTTCAGAATGAGACTTCAAGTTACAAGACAGCCTCAGGTGTTCTAAGTTCATTGTTGGCACCCATGATGTGTGCCAAAATACAAAATGACACTCTCCTACCACCCTGCCCTGTTCCTCTTTTCAGAGCAGGGCATGTTTCTTTTGGTTTAGAGTAAAAATGATTTTAATTAATGAGAGTACTAATGCACTAGGTATATAAAAGAAATAGATAAAGCTGCCAGGTGTAAAATATTAGGGAGTGGTAGGTTCTGTTTAAACTGGAGTGTATGCATTAAATAAAACACTCAAGTCTTGTTTTTTTTTAAGTATTATTCTAATTATTTTTAGTTCTTTTTCATTTTTGTTTTGTTGTTTATTAAGAAAGCCAAAAATTTAACCTATAACAGAATATTGCACATCGGTCAAGAATGAAAAACTCATCTCTAATTGATAGTAATAATTATTCTTTCAAGAAAAAAAACCTGTAAAGTTTGTGACATCTAAACTGAATATGCATTTTAAAAGAAGAGCTGTTATGGAAGGAATAAAGGGTGACAGGTGTGATGTCCAGCCACGAAGGTGGCAAAACTGAGAAACAGGCGAAGGAGATGGATGAGGAAGATATGGCTTTTAAATTAAAACAAAACAGGAGCAGAAGAAATGGACATGAATAGATACTTCTAGAAATAAAATATACAAGCAGTCAACAAACATGAAAAAATGTTTCACTTCACTAATCATCAGAGAAATGGAAGTCAAAACACAATGAGATATCAACTCACACCAGTCAGGATGAACTATTATTAAAAAGTCAAAAAATAACAGATGCCGGTTAAATAACAGAGGCTGTGGAGAAAAGATAATGTTTATACACTGTTGATGGAAATGTAAATTTGTTCAGTCACTGTAGAAAGCAGTATGGAGATTTCTCAAAGAACTTAATAGAGAACTACCATTGACCCAGAAATCCCATTACTGGGTATATACTCAAAGGAAAATAAATTGTTCTACCAAAAGGACACAGGTATTTGAGTGTTCATCATGGTACTATTCACAAGAGCAAAAACATGGAATCAGCGAAGTGCCCATCAGTTTTGAATTGGATAAAGAAAATGTGGTACTAATGATACACCATGGAATACCATGCAGCCATAAAAAGAACAAAATTATGTATTTTGCAGCAACATGGATGCATCTGAAGGCCGTTATCCTAAGTGAATTAACTCAAGAAAAGTAAACCAAATGTTACATGTTCTCATATGTAAGTGGGAACTAAATGTTGAATGCCCATAGCTATAAAAATGGAAACAATAGACACTGAGGAATATCAGATGGGGGAGGGAGGAAGGGGGTGAAAAAACCACCTGTTTGGTACTATGCTCCCTACCTAAATTATGGGATCATTTGTACCCCAAACTCCAGCATCATGCAATATACACACGTAACAAATATGCACATGTACCCTTTAATCTAATACAAGAAAAGTTGAAATTATTTGTAAATAAATAAATAAATTTGAGGAGCTAAATCAAAAGCCATGGTGAAAGGCCCCTGGCCATGCATGGAATTAAATAATCTGGCAAAAATAAGCTTTCCCTTGTGCCTGAGGCAAGAGCAAACCATTTTTCCGTTTCTTCTTAAACATCTAGATTCACTGCTAGAACACTTTTGCCACTTATAGCTAGAATGTCTTGGAGGTTGTTGTGCATTATAAAATACATTTTTGTATAAATAAATAAATAAACTTGAATGGAAGGAAGGAAGGGTCAGAAATACAATCTATCCAGATGAATAATCCACTTATGAAAGTACCAACTGGTATTGTTCTTTGGGATACTATAATATTCATGATTCCAAACTAAATTTTTAGGAATAAATCTTGAAACAATTCTACATCTTTAAATATATTATTTGATTTGATCTTTGTGTTTTTCCGTGACAGGTAGGTTTAAGACAATAATGATTCTTTATTATCATGTCCCTATTTTAAAAAATCATTTATTTTCCATTTCATGTTTATGGTTAGGAGGAATTTTTTAATGTTATACTTCAATTTATATTCTACTTTTTCATTGTCATACACATACTTTTCACATTGTTTATTCTCAATGGAATAAGAAGACTCATTTTACTCATTCATTTTAGAAGACATTGTACCTCTATTTCCTAAACTACAGAAAGGAAACAAAAAATGGCAATTACTTAATAGAAATTAATTTTTTTTAAAAAGATAAACCTGAATAACCTGCTTGGAAGACTGCCTGAAACATTGAGTCCAAAATTGTTAGTCAATATTATTGTCATTATCTCTGAGCCTATTTGTAAAAAGATACTATCTAGAAAATGTAGGAGGTGCCATGTTTCCCCATTTGGAAACACTGACAGCCTGGCTGTGAATTCTATAAGGACTTGGCGGACTTTTGCCTGTCCTGCTGTCTGACATTCTTCAGCACTCTGCTGGGAGAAGCCATTCCTTATACTTCCATCATGGTGTGTGATGCCTCTCTGTTCTCTAGTACATCCAGTTGGATCTAAAAGTAAGCACCATCCTGAATGGAATCTAAGCTGAGATAATATATTTACACAGTCAACCTTACAAAGGTTATAAAGAAACACAAACCACCCTCTTCTTCTAAAACAAGACAATAAAAGCACCTGGTCAATTTAGAATTAGGTGAACATTTTAAAATCTAAAGATACATTTAATATAACCTCTTGAAGCCAGTGTGTGTTGGGTTGGCAGTGGGGTTGGGTAGATAGGATTCAGTGAAATGTGAGCCTGAGCACCTTTTACTCCTACCAATGAGTTCAGACTGTCCTGGAAGAAACAGCCCATCTCACCATGCCTCTGGTCTGTTTCCTTTTATGCTTAAAGCATGACACACTGGCCAGCCAGTGATTTTTCTCACAACATTCTGTTCCTAGGAACAATTCAATCCCTGGGGATAAATTCACTCATATGCTTGCTTTCTTTTTTTCCTTTTTGTTAAATCTGTTAAGATTTTTTTTTTTTAAATTACCCACAGCAGAGTTGTATTTCACAGCTGGCATATCAATTTTAGTGTGAAGTTTTAAGGATATCTGCACTATAAATGGTTATTGTGTTCTATTATGAAGTAGTGCCACTGCGCACAGACATCTCTCTCTTACTGCCTCTCTCATTCTTCCTCGCTGGATTCTTCTCTCTCTCTTTCTAACTCATTCTCAATTCTGTTAGCTCAGTCAATGGGAGAAGGGTTTCATGTCAGACATACATGTGTACAATATCATGGGTGGGACAGAGCTAAAAACACTGTAGGCCCCAGATGCTTCTGGGTGGGCTGGGAAGAGAAACACATTCAACACTGAGGAAATTTTATTAGTACAGACACAAGAGGATTTTTTTCATTTATGTTAATTAATTTCTTATTTCATCATTTCTCTGGCTACATCTACAATCATGTTCCACTTAGTTGAAGATGAAAGCCAATTTACTCACCCTCCAAATTGAGAACTACAGTCTTTCAAGCTGATGATATTACAATGTAATTAAATAACATAATTCATACCATGAGTATTATTTTTTCTGTTGTCCTCAGGTTATATGTAATTCTTCAAGACAGCAGTCCCTACTTCCACCTAGTTAATTACATGTTGTGGTTGATATCCTAAAGGCTGGTCAGAAAATTAATTGATTATGTGGGTACTACCAATTTGTAGTCAAAGGATGAGTTGCTGTTTTGTTTAAACTAATGGATACTATCTTCTTCTGGAAGCATAGAATATACCAAAGAGTGTTTGTAAAACATGAGCAAGTAATTGTGTTTATTTATTATGAACAAAGGTGATGCATCATGTATAATATACATACACAGACACACACACATGTACACACACACATATACACACTGAGACAAACAGAATTTTGGATGATGTTTTAGTATTTCTTTCTACTGTTTCAATAAGAAATGAAAGTGTTGATCAAGCTAATGGATAAAAAAGGTGTTTTTAATATGCCTAGATATTGTAAGAGATTAAAACCAAAGAGAAGGAGAGACAGAAAAACTATAAGAAGAAAATATTACCAAAGCACATTTCATGGAATAGTCACCATGTTAGACATCTTACATTTTATGTTTACATTTCAATATTTGTAATCTTATTTTCAAGATATTCTCCTCCTATTATAGAAAAATTAAATAAGACACAGAAAAAGTAAAAGCAATCCAGAAACCTCAATGTCGGATATACAATATACTGGCATTGGCTGGCAGATCAAACAAGACAACAGACACTGGGACTAACTGATGGTCATGTAGTAACTAAATAATGGGTATATCAGCTAGATCACAGGCCTTCTGGCCCTTAGCCCAATTTTCTGTCCACACTAATATATGATATTCTAATATATACTACTTTTTACCATTTTTGCCCATAAGAGATTTACAATAAATTTGGGCATTCAGATATAAATATTTGAAATACTATTATATTTCCTCAAGATCATTGTAGGTTCTCAGAAACTGTGACTTTAAACAAAATGACATATAATAAAACCATTTTTTTCTCAACAAAATTGTAACTATGTTGACCGAAATGTTATTCAAAGACGTGCTGTACATTGTTTTGCTTAAAGTCATAGTTTCCAAGAACCTATTGATGATGTTAAGTTAGGATGTATTGTAATTTGAATAATATATACAGTATAATAACATGCTCTATGTATAGCAAAAATAAAACGTTCGATTAGTAAAAGTTTCATTACAGATAGAAAGGCATTTGGAATAGTTTAACCAGTGGGAACAATAGTTTATAATATAAAAGCAATTTATCAAATGGCTAGTCATGATTAAGCATATGCAGTAGCGTATACACATATATGTTAGGTAGTTAATGATAGAGCCCACACTTAAACATCCGTACTAAGATCCTGCATAAATGCTATGCGGTGATATGCTCTGTCTGTATTTTATTGACGCACAGTGAGTAAGTGTATGAAGTGTGCTATAATGCAGCAATGGCACAGAAGCTGCAGAACTGCATTGAAGGATTGTATAAGATTAAATGAGATATTGAGAGAACACATGTGAAAACATTCTGTAAACTATGATATGTGACACAAATTTTAGGTACTATATTGTCCATAGACTATATACCTTAAGTGAGTTATAATATAATTCTATTATCTTATTTTGTGTTTAATGCGTGTTCACTAATTGATTGCTATTATGAATACTTTTTCATGGGTGAGGAAATAGGTACAAAGAGATAAAAGAAGTGTTCAGAAATCAGAGAATCAGTAAGTGGAGAAGCAACAAAACAAATATATATGTATGTATGTATGCACATGCACACATATATTCAGATTCCAAGCTTGGCTCAAAATTTAATTGAGGTAACACACTTTAAAACTTAGGTATATTCTCCTATTAACCTTTCTAAGAATCAGAAATTTCGGGGGTTTTGGAATAGGTAGTTCAACTAGGTAATTTCTAGAGTAGCTTGCAGTCACCAAATTAGGTGGTTCAAAGTTTCCATTTAGTCATAAATAAAATATAATATGTAAGCTTGTGTTATTTGCCATGTATACTTTAAACATAGATATTAGACATGGAATGTCCATCATTAATATCATAAAAACGTAACTTTATTCTGTAAACTAAAGATATTCAGATTCAGTTTTCATGAACATTATTGAACATTTACTATGTACTATCTATTGGAAATTTTTTTTGGTCTTTAACTTAAAAACCAAAACTTAAGTATGAAGAAAATTGCTAACCACAGAGTATGGATTCCTTCTCTCAATCGTTCTAAAAGACAGAAGAATTAGTGATGGCAAAATCTATAGTTATCTATTCCAGTGTTGTCTCTCAGTTTATGTAAGTAAAAGACTGAAGGGAAGTGGGAAGAGATTCATGGGTGCCTTTGGCTTTTGGGTGAGTTGCAATCCTTGTTGTGAGAGATCAGTCCCTTTTTATTTCCTCCTGTAAAAGAAAAGTAAAATGTTCTTTTCCACCCTTTTCCTCTTGGTCCAGTGAACAGGGGGAAAAGTTTGTTTGTTTGTTTGTTTTGAGACAGAGTCTCACTCTGTCGCCCAGGCTGGAGTGCGAGGCGCGATCTTGGCTCACTGCAAACTCCACCTCCCGGGTTCACGCCATTCTCCTGCCTCAGCCTCCAGAGTAGCTGGGACTACAAGCGCCCGCCACCACGCCCGGCTAATTTTTTGTATTTTTAGTAGAGACGGGGTTTCACCGTGTTAGCCAGGATGGCCTGGATCTGCTGACCTTGTGATCTGCCCACCTCGGCCTCCCAACGGAAAAAGTTTTAAAAAACAATTGTAGAAATTGTAAGTTTCTATAAGAAAGGGAGTCTGAGATTCCATGTGAGATTCTAGATGAGCTGGTTAGCTGAAAATCTGAGAGATAACATGAGAGAAAGAGGTTCAATTGCTTAGCTTGCGCTGCACTATTTGCAGTGATTAGGAATGCAAATTTCTTATGGGTCAAGTGGACAAAGGGAAGAGTTAATGGATTTGAGCTCTCTTTAGGTTTCTCCCAATCTGGAGGACTAAGTGAGAAAACCTTAGCAGTCAAAAGTTGCGATGTGTACTTCCAGAGTGAGCAAAGAGTAGATATGTGTATTAGGCCATTCTTGAATTGCTATTAAGAAATATCTCAGACAGTAATTTTTAAACAAAAGAGGTTTAATTGGCTCATGGTTCTGCAGGCTTTACAGGAAGCCTGGTGCTGACATCTGTTCTGCTTCTGAGGAGGCCTCAGTAAGCTTACAATTATCATGGAAGACAAAGGGAAAACAGGAACTTCACTTGGAAAAAGCAGGAGCAAGGTGAGAGAGAGAGCAAGATGCCACGCATTTTTAAACTATCAGGTCCTGTAAGTCACTCCCTATTGTCTGGGCAGCAGCAAGGGGATGATCTAAACCATTCATGAGAAATCTGCCCCATGATTCAATCATCCTCCACCAGGCTCACCTCCAACATGGGGAATTGCAATTTAATATGAGATTTGGGTAGGGACAAGTATCCAAGCTATATGAAGAAGGATTCTCTGATTTGAAAATAATAACAATAATAACAACAACAATACAGTGAGAAATCCCTGCTGAGGCTTCAAAAAATGTACACATACCCAGGGATACTGGTAGCCCATAGGTGGACTTTGTAAAAATTAGAAAAAGGTACCTCTTTCAAACAGATACCATGAAGTGTAAGGGTATATATCTAATTGAGCAGAATACCATCTGGATATTAGTTTCCTTTCATTTCCATCTGGATGTAATTTATGTGGGTCACAGCCTGCAAAGCTTTACATAACCTACTGGTATTATGAACTCCTAAAAATATTGGCATCAATGGTCAGAAATTGTCGTCTGCAACACAGAGACACCCAAGAGAGAAAGGTCAATATTTAAGATCATTTAAATAGTTACATGCCCCTATTCTTCTTACTGTCCCTTGACTATCATGATGGAGAACGTATTCCTGGGAGGGATGTACTGGAATACAGAAAGTATTCCCATCATAAAGGCAGCCCATGCCCACGATATCCTATCCTTGTATTCCAAACAATTGGGATCCTAGTGTATGTGGACTGAATGAGAGGAGGAAGAGGAGAGATTAGATGTATTTGGAAGTCAATCAAAATTATGAAATCTATCTGAAATGTTGAAAGGAAAAGCCAAAACTTCACCACTGTGAAATACATGTATGTAAGAAATCTGCACTTGTACCCCTTAAATATATGAAAATTTTTTTTTAAAGGGAAGGGAAGAAAAAGCATACTTACCACATTATGTTTATAGGTTTTTCTTTGAGAACTTTTACCAAATTATTTACTCCATCACAACCATCATCATTATCATCACCACCATCATCATATTCTTAATATGCAAACCTTTAAATCTGGAATTATTATCTCCACTTTCCATAAGAGGAGACAGAGCTCCAGAGAATTACATATGCTGGTGGAATGGACAGAATCCAAATGTAAGCCTGACTCCAGGTCTGTTTATAAAAATAATCCTTCAAATAGTCCCTCTGTCCCCTAGCAGTGTCTGACAGTGGAGATCAAGCCTTTTCAGAATGTCTTGACAAGTCCAAGATATTCTTTACTGCTCCTAGATATAAACCTGGAGGTTTTATGGAAATATGTACTTAAAATTCCTGTTTAATTTTTGCCCTTGGCTGAGGTTACTGAAGTTCTAACATTATAATGAGCCACACTAGTAAGATTTAGAGCCTCACAATTTTTAAGTAATGTACTCATAAGTTATGAACTGCTACCTCATAATTAAAGAGTGTCAACTGGGCCACAAACCATGGGCATTAATTAATCCTTATGTATTGTACCAGAAAAGCTTTGAACAAATAGAAGTAATTGTCAGTACATAGAGAGAATATATAATAGTCTTTGCTTCTAGAAAATAACTGTTAATGTTTATGATAATTTTCTTTTTTTGATTTGGGACACCAACACCTTAAACCCCTTTCCCATGTTAAAGGAATCTTGTATGAGTCTCCTTCTCTCTGTAGAAGTTGAAATCTCCACATTCTGTCTTGTGCAGTTTCCCCAAAAGCTACAGCCTCAGCATCAGATACATGTTACACTAGTCAGATGGACCTGCTCTGAATGATGAATCTGGATCTAATGACATATGGGAGGCTTAATCATGCAGAAGTTATTTTGTTGATGGGTCATAGGAGTTCTTCCAGTTTCCAGAGCCAGTGGCACCATCTCTTACAGAGGCAGAGTGCAGTGCCCAGTCTCAGGGGTATGGATGGTGCAATTTGCAGTGTTTTGTTTTATGGCCCAAGGCTTTGATGTGTTCACTGGGTTAGTTTCTTGCAAAATGTTGGGCTTTGCTTCCAAGCTGGATTTTCTGGCCCTTAAAGTGTTGTTAGGCTGTGAGCTAACAATACTTTAGGCAAATTCTTAAATCACCCAATCAGCCTAACTAATGAAAGTTCAATTACGGAATGAATAGGAAAGTATAGGTTATTCAATATCTATCATGCAAATTGGTATGTGCTTCATGCTTTTATGTACCCTAGTTTCCTCAGTGATATAGGGTTAGGATGAAGAAAATGATCTCTAAACTTGATTGTCAAAGTGTATATTTAAAATGAATTTACATTTTATCAATATATTTTAAACATATATATTTAGAAAAAATGATGCATTTTCAAGTGTAATATATCAAATGCTCAAAAATCATCTGAAATACTTTGATATAGGTGCTTAAATGTGCAAACAAACATTTACACCTTAAAGCCACTTATACATTTGAAGTGTATTTGCGCACAAAACTATTTTAGGTGTTTGATCTTTATTTTCAGTTAAATTAAAATACTGAAGATATCTAAAAAATATTTACATAAATTATATCTGTAATATTGGTAGGATTATTCTTGTTCTTCAGATGTTATGTCTAGTAACACAGTGTGAGATGATTTATCATTGCTATTTGTTAGCTATGAGTTTACTTAACTTACAGTAAGACTATCCTAAGTTGCCATAGGCGATCTGCAAATTCTTACTAATGTCAGGCTACAGAAACACACACACACAACACACACGATAGCAATGGTAAAGTGAGCCAATTGCCAAAGCTCTTATCTCTCTCCTCTAATCTTAAAGTAGTGGATTGTAGCCATTTCCATGCCCATTCTTAGTGTGGACATAATTGAAAACTTCTGTGATGGAAGCAGGTCAAAACAAAGCAAAATAAAAACCATGCTAAAAAAAATAGGAAGGGGAAGAAGAAGAAGAAGGAGGAGGAGGAGGAGGGGAAGGGGAAGAAGAGGAAGAAGGAGGAGGAGGAGGAGGAGGAGGCGAATGCCTCTAGGACCAGGGCCTGGCTGTTGTCCAACACCAATTTTTTGGGGGGAATATTAAGGGATAAAGCCCTGAATCACAGCTGTCTTGGAAGAAGCTCAAGTGTGCACATTGACTGCCCCACTTCTTCATATTAGGCACCCTTCCCCACCCCTGCCCATTAGAACAAAGATAGAATTTCACTGGTTCCTCTCCATTACGGCCATCCCATCAGGAGTAAATTCCCTCATATTTATTGTATCATTTACTGGAAGGAAGATTTGCCAATGAAAGAAAGCAAAACATTGTAGCCTGGTTAGTCTAATATAATGAAATAGTTGATCAATTATTATTGGGGGAACCAGCTTCCAATATTTCAATGTAGTTTCTTTCTATTTTCCCTAAGTGTTGGCTGGTCTGAGAAATAAAAAGAAAGCGTACAAAGAGAGAAATTTTACAGCTGGGCCTCCGGGGGTGTCATCACATATTGGTAGGACCGTGATGGTGACTTCAAGCCGCAAAACCAGCAAGTTTTTATTAGGGATTTTAAAAGAAGAGGGGGTGTACGAACAGGGAGTAGGTCACAAGGATCACATGCTTCAAAGGGCAATAAAGATCACAAGACAAGGCAAAATTAGAATTACTGATGAGGGCCTATGTCTCGCTGTGCACGCATTGTCTTGATAAACATTTTAACAGGAAACAGGGTTCGAGAGCAGACAACTGGTCTGACTAGAATTTACCAGGCTGGAATTTCCCAACCCTAGTAAGCCTGAGGGTACTGCAGGAGACCAGGGCATATTTCAGTCCTTATCTCCACCACATAAGACAGACACTCCCAGAGCAGCCATCTATAGACCTACCCCCAGGAATGCATTCCTTCCCCAGGGTCTCAATTATTAATATTCCTTGCTGGGAAAAGAATTCAGTGATATTTCTCCTACTCACACATCTGTCTATGGGCTCTCTGCAAGAAGAAAAATATGGCTGTATTCTGCCTGACCCCACAGGCAGTCAGACCTTATGGTTATCTTCCCTTGTTCCCTGAAAATCACTGTTATGCTGTTCTTTTTCAGGGTGCATTAATTTCATATTGTTCAAACACACATATTTTACGATCAATTTGTACAATAGTGATCCTGAGGTGACATACATTCTCAGCTTATGAAGATAACAGGATTAAGAGATTAAAGACAGGCATAAGAAATTATAAGAGTATTGATTGGGGAAGTGATAAATGTGCATGAAATCTTCACAATTTATGTTCAGAGATTGCAGTAAAGAGAGGCATAAGAAATTATAAAAGTATTAATTTTGGGAACTGATAAATGTCCATGCAACCTTCACAATTTATGTTCTTCTGCCTCAGCTCCAGAGACCCCAGTCGGGGTCCCTGACTTCCCGCAACAAATTATATATTTATAAAGATATTTTTTATGGTGCAATCCTTAAATATAAACTGTGTTTTTTTCTTTGGAAATTCATGATTGGGGGTGGTGGTATAAAATTTATGCCTTGAAAAATAACTACATTTATAAACTGACATTAATGGTTTATCTTATTAAATATGGGTATACGTATAACACAATCACAATTTTTTAATGACCTTAACAGTTTTACTTTCTCTCATAGGTAACATACTACTTTAACTTTATAAAAATAAACAAACAATTTTAAAATCAGAAAATAGCCTTGCTACTTCAAATTACATTTGACATAACAAAATTATAAGTATAATAATGATACTTAACTATCCTTTGAAACCTAAAATTTTAACCCATACTATTGTGTTCTTGTAAATACAAATTAAATGTTTAATTCTTTTCAATGGATTTTATCTTACTTACAAAAAAGCAGTACATGTATTTGTTGGGAATTGACTAAAAATAAAGTTCATTAATTGATTGTCTTAAATTTTAGAAAAGTTATTGTTTTTGTTGCTTCAGTCATCAGAAATTATTTATCATTACAAAGAATCACTGTTGTCTTAACTTCCACTGCAATTATTTTAATAAAAACTTATGTCCACAGTGTTTAAGTCAATAAATATTTTTAGTCTAAATTTTTTAGTCTAAACCAGACCTTTCAAAAGCTTTTGATTTTGTTGACCCATGGCTCTCTCGATCTCTTGGTTTTATTGAATCATAATTCACCTAAAAAAATTGACCAATTCCACTCTATGATAATGAAGACACAGAATATTTCCGTAACTCCAAAAAGTTCACTTGTCAACCTTTGCAGTAAATCTTCTTCACTCCTCTACCCTCCCTGGCCTTGAGCCCCAGAGAAGCATTAATGTGCTTTATTTCATTATTATTTTATCTTTCTCTAGAATATCTCATAGATGGAATAATTCATTGTTTTGTCTCTGCCTTCTTTCATTTAGTACTATGCTTTTGATTTTTACCTATGTTGTTTCATATGTCATTAATGTGTCACTTTTTTGCTGAGTGGTATTTTATAATGTGCTTAACTGTTCTGTAGATATTTGGGTGGTTTCTAGTTTTTTTGGGTAAAATACTGATATGAATATTTTTATACAAGTACTTGCTTAGACACATGCCTTCTTTTTCTTGGCCAGTTTCTTTTCAAATACTCTTTTTCTTTGCCTTTCATGGCATTATTTTCTGATTTTATTTTTCTCTGTTTGCTTTGCTTTCTAATTTCAATGTTTTCTCGTCAGACTTTATGTACTAAAAGTCATCACATTTCAACCTTAGGTCTTTTCCTCCTTTCACATTAATTAAATTTTATCTGCATCATGGGTTTAATTATCCCTCATATGCAGTTAACTCAAAATATATCCTCAGCCTAGAATTCCTAAGCACCGGTTTATTTATCTATCTAACTATTTGACTTCACCCACTGACGTTCTCTGAGGCATCTTCAAATCAATGCATCCAGAAATTTTAAGATTTTTCATCCCATTAAACCCATTTCTTTCTAATCTTTTCCTTAGTTGTACAATTTAGATAACAATAAAGATCTTCACACCATCGTCCTGTGTTTGTTAGAGATTGTGCTTTCTCAGTAGTATCTGAAGTCATCTCCCCATTTCCACTGCTTCCTTCCAGTCTTTTTTTTTTTCCATGCAGCTGAGTGATCTTCAATCAGAGATTGACTGATCATGTCAATTTCTCATTTCCCATCTTCTGCTTAAAGTAGATTATTGGTTTCAAATAGCTTATATACTAATAACCAGTCTCTTTATTTTGTCTTATAAGGTTTGACATAGAAAAGTCCCCCCTAAAATTATCCAGACTAGTTTTGAAATAGTTTCCAGTCTCATTCTCCACACTGCCATCTATCATTATCTCAAACCTAACACCCACCCCTGGCCACAGAGCCTTTCCATCAGGAATAACATGACACATGTTACATGAAACATTTCAAACCTCTCTTTATCTGCTTAAGGCCTATTCTTTTTAAAATGTTTGACTGAAAAACAATAATTATATGTATTTATGGAGTTCAACGTGATTTTTTTTTTTCTGAGACAGAGTCTCGCTTTGTTGTCCAGGCTGGAATGCAGTGGTGCCTCCGCCTCCCAGGTTCAAGTGATTCTCCTGCCTCAGCCTCCCAAGTAGTTGGGATTACAGGTATGCACCATCATGCCTGGCTAATGTTTGCATTTTTAATAGAGACGGGGTTTCATCATGTTGCCTAAGCTGGTCTTGAACTCCTGATCTCAAGTGATTCTCCCACCTGGGCATCCCAAAGTGCTGGGATTACAAGCATGAGCCACTGTGCCCAGTCATGTGATGTTTTATTCTAGGTACACATTGTGGAATAATTCAATAAAGCTAATTTTCTTTAAATTTAAGTATAAGGTACCACTTCATAAGCAGAGTTTCATTATATGCACTAGGTGCACTAAAAATTCTCCTTCATATACCTGTTGTATTACTGAACTTTTTCTGTTAGATTATTTGATTAATGTTGGTCCCTCAAACTAGTCCATAAGATCTATGTTGTCAGGAATTATGCAGATTTAAATTATCCTTCCATCTCGCCATATATCAAAGTTGATGCCATGTGGTAAGGACTTAATAAGTATTGTCTGAATGAGTACATTTAATTGATTGAATAGGATTTGATGAGTGTATAAACATGGCAAGCTGATCTTGATGAATGTTTCAAGTTTTATGGTTTGAGAAAGAATAAGGAGCCACAAATGGTGGCAAGTTATAGAGGACAAATAATAGGTTCAGAGAATTAGAAAATGAGTGACATTCCCTTGTATTATATCTTAAATGCTACAACATTATTTGAAATAATGTTTTCTATAAAATGAGGGGGAACTTATATGAATAAATTTTCTTATATAGCAAAGGTGCGTGAGGTGTACTTCCAGAAGTAACTTAAAATTGTTCTTATATCTTTTTTCCTTTCACTTTTTCCTATCTCTACTAGTCTTTCTATGATATTAAAAATATATACATCAAGCACAGGAAACTCCTCAAAAGGTCACCATTAAATGAAGACATAATTAACACATGGGATAAATAACTGACAAGTAAGTCACCGAGGATAAGTGAGACGTCAAAGACGAGACAGTGTTTAAAGACCTTTTGAGAAGCCAGTAAACAGTATCAATCATATTGTTGTCAAGAGGGAGGTGATCAGCAGAGACCAATTTTGCAGAAATACAGGAGACCTGATGCTGAAAAGTCTAAGTGTCTTATGTATGCTTTGAAACATGTAAGGCAGTAGTTCCCAGTGGAGGTTTTCCCTTGCTCAGGTGCAACAGAGTTTGAAGAGTTTGTGCTGCTTGTTGAAGCATCACAAATGGCATGCTTTGACAGCTGGGGTACCTGTTGAATAATTTCTCTGTCAAATATTCAAAATAAAATGGCACAGATGTTAAGGTGCATGAATATGCAGCAAAAATATCCTCCTGAAGGACAACAAAAAGCTCTTTAAAAGTTTGAAAAGATAGAATGCTCTGTTACTTCTCTATAGTCATTTTAATTGTTACCCTTTGTTTTTAAATTTCTATTAAAATTGAAAGTTCTGGTGATGTTTTAATTTCCAATGAAAAAAAGTGGAAGCTTTGCTATATCTTTATTTCTACCTCAAATTCAACAAACACCTTCCTTTGATCAGCTTTCAAAGTGCTGTTTATGTGAATGTAGCAAACCTGCATATGTACCCCCTGAATGTACAATAAAAATGGAAATTATAAAGTGAATAAAATAAAATAAAATATATATTCCAAGGGTAGCTATCAAAAAGAAGAAAGAGAGGTGCAGGAAATTTCAATTCGGGGTTATAATAACTACGATGGAGTAAAAACTTCTCACTTGGTAGTACAGAAGTGGAACACTCCCTAGACCCCCGAGAGCTCAGAGAAGTATTGATTTGTTACACATGATGTAATACTAAAAATAAACCCTGAGGGATAATTAGGAGGTTAAAAATAATCTTGGCGAAAGAAGTGAAGAAGGGCAGAGAATGTATTATGTGAAGGCCTGAATGTTAAGAAACCAAACACTAGAAGATCTTTAAATTGTCAAGCATTGTTTAATATAAGAAAATAAATGGAGAGTTGTCTCAAAAAAGGAGGCCAGAGAACAAAGCAGAGTCCAGATTAAAAAGTGTCCAGTTTGCCACATTAAAAGGTTTGGCTCTAGGGTGTGGTGGCCTGTGCCTGTAATTCCAGCTACTCTGGAGGCTGAGGCAGGAGAATCACTTGAACCCGAGAGGTGGAGTTTGCAGTGAGGTGAGATGGCGCCACTGCTCGCCGGTCTGGGCAACAGAGCGAGACTCCATCTTAAAAAAAATAAATAAAAATAAAATAAACTATTTGGCTCTAATCTTATACTAATTAGATGCCTTTTAGAAGTTCTAATAAGAAGAATGACATGATCAAATTATTCTGGCTTATAACATGTTAAATGAAATTGAATGAATGTAATAATTGCTATTTAGTATAGCTATGTCTAAGAAACTAGACCATACTGGCCTAAACCTCTGAAGGTCTTTTATTGAACAAAAAGCAAATATATTAAATATCTGTTATTTACTATATATCAGATATATGATGTATATCATATACAAATATATATTTTCATTTTAAATACTATATATAAATAATATAATGTATAATTATATAAATATATATTATATATTTACATTAAAATATGTATTTTAAAATATCTTTATATTATTTGAACGTTTTTATTGCCAAGTTTTTATGGGAATTTTATTAAGAGGGTGAGTTCTAGTCCTCTACATCTCTTCAGTCTGGCATGCTACAAACATGGTTCTTGATGTACTGATTCAAGACGGTGTTGTAATTCTAGCCACAATATCATCCTTTAAAGAATCAGGGAAGGCCAGGCACGGTGGCTCATGCCTGTAATCCCACCACTTTGGGAGGCCAAGGCAGGCAGATAACTAGGTCAGGAGTTCGAGACCAGCCTGGCCAATATGGTGAAACCCTGTCTCTACTAAAAATACAAAAATTAGCTGGGCGTGGTGGCACACACCTGTAGTCCCAGCTACTCGGGAGGCTGAGGCAGGAGAATCGCTTGAACCTGGGAGGTGGAGGCTGCAGTGAGCCGAGATCGCACAACTGCACTCTAGCCTGGGTGACAGAGCGAGACTCTGTCTCAAAAAAAAAAAAAAAAAAAGGAATCACGAGAGAAGAAAAGGACTGAACCACTTATCACCACTTATCAGTAAGAGACTTCCTAGAAGTCTCATACAATGTTTCTTACTCATATTGGCCAGAAATTTGTTCTATGATGTCCCAAGCTCTGTGGGTGAGCAAACAAATTACCACCCTGAGAAAAAGCGAGCTTTTGAAATAAAAGGGGAAGGAGGGGTGGATTTGGGATAGGCACCTGTCCCCTTCTTACACATTCCTTGGAAGAAGGATTGTCCTTGGTCTCTCCTGAAAGACAGAAGATTAGCTAAAGGGCTTTTTAATTTTTTTGGTAATGTGGACTGGAGAACATTAATTAGTACTGAGTGAAACATTGGAAAGGAATTGAAAGACACCTATGAGGTACGATAATGATGGTTTAGTAATTACTTGAACATAGGGAAGAAGTGA
Organism: Homo sapiens; assembly: GCF_000001405.40. Lineage (NCBI taxonomy): Eukaryota > Metazoa > Chordata > Mammalia > Primates > Hominidae > Homo > Homo sapiens. The sequence goes on from NC_000007.14 coordinate 125,744,225, forward strand.
AAAAGAAAGAAGATGCCAGAATAATTCCTAGGTTTCCATTTTGAGTATTTAACTTAAGGAGTTTCTGGAGGAGCTACTATGATAAAGATGATTAATTCAGTTTAAATGATATTTCATCTGAGGTAACTTGGAATGAATTGTAGATGTTTAACACATGATTACAAATATAGCCATTCGTCAGTGTTTGTAAGGGGTTGATTACAGAATCCCTGTGGATATTGAAGTCCACAAGTGCTCAAGACTCTTATATAAAATGATATATTTGCATACAACCTATGCATATTCCCTCTCATACTTTAGATCATCTCTATATTACTATGATATCTAATAATGTAATGTAATGCTATGTAAATACTATAATGTAAATGCTATGTAAATAGTTGTCATACTGTATTGTTTAGGGAATGAGAAGGAAAAAGTCTATACGTGTTCAATATAGATGCAACTGTTGTAGGCCTAACTATGTTTTCAGTCAGTTGAATATACAGATGTGAAATCTTCAGATATGGAAGGCTGACTGTACAGGTTTAGAAGGTTAAGTGGGAGGTCAGGGAGTGATATCACAAGTACGGATGTTATGTTTAAAAACTTCAATGCTATTGGTGAAAATAATATAGAACATATCTGGAGGGGAAGCAAGATTTAAATAACTTCCTTATTCTTATGTGTGAAATATGTGGAGGTAGGGAGTGGAGAATAATTGAAGACCTGTAAATGTTGACATCACCAACAGAGAGGAAGATACTAAAAATAAAATGAATAATTAGGAGAAGCAGTCTTAAGAAACTGAAAGGTATGTATTTTATAGCATAATAATTGGACTGTATGAGAGAAACTTCTCTCTTTGTAATGGGAAAGGGCTGAGGTGAGAGAGTAAAAAACATGTGTTTGTAGTTGTAAGAACAGAGAGCACAGAGCTCGTTATTATTGGCTTCTATTTTCTCAGTGAAGTATAATTACTTGCTGGCAATGATCAGAGAGAGTTTTGGAATATCAGATGTTCTATTTTTGGTTATTGTTGTTACCCCAAATGGTATAAAATTGAATTCTTTGTACCTAAAGTTAGGAATGAGGCAAGGAAGCCTACTCTTACCACCTTTATTTAATACTATATGAGAAATCCTAGCCATTGCAATCAGGCAAGAAAAATAAGCAAAGAGCATAAAGGTGAGAAAGGAAGAAATAAGTGTCCTCATTTACAAAAGGCATACTTGTTTAATAAAAAATACTGAGATCTTAAAATCAAACTCTAAGACATCAAGTCAGAAAACATAAACTACTCATTTTTAATTGTAGCAGTAATTTTAAAATAATTTTAAAATTTAAACAAATGTAAATAAAATTTAATAAAAACTCTATGGCATTTTAAAAAACAAACACTTAGAAATACATTTCATAAAACTCATGTAAAACCTCTACACAGAAAACTATAAAAACTTGCTCAGAAAACAATGATTTATAATGAAGACCTTTATCATGTTTATGAATTGGGAGACTTGGTATTTCAATGTAAATTGTTTCCTAGTTGTTTTATGAATTTAACACCATGCAAATTATAGTCACAGAAGGCTTATCTTTTAATAGAAATCGACAAATTTAAAGTGACTTATGAATATGTATAATAATGCAAGAGACCAAAGAGTGCCAAAGTAATTTTGAAAAAGAAGACCAACATGGGAGCCTTACATTACTTGAGTTTAAGAATCACTACAAATAAACAATAATAAAGATATTGTAATATTGTCATAAGAATAAAGAATATCAATGTAACAGAAAAGATAGCTAAGAAATAGCATCACCTTTATGCAGTCATTTGAAATCTGAAAAATGCTGTAGAGCAACCTAATGAGGAAAGCCAAGTGCTTTCAGCAAATGATTTTGGAATAGCTAGTATCCCCATAGTGAAAAGATAAACTTTGATACGTACTTCATACCAAACAGAAATGTTAACTTTAGATCATGCATCTAAATATTAATTACAACCACAGTATTAAGAGGTAAACATAAAAATACTTTCAGACTTAGGTGTATGCAAAGAAAGATTTCTCAAACTGGACAGAGGAAAAACCAGAGATAAAAGTTTAGACTTGAACCAATTTAAGCACTTCTACTCACCAAAAGACATTGGATTAGTCAGAGGTTTCCAGGAAACAAAATCAATAGGATATCTACATATCAAATACACAGAGGCACACATATATATGTGGGGGAAAGAGAGATTTATTACAAGGAATTAGCTTACCTGATTATTGGCATTTAAAAATGACAAGTTCAAAATGTGCAGAGCTTATGTCCTAGTTGGAGTCCGAAGGCCCACAGCCAGAATTCACTTTTACTTTGGAAAGGATCACCCTTTTTATCTGTTCAGGCCTTCAACTGATTGGACGAGGTCCAACCATATTAGGAAGGGCCATCTACTTTACTCAGTCTGCTTAATTATTTAAATCAAATTAAGTATATTGAATTAGATTAATCAATTAAATTAATAAATTGATTAAATTAATATTGAATTATTGATGGTTTGAGCAATAGACTGATTAATTGATTTAATTAATAAATTAATTGGGTTGGTTAAATTAATCTGCTTTACTCAGTCTACTTTACACATCAGTCTCATCAGAAAACACCCTCAAAGAAACACTCAAAATAATATTCACATATGTACATACTATTTTGGAAATAAACACACATGCAACAACAATGATGTATCTCATAGATGCATGCTGACTTGGAGAAGGTAGATTTTAACAGCAAGTTAATGCGATTAACCTAATATAATCTGTACAAAACTAATCTGTGTTGAAAAAACATCAGAACACTGGTTAACTCTGTACAAAAGGAATTAAATGAGAAGGGACATGGGGAAACTTTCTGGTATAAAGTAACCATACTATGTATTGAGATGGATGTGCATTGCATGAGTATTTATTCATCAAAATGGAACTGTTAAGATCTGTGCCTTTCAATTTATAGTAACTTCACTTAAAGAAATGAGAATCGGGAACTACTGCATGTGCAGAGTTTAAATAAAACAAACGGCAGATGTTCAATATTTGTTAAGGGGGGATGATAGATACACTGGAGTTCAATATGGTATTTGGGTTACTTTATACATGTTTGAAATATTCCAAGATGTGAATTTAAAATAATGTTTAGGAAAATGAGAGTGCAAAATGCCAATGGACCTTGGCAGTTACCATGGAAGCCCAGAGAGGTTGGTTGCCATGTTTGTAGAATTTCTCTGATCTGCCTAAATGGAGGGTTCATGAAAAGTGACTAGGAAATTCAATCAAACCTCAAGTTTCTGTTCAGTGATTAGAGAATACGGGATCATGGAATATAGTCTGCAGAAAGAGGAAAATTAGCCTCCCTCAGGCTGATTGATGGAGAGAAAATCCTAAGGTATTTTGGTCTTTAAGGCTAAACCATCCATTTGTGGAGCAAAGCTCAGTGAGAGAGCTGGAATGAAATGATATGGTGGTCAGAAAGTGAGAGAATAAATTGTATTATTTCAGATAAAGAGGGTAATCAAGGGTGAGAAAATAAGGTATACATTTAACTCCACATACAAAATTGTTTTCTAAATTCATACCCAAGTTTTAAAAAAACTGTTTTATTTTTCAAGCACTCTATCCTTTAACCATAAACATAAATACAAAGTCATTAAATAGACTTTAAAACAAAATATAAGAAAAAAATTCCCATGAGATAAATGCTATAAAAAATTCCAGGGATATATAGCTGTAAAGAAACACTTTTATGGATGATAAGGTATTGGCAGACTATAAATCATCTACAAATGCTGCTGCCAGTCTATGAAAAGTTTAACTTATTCTGCTTTTCAGAGTTAAGCTTCAATGCATATCAGATGGCAGAATTTGGCCCCCAGTACTACTCAGAGTCTTTTCCTGTGTGGTCAATAATTCAGATTGTCACAAAGAAAGTGCCCTTGGCAGAGATGGTAAATCACATGAGTATGTAAAATATAAACCAGGCACAAGAATGCTGCTTGATTTGCATTTGTTTAGGAACCATAGGAGATGAAATGGCAAAATTTTAACCAGCACTAATTAATTTCAGTGTACAGAAGAAAGATTACCAATCCTTATGAAGTGGCTGTGTACAGAAATATCATATATACTTTCTCATTTTACCCTTAAAATAGATTTGTTAGGTTGTCTTTGTCATCCTTACTTTGATGATATGTGTTCAATGACTCAGAAAACTTAAGTGATTTTATAAAGGTTAAATTATTAGTAAGATAACAGAAATATAAATCCAAGTTTTTTAGATTCCAAAATCTGTGCACAACATTCCGTTGGGGGGAGGATTAAAATGGAGGTCCTAAATATCTTTGGTGAGAGCAAATCTGTGTACACAGCTAAAAATGAGAAGAGTTCATGTGGAAATTTAAAACATTATTTGAATTTTATGTGTTTTACCTTCTTCCACCTGGATATATTTATAATTCTAGCTCCATGTATTTTTAAATTTTCATCCAAAACAATTAAATAGTCCCTTCTGTCTTCAAATATTTTTTTCAGGCCTCTCTTGGTATAAAGGTATGATTAGCAAGTTAAAACTGGGAAGATTCACCTTGACCCAACCTGCTTCATAGTTTAATCAGAAAATGGTAGGCAGACAATTATTTGGGGCTTTTGTTGATTATGGTTGATTTAGCAAACAGCATGGAAGAGTTTCAGAGCACAGGCTAGAAATATGAAAAAGTCCTGCAGCTAGAAGAAGCATGGAGTTGCCAATTCCTTCAGCATCATATAGATATGTTTACCTGGCTGAGAATGTAATTGATATATCATGGATTACACTGCAAAAGAGTGACCTCACTCTCTGCCATTCTTTTTATATGTGGGTTTTTTATGTGTTAATAAAACAGTCTTGCAAACTGGAGCAGAAATCCAAGTAGTAATGTTGCTTAGTAAAGACACATTCCCATTTTTGGTATGTCAACTGAAACTATATAGGTAACTGTGGAAAGCTAGGACACAGAAACCCTTCATCTATTGTGGAGAGAAATATTTGATTCCTGTTAGTTCACTGCTGGGCAGCCAGGGAACCACTGAAGCAATTCAGTGGACAACTCTATTTGTCTTTGCAAAAATGATTTGTATAATTCAGTATTCAACTTATGTATGATGCTTGGATTCTGGGTGTTGTGAAGAATACCTATGAATATAATCAACTTTATTTGTGCCAAAAATTGGAGAGCACTTCAGTCCATCTATAAATTTGCAAGAATAATGCATGAATACCAAGTGGCCACTAGAAGAATAAAAGAAAGCAGTAGACGAATCAAAAAAAGAGAAAAATCAAAGTCTTTCTTTTTTTTTTCTTTTACCTTCTCATTAAAAATAACTCTGTTCCTGTTCCTGATAAAAAGATGTAATTGAGAATTGGATAAATTAGAATTTGTTAGACATATGGTCTTATATAGGGAGTGGCTTCACTTAGCTGAATTTTTATGAATGATTACTTCTTTAAGCTGGATTTGGTGCTTTATATTATAGCCTACCATGATGCTGCCCAAAAATGTATCATAAGGTTAAAAATTTCCTAGATAGCTAGTTGTCTGTATATCTTTACTACAGTCAGTTGAGGAACCAGAGAAATTATATGAGAAAGAATAAACCATGGTTAACATTTTTTATAGCTAAATTTAGTTACCAGCAAGCCTGGTAATAATTTTGTTTGGGACACAAACTGACATATTCATGTAGTGTAGTTATAAGTAAGGTTGCTTCTATCAAGCAGAATCTAACTGTATTTTTACTGACTGATTGTATAAAGTATGCTTACTGTCTGAATTCCAAGTGTTAACCTGGTATTTGGCTATGGAAGTAAAAATTGCATAGACAAGACAAAGGACTACTAATAAGAGTGATAATTTGAGACACTTTGAAGTAATTAAGCACGGGAGCATTATACTGAAAACAAATAAACCAGTGAAAGAATAATAGAAAAATAAAGTTTATTTATGTTACATTTTAATTTTTGTTAGACTTAGATTTCACTTTTCTTGTTACTTTACTTTCAACTCGCAAATCATTTTGTAAAACAAATAAAAATGTACAGAAATAAAAAAAAACAGTCCTATTAGTAACTTGTTCTTCCTACGTTGAGTGAATAACAAATAAGCACTGAATTCCATTAAATCAATACACTGCTGATGTTCTCTTTGATACATTGTATGGTTCTGAATGACTCTGTTCATTTTCTATACCAGTGGAATTAGAATAAGAAAACATTCTCTTTTGTGGTTAAACTGTCTAGAACAATAGAAAGTTAACATAGAAACTATGGTTTTAAGAGTATTATTAATTTAGAAGGAATATATTTTGATTACTTGACTGAAAAAAACAAAGAAATCTTTGCAGTCCTAAATAATGTAAAGATCAGTGTCATATTGTTAAATTTTCTTAGGTATCATACTGGTTAGTAGGATTAATGAGAGGAATAATGCCTCTAAATTTGATGAGGGCTGAAGATGTAGTGATGTACTTTGAAAAATGTATACCTCTAACACACACATACATGAAACATATCTTAAATATATTTAGTGTATTGTATTAATATATGATAAAAAATACTACATCTATTCACCAAAAAGTAAAAATTAATAGGAAAATGAGTTTAAAATCATTGAGTAATATTTTATGTATTGCTTATGGAACCTTAGATGTTCATTGTTATTTAAAATATTAAAAATCCTTGTGCTTCAGAATAACTGAGTGCATCTATATTTTGATTTGATGTTAAGAATATAATAAGAAATAGATGTGATTGATAAGCCTATACACATTTGGTGGGCAGACATAAAAATACTTTATAAAACATACATCTAATCCAGTGAGCCAGAAAAAATATAGTCAAAGACATTTTGACCAGCACACCATGCCAGGAGGACACTATTATGAGTTTATCATATGTCTTTAAATTCCTTTATGTTTATATTTATACTTGCATTAACATAAATAAATTCACTAGTATAATAAACATTACTTGTGTCTTTTAAAATGTTTAATTTTTCATATGTCTTGGTAAATTATATTTCTATATTCTGTTTAAAGAATTTTCTGAAACTATATTCTGTTTAAACATTATGTTTCTATATTCTCTTTAAAGAGATATACATATACCTAAATAATTACTTTAAACTATGATGTAGTTTCCTATCCTCTGTTTTGTAATTTACCATTCCACTAGACCATTGTATTTGCTCCTAAAGAGGATTGTAGTAAACATTTTTGTAAAATGTCTCCTTTTACACATGTGGAATATCCTCTAGCATACATGCATATGCAGAATTGCTTAGTCTGGTATTTATGCATGGATATGAATTTTACTAGCTACTAACAACTTATACTATAGCAAGGGTAGTATTTGAGAGGTCTCACTTGTCCAAATTCTTGCCAACACTTGATATTGCAAGACTATAGTTTAGTACAAATTTGACATTTATGAATTAAAATCTTATTTTTAGTTTAATATATATTTATTTGAATATATATTAATAGTATGTTAATAGATATTTTATATGTTTGCAATATTTTTAATGAAAAATCAGAATTCTGTATGGTGCATTGATGAAGCGATTTTGTTCTTTACTCCCAAATGCTTGTAAAACATCCAAGTATGGTTCCTTTTTCCCTATCCCTGGATAAACATAAAACAATGCCTTGACCTAGGGCAAGTCCCTTAACTTTTATATAATAATTGTACCTTTGTCTCTTCTAGTTTCAAAAAACTCTTATTTCGGCTGGGCATTATGGCTCACACCTATAATTCCAGCACTTTGGTAGGCCGAGGTGAGCGGATCACCCGAGTTCAGGAGTTTGAGACCAGCCTAGCCAACATGGCTAAACTCCATCTCTACTAAAAAATGCAAACATTAGCCACTGCACTCCAGCCTGGGCAACAGAGTGAGATACCATCACACCATCTCAAAACATAAACACATAAACACACACACACACACACACACACACACACACACACACACACACTCCTCTTATTTCAGTAATTAAGGTTCATAGTGGTGGAAAGAAAATAAGAAACAGGAATAGTTGATTTGAATAAAACTTCATGGATTTGGCAGTTGTCTAGATCAGACTCTCATGGGGACCTCCTAATTTTCTGGAAGGTCTGCTGCTGTTGCTGAGGATCTCTCATCTTCAGTTAATATTGATAATATTTCCTTTGATCAGCAGCCTATGACCTCAGTTTCAGCTCTTCATTTGTGTGGCACTTTTAGCACCAGCTCTTGATGGGTGTCCAGTGCTCCTCTCAATGACCATTTGTAACCACTGACAAAATTTGGACTGCAGGTTTGCCCCAAAGCAGTCTCCTTTTCTGCATCTGCAATCAGAGCAGCTAGCTAGCTACGGTTGTTCTCTAGCTAGTATTTGTCTGGCTCCATTTAGCTTTGGTACTCTTGAACTATGAAGTTGCTCTGAAAGTTTGTATTCCATAGCAAGCAGCATGTTCAGCAAATCAATACTTTTACTAATTTTCACTACCCTTTTATTTTCCATATGAAGATTTTTATGACTTTGTTGTAAATAATAGACTGTCTCAAATACAGACTTTCCTTCCCCCTATTTTTAAAATCTGCTTTAGAGTGTCAAATTTGCACATATAGCTTGAGAACCTTGGGCAAACTACATAAAAAGAGAAAAAAGTTCATTATAAAATTCTGTTAGAGAATTTGAGTTTATTTTTCTGTAAGCTGTCTTTCTTTTAGGATATATATATATCTCCTATATATATACACTTTCAAATGAATATGTAAACATCTTTACTTATACTTATTCTGGAAATAAATGACACTTCTATTATATTTATTGCAAATAGGTTCTCCTAGTTTGCAGACTAAATGTTGTTTTTTGTATCACAAGGTATTTTATCTAGCCAAATCTATCACATTTTTAAAGTTTGCATTTTCTCAAGATATCAGATCCTTTCTTACTTTGTTATATGAAAGAAGCACTTATTTCAGAGGCAATCAAAACATTTCAATAAAATGTTTTCAGTACCAATTATAATTATTACTCATAAAAATATTTGTACCTATTACTAAGAGAGTAAATTTCAAATGTTCTCACCACCAAAAAGGATAATTTTTAGGTGATGGATACATTAATTGGTTTGATTTCATTACTGGACATTGTGTTTTTAAATTACAATATCACATTGTACCACAAAAATATATTCAACTATAATTCTTCAATTTAGAATTTAAAAATCAGAAAATTATATTATCTGAAAATATATTGTCTGAAAAATCAGAAAAAACATATTATCTTAGTTTCTCCCAAAAGTTTAACTTTAAAGAAAGAGATATGCTTATCAGGCAAGTAGAACTGATTAGTTAAAATTTTTAAGGATCTACTAAACACAGGATTGATTACAGTGAAGTGTTTTACACTGGAAACCATGCTAATATATTTCTAATATGTTTTATCTATCAAATTATAATATCATGAGACATATTCTCAATGAGGCAAAAGGCTTATAAATATAGAAAATCATTCATTTATCACATTGATCTTATAAATTTTACTGAGAAATTTCCAGCATTTGAAAAGCCAAATCACTGTCTAAATATTGACTTCACGAAAGTGAGAACGGTTGTTGAAGAAACATCGATATATCTTAGTAAAATATAATTTTCTGATTTTTAAATTCTAAATTGAAGAATTATAGTTGAATATATTTATGTGGTATAATGTGATGTTGTAATTTAAAAACACAATGTCCAGTAATGAAATCAAACCAATTAATGTATCCATCACCTAAAAATTATCCTTTTTGGTGGTGAGAACATTTGAAATTTACTCCCTTAGTGATTTTGAGATGTCCAATAAAATATCATTTACTAGGTTCACCATGCTATGCAATATCTTCCAAAGAAAAAATACTTATTCCTCCTGTCTGAGACTCTTTATCTATTGACCATCATCTACCCATCCCCCCATGACCTCAGCCTCTGGTAATCACCATCTTTGCTTCTTTGAATTTAATCATTTTAGTTTTCACATATAAGTGAGAACATACAATATGTGGTTTTGCATGCCTGGCTTATCTCATTTAGAATAATGTTCTCCAATTCCATCCATGTTGTTGCAAATGACAACATTTCTTTCTTTTTTAATGCTAAATACTATCCCATTGTGTATATATGCCTCATTGTCTTTATCTATACGTCTAGTGATGGATACTTAGATTGATTCCATAACTTGATTATGGTGAATAGTGCTGCAATAAGCATGGGAAAACAGACATCTCTTCAACATGCTGATTTCAGATCTTTGGGGTAGATACTCAGAAGTGGGATTGCTGGATCATAGAGTAATTTTATTTTCAGTTTTTTGAGAAACCTCTTTAAAGTTTTTGTAATGACTGTTCTAATTTACATTCCCAGGAAAGTGTGTGCAAGCGTTCCCTTTTTGCCCCATCCTCTTCAGCACTTATCTTTTGTGTTTTTTATAGTAGCCAAACAAGTGTGATATAATAGCTCATTGTGATTTTACTTGGCATTTTCTTAATGATCTGTGGCATTGAGGATTTTTTTTCATATACCTGTGGCCATTTGTATGTTTTCTTTTAAGAAATATTGATTCATGTCCCTTACCCAGTTTTAGCTGAATTATTTGTTTCATTTGTATAGAGTAGTTTAAGTTACATATATATACACTTTGGATATTAACCCCTTATCAGTAGGATGGCTTGAAAATATTTTCTCCCAATCTGTAGTTTGTCTGTTTATTAATTGCTTTATTTGTTTTTGTAGAAGCTTTTTAAAAACTGTAATCCCATTTGTCTATTTTTGCTTTTGTTTCCTGAACTTTTGGGGTCAAATCTAAAAAATGTTTGCCCAGATCAATGTCTCATAGTTTTATCTTTATGTTTTCTTTTAATATATTTAGAGTTTCAGATTATATGTGTTAATCTTTAATCCATTTTGAGTTGATTTTTGTAATTGATTTGAGATAGGGGTCCAATTTTATTATTTTGCATATGGATATACAGTTATGCGGTATAATTTATTAAAGTGACTGTCCTTTTCCTAGCATGTATACTTGGCACCTCTGTGGAAAATCAATTGATTACACATGTTAGGGTTGAATTCTGGACTCTGTATTCTACTACATTTATTGATGAGTCTATTTTTATGACAATACCATGCAATTTAAATTAGCACCACTTTGTAGTATAGTTTAAAATTATGTGGTGTAATGCTTTAAGTTTTGTTCATTTTCCTCATGATTTGCCTTAGCTATTTGGGTTTTATTACAGTTCTATATAACTTTTAGAATCTTTTCTGTTTCTATAAGGAAGTGTTGGATCTACAGATTGAATGCAATTCTTATGAACACTCCAATGTCATTTTTCATAGGAATTGCATTAAATCTGTGGATTGCTTTGGGTATTACTGACATTTTAACAATATTAATTCTTCCAATTCATGAACATAGAATATCTTTCCATCTATTTATGTCTTCTTTAATTTCTTTCAATAAGGTTTTAAAGTTTTTAGTGTACAAGTCTTTCACCTAGTTGGTCAAATTTATCCATAAGTATTTTTTGAAACTATTGTAAATTGAATTGTTTTCCTGATTTCCTTTTCAGATAGTTTGCTATTTATGTATAGAAATGCTATTGATTTTTGTGTGTTGATTTTGTATTCTACCATTTTGATGAATATGTTCATTAGTCCTAACACTTTTATGGTAGAGTCTTCAGGATTTTCTATGTATAAGATCATATCATCTGCAATGACCAAAAATTTCACTTCTTTTTTATTTGGATGTCTTTTTTTACTTTTTCTTTCCCAATTAATCTGGCAAGAACTTCTAATACTATGTTGAATAGAAGTGGTAAGAGTGTGCATACTTGTCTTGTTCCAGATAGTAACGGAAAGAGTTTCAATTTTTCACCATTGAGTATAATGCTAGCTGTGGATTTACATTATATGGCCTTTATTATGTTGAGCTACATTCTTTTCCTACCTAATCTGTTGAGAGTTTTTATCATAAAAGGATGTTGAATTTTGTAAAATTCATTTACTTCAACTCGTGAAATGACTATACAGTTTTTGTCATTCATTCTGTTAATGTGATATATAACACTTGCTGATTTGTGTATGTTGAAACATCCTTGTATCCCAGGGACAAATCACACTTGTTTATGGTGAATTATCCTTGTAATGTGTTGTTGAATTTGATTTGCTAATATTTTGTTGAAGACTTTTGAAACTATGTTCATCGGGAATATTAGCCCATAGTTTTATTTTTTGTTGTGTCCTTTTCTCTTTTTGCTGTCAGGGTAATGCCGGCTTCATAGAATGAGTTTGGAAATATTCTCTCCTCTTCAATTTTTCTGGAGAGTTTGAAAAGAGTTGCTATTACTTCTTCTTTAAATGTTTAATAGAATTCAGCAGTGGAGCCATTGTGTCCCAGATTTTCCTTTGATGGGAGACTTCTTATTACTGATGTAATCTTATTCATTATTAGCCTCTTGAGATTTTCTATTTCTTTATGATTCAGAATTGCTAGGTTTTATGTTTCCAGGAATTTATTCATTTTTTGTATATTATCAGATTTATTGGCATTAGTTATTCATTACACTCTTTATAATCCTTTATATTTCTGTGATATTAGTTGCAATGCCTCCTTTTTTACCTCTGATGTTATATATTTGAGTCTTCTTTTTTAAAATATCTAGCTAAAAATTTGTCTATTTTGTCTGTCTTTCAAAACACTCACTTATTTTAATCTTTTATATTGCTTTACCAGTCTATATTTCATTTATTTCTGGTCTAATATTTATTTCTTATTTTCTCTGCTGACCTTGGGATTGGTTTGTTCTTCTTTTACTATTTCTTGAGGTGCAAAATTATTTGTTTATTTTAAACCTTTCTTCTTTTTGGATGAAGGCATTTATTGCTATAAACTTTTCTCTTAAAACTGCTTTTGCTATATCCATAAATTTTGGTATGTTTTGTTCCCATTTTTATTTGTCTCAATTTTTTTCCTTTTAAATTATTCATTAATCCATGGGTTGTTCAAGAGCTTGTTGTTTACCTTTCACGTATTTGTGAATATTCTGGAACTCCTCCTGTTACTTATTTCTGTTTCACACAATTATTGTCAGAAGAGGTATTTTATACCATTTGGTCTTCTTAAATTTTCTAAGACTTATTTTGTGGCCTAACATATGACCTATCCTAGAAAAGGCTCCATATGTGCTTAAGAAGAATTTGTATTCTGTTGTTGGATGGAATGTTCTCCATTCTGTTACATCCATTTGGTCTAAAGTGTTGTTCAGGTCCAATATTTTCTTACTAACATTCTATCTGGATGATCTTTCCATTACTGTGCGATAGTCAACTCATCTATTATTATATTACATTCTATGTCTCCCTTAGGATCCTTTAATATATTTTGGTGTTCTGAGGTTGGGTGCTTATATATTTACAATTATTATAACTCTTAATGAATTGACACTTTTACCATTATAAGATATTCTTCTTTGTCTCTTTTTACAATTTTTTACAGTTTTACAAAACTTAAAGTCTGTTGTTTTCTGATATAGCTATCCCTGCTCTCTTATGGTTTCCATTTACCTGGAATGTATCTTACATTCCTTCACTTTCAGTCAATGTGTGTCTTTAAAAGGAAGGTGAATCTCTTGTATGAAGCACATAGTAAGACCCTGCATTTTAAAAAATCCATTCAGTTATTCTACAACTTTTTATTGGAAAACTTCATTAATTTAAATTTAAAATAATTATTGATTGGTAAGGACTTACTACTGTCAATTTGTTAATTGTTTTCTGGTGCTTTTGCAAATTTTTAAGTTATTTCTTCTTCTCTTGCTGTCTTTATTTGTGTTTTGATGTTTTTCTTAAAAGTGGTATCTTTTAATCTTTTCTATTTCTACTTTTGGTGAATGTGTCTACTATAGAACTTTGTGGTTACCATAAGACTTACATGAAATTTCTTATACTTATGACAGTCTATTTTAAGTTGATAAAAACTTAGCTTTGATTACATATCACTCTACACTTTTATCCGCCACACACATTTTGTTTTTGATGTTAGAACTTATATTACTTTTTAATATACATCCATTGACAAGTTATTTTAACTATAATTGTTACTAATAGTTCATTCTTTTAACTCTCATTATAACGAAAAAATTGTACCACCATTATAGACCTAGGGCCTTCTGAATATGACTCTATTACTTATGCCATCAAGAGATCAAACCTGTGAATAACCTATTAAAGAAGGAAAAGAAAGAGAAAATGGCTAGAATATTGAAATAAATAATGGCTGTAAACTTCCCTAATGTGAAGAAAGATGTCAACATACAGGTACAGGAAGTGCAGAGGTCTCCAATCAAATGCAACTCAAAGAGAAGTTGACTAACACATGTAATAATCAAACTACCAAAAATCAAAGGCAAAAAAAATTCTGAGAGCAGCAAAAATAACAAACACATCACAAAGGGGCCACAATATGCAGGTCAGTGGATTTCTTTGAAAAAAATCTTGCAGACCAGAAGATTGGAAATATATATTCAAAGTGAAGAAAAAAAAGCAAAAAAAAAACAAAAAAAAAAACACCTTAAACCAACTGTTAACTAAGAATACTTTACTGAGCAATGCTATCTTTCAAAAATGAGGGAGAAAAAAAAAACTTTCCTAGCCAAACAGAAGCTAGGAAATTAACCATTACCAGGCCTGCAATAGAGAAATTGCTAAAGGAACCATTTAAACTAAATCAAAAAGCTGATGATTAACAGTATAAAACATTCAAAGGTATAAGAAATTAAAATTGTTAGTAGAAACATTATATAATATACTCTGTGTATGTATTAATTTTACTTTATTAATTACATGCAAACAAGAATAATGAAATGATAGTAGACCCTTTACATATTGTTTTCTGTGTGTGAAATTGTATAAAAGTAAAGACTCAGAGAAAATATGGGATTATAGTGTTAAATGATTAATAACAAAGGTGTATACAAAAGGGATAGGTTGTCACATAATGAGGAAAATAATATTACTAAAGGACCAAAAAAGACACATTTGACTTTTTGAGATATTTGGCTAAGGTAAATGTATATCCCAAGGTAGTGACATTAACACTGAATTAATATTAAAGAATTGCCTTCTCTCTCTCTGTCTCTCTCTCTCTCTCTTCACTTGAAATATTGTATGATTAAACTTTTAAAGTTGACTAAAATCCTAGATAAAGTATGCATCTGGGGAGATTCCAAGCAAAGCTAGAGAAAGGAGAGGGACAGTAAAAACTCATTCTTGTTATTTGTTCTAACTATGACAAATAATAAACAAGAAACTGAAGTCATAGTGGCATAGTATTATGCAGTGGTTCTTTGAGGGGAAAGAAGATGTAAGGCAGGGTAACTCCACCTTTTAAAGATTGCTGTATATTGCTTAAAATAAATGCCAGTCTTTCAAATAGTATTGTGTGTGTATTTATTTTTTGGTGAAACAGTCATGTTTATTTATTTTGTTAGTTTCATATTTTTTCATTTTCATTAGAAGTAATATACAAATATATAATTTCTTTTTTTATTAAATTGTTTGTGGTTTAATTCATAATAAATCTAGAACATATGGGTAGAATTTAAAGTTAGCTAGCTGAATGCTCTGAGAAGTAATTGTCAGAATCCTACTAGTGTTAATTAAAACACTACAGCTAATGTATCATACATCAAAATTAGATTAGACTTCATGGTATAAAATTCTGGCAAGAGATAAACATAAGGTGTTTCTTAAAAATTTGAGATAATATTTGTGAGAGATTATACCTGAGGGGAAAATGATATCTATATGGTGAATAATAAAATTATTTACTACCTGAATTCTTGAAAGCTGAATGCCAGGAAAATGCCTCCAACCTCTGGTAAATTTAGGTTTACAATCATCAGAATAGCATGTGAAAAAAAAAATTTGATTCAAGGCTGCATATAATCAGTAATTAGTTTTTATATGTAAACACAGCACTTTAAATTCACAAAACTAATTAGCCACACTATGATTCAATAATATTTTTGTGTTTATTAAGCCCATAGGATTCTCTTTTTATTGGAAATGAATAGCTATTAAAATAGTGCCTAGTCAATGGTTACTACTTTCAGAATAAATTCTATGTACAGATTCATTTTATGGCATATACTAAATCCAAAACTAAAGTTAATATATCCAAAATATTTTTGCATAAAAATCCAAATGCTTTTTATAGCCTTATTATCTGAAATTTCTGGAGCTTGCAATATGAAAACAATCCTTGCATATCTAATATGCAGAGCAGCTTAACAATCAATGCATTGAGTCAACTGTGCTCTAATTAGGAGTCAGTAGTACTCAATCTCAATCTTCCTGTGGTCAAAGTGAGTGCAGAATTGAGTAGACTGAATGAACATGCATGCATACACAAGATTAATTTATGTGTGGTGTGTGTGTGAGAAAAAGAGACAGAAAAAGAAGAAAAGAAGAAGACAGAAAGTAAAAAAAAAGGAGAATATAATAGAATAGAGTGAAAGAGAGAAGACTGTGGTGGTTTGGAACAAAATTAAGTAATATTTTTAAGTTTTCTTCAAGTAGGTGTATTAGTGTTTTCTTGCACTGCTATTAAAAAATACCTGAAACCGGGTAATTTATAAGAAAAGAGGTTTAATTGGCTCACAGTTCTGCAGGCTATACAGCAAGCATAACAGCTTCTGGGGAGGCCTTGGGAAACTTACCAACATGGCTGAAAGTGAAGGGGAACTGAGCACTTCACATGACTGAAGTGAGAGGAAGAAAGAGAAAGCAGATGCTACATGCTTTTAAAACAACAAGATTTCACGATAACTCATTTTCATCATAACAACACCAAGGGGGATGGTGTTAAATCATGAGGAATCCCCCCTATGATACAATCATCTCCCACCAAGCCCCACCTCCAACACTGGGGATTACAATTCCACATAAGATCCAAACCATATCTGTAGGCTTGGCTAACCATCTCTAATATTCCTGAATCAGTTAGGATGCTTTCAAGTACAATAACAGAACACTCCACTAAAAAGGTTAAATCCATACATAGTTTATATTATCATAACTAGAAACACAAAGAAAAGATTATGGCATGGATAATTTGATGACATAATGATACTGTCAAGGGCTATCTTTTGATATCTTCCATCTTTTGAGTGTTATTTTCTTAGTGTAAATTTCATGCTTATTCAATATAATGCAACATTTCCAGGCATCACCACCTCACACAGTCCCCTTCAGAGTTAGAAAACAGAAGTTCTCCTCATGTTTCTGACTGAACATCTAAAACACTGTTTTTCAGAAGTCCCTCAGTACTCTTTCCTTCGACATTCATTTGCCAAAATTACATCTCACATGTATCCAAACTATAAAATATGTGGAGAACAGAGTTGCCAGAATAGCTTACACTAGTTAACATCCAACCATTTGGTAAAGAAACAGATGACTAAGTGGTCAGATAGGAATTATAAAATTATAGTATCTCCCTGGAGATTATGTTGTCATGAGTGACAAGTAAGATCTGAAGATATGCTTAGTTATGTTTTTTGGCAATATGGGCAACATAATGAAAATAGATAAAACTACCTTTTGTAGGATAATAAGTTATAGTTTTTTATACTGTTTAACCATATACAGTTTATATTTAAGTGGTGATTAAGAAAATCTCCAGTTCTCTATCGCCCTGTTATTAAGTGACATGCCTATGTATCTTCCCTTTGTATCTGGTAGTGATTTATTTGTAGCCAAAATAATTCAGAAGAATTTATGTTTCATAGCTTCCCAAATTAGGATATAAAAGCTAATGCAGCTTCAATTTTCTGCTTGGATTGTTTGCACTTGGAGCCTCGAGCCACCAAATAAAAAGCCCAAAAATTTTGATGCTGCCACACTATGAGGAGCCTCAGGCTACCTAGAGTGGCCACATGTAGGTGCTCCAGTAAATGGCCCCAACTAAAATTCTAGCTAAGGTTTAGAGTCAACTGCCAGATATGTGAATAAGCCAAAGCAGCTATTACCTGGGAATCAGCCTGGGGCCACAAACTAGAACACCTACATGTGGCCTGTTGTAGTATGCTATAAGATTAATAATAGCCATAATGCCCACTCAAACATCTCACTGGGCCTACACTATATGTCACTTAGCATTATGATGTAACCTCACCTGGGGACTTCCAGTCCTGGCTGAGAGATTACTGGGTCTCTATATAACAAACGGGACCTGAAAACCCTGGTTGCCCTAGAGACAAGGCCACCTCAACACAGATGCAACTTAACATAAACCTTAAAATGAAGCTTTACCCTTACAAACATGGCTTAAACTCTCTTTATAAAAGCAACACCTGGTAACTCCCCCAAACTGAATAGATGTGTTAGAAAGGGGAAAGAATCTATCAAATGCTGAGAATGTTCTTTCAACTGTGACCTTTGATATGGTTTGGCTGTGTCCCCACCCAAATCTTACCTTGAATTGTAATAATCCCCACATGTCAAGGGCAGGGCCAGGTGGAGATAATTGAATCATGGGGGTGATTTCCCCCATACCTTTCTCATGGTAGTGAGTAAGTCTCATAAGATCTGATAGTTTTATAAATGGGAGATCCCCTGCAACAAGCTCTCTTGCCTGCCACCATGTAA
The DNA here is from genome assembly GCF_000001405.40 of Homo sapiens. Classification (NCBI taxonomy): domain Eukaryota; kingdom Metazoa; phylum Chordata; class Mammalia; order Primates; family Hominidae; genus Homo; species Homo sapiens. Next base: position 125,762,952 of record NC_000007.14, read on the forward strand.
GATGTGCTTTTGCTTCTCCCTTGCCTTCCGCCATGATTGTGAGGCCTCCCCAGCCATGTGGAACTGTGAGTGCATTAAACCTCTTTCCTGTATAAATCACCCAGTCTTGGGTATGTCTTTATTAGCAGCACGAGAACAGACTACTACAATAGTCTTGGTCAAGTGGTCATTTGGCTCCTGACCATATCTGGCCCAGGCCACTAGCCTGCTCCTGCGGCTCATCTTCTAAGAATGCTACCAGAATAAGCTGCTTGAATATTGATTGGTGCCTCAGATTCATCTCTGATGTGAATAGGAGGAAAAGGGAAAAGCTGTCCCTGGGGAAGTGGCTCAACAAGGACCACCCAAGATGCCCAGACACAACACCTGTCTGTTTGGACTGAGTTTCTTCATAGCATGGTGGCCTCAGGATAGCCAAACTTTTTACAGCCAAACTTTTTACATGAAGCTTCAGGACTCCAAAAGAATGTTCCAGCAATCAAGGTAGAACACTTCAATGATTACAGTCCAGCTGCCAGGTGACTTCAACCACATGAGACATCTCCAAGCAAAAACTTGGAACTTCCCTCAAGAAGATCCTTCCATAACTATCTCCTAACCCACAGAATCCATAGCATAATAAAATAGTTGTTTATGCTAGCAAGTTTTACGGTAGTTTGTTACTCAGCAATGGAAACTAGAATATGAACACTCTCACATTCATTACCTTGTTTCATTCTAAAAATAAATTTCACAATTAGACATTTAACAGGCATTTTAATCATATCTTACAGGTGATAAAGTGAGGGTTAGACAATTCAAGCGGGTTTTCAAAGGTCATGTGCCAAAAATGTGGCCATGCACTGAAAGCCAGAACTTTTAGCATAGCTACATGTTCATATTATGTTGTATCTTATTGTTTCTCTGGGTGTGAAACAGATCCACAAGTGTTTCAAGCAGCAGTCTTCTATGCAGCAAATATGCCAAGCACTGTGACAGGTATTGCCAAAATAAAATGAAATAAATTATTTTTCCTGAAGGCATTTACAGTCAAGTAGAAAGGGAGAAGTTTAATCCAACAAATATAGCACAACTTAATAGGTCTTATAATATTGTTTTGCATAAGGTACAAGATGATTATGGAAAAAATATAAAGACTGGATTTAAAAGCAAGATGAATGTGTCAGGCTGTGAGGAAAGGTGTTAACTAGAGTCATAGAGAACAGAAAAGAATAGCACATGAAAAAAAATCCATTCGAGGCTGCATATAATCAGTAATTAGTTTTCATGTGTAAACACAGCACTTTAAATTCACAAAACTACTTAGCCATGCTATTATTCAATAATATTTATGTGTTTATTAAGCCCATAGGATTCTCTCTCTCTCTCTTTTTTTTTTTTGAGACAGGGTCTTGTTCTGTCACCCAGGCTGGAGTGCAGTGCAACTTCCACCTCCCAATTCAAGTGATCCTCCCACCTCAGCCTCCCAACTAACTGGGACCACAGGTGCATGCCACCATGCCCAGTTAATTTTTGTACTTTTTACTAGAGAAAGGATTTTCCTATGTTGGCCAGGCTGGACTCGAGCTCCTGAGCTCCAGTGATCTGCCTGCCTCAGCGTCCCAAAGTGTTGGGATTACAGGCGTGAGCCACTATGCTAGGCTTTGCCAAGATAATTTAATTAAAATATCTGAATTAGGACATTGGAAACGGAGGTGGCAAGAAGTTGAGATACATAGGTTTGGTTCAATGTAGTTAGGTAACTGGGTACTGGTGCATAATATCAGTTTCCACATAAGGAAAAGCATAAGAACAACTGAGTTAAAGAATAATAATCTAAAGATAGAAATATTATTTTTGGAAAAATTGAAAGGAATGCACATTTATTAAGCACCAAGCACTTAACAGATACTATGAACTTAACAGATAATATGAACTTCCGAAATGTTATACTTCAATTCTAATAACAACCTCAAACAGTCATTCTAGTCTTGCTTTATTTGAAGATAATTAAGGTGAAGCTCAAAAATATAGTTTTAAATGCTAAGAAATAAACGCAGAGAGGAAGTGGATGAAAATTGTATGTGGGACATAAAGCAAAGAGAAAAGACACAGAGGAGGGACTCAGTGAAACACAAACAAACAAACAAAAAAAAAAAACAGTAGGACCTGGATGTTTAGCTACACATATTGGGCATGACCCAGGGATGGGAGGCCTTGAAGATGAATATGAGAACTTGGAAACTTGGATTTGATTTCGCAGAAACAGGGAACCACTACAGATTCTTGGGTCAAGATGTGTGCAAAAGGATGCTTTAGGGTGATGGATATGAGTGGGATGAAATGAGGCTGGGAGAAGCCATGAATCAAGGAAAGAAGCCAAGAGACCCTAAGACATATTAGATCTGAGATAAAATAATATCTAGCTTCTTTCCTAACATCCCTTTCTCACTGACAATAGTGAAAATATTTTGGGTATTTTCACAAGTTCCCATGTTAATAATTCAAACATGATTTTTCTCTCTTTTCTATCTGTACGTAAGAGCGAACTAAGTAGACATAAGAAAGTGGGAGAAAAAAATTAATTTCAAATCTATAATTATACGACATTGGCAATACTGAAAATCAAATCCCTTTGTTAATTACAGAAGGTACGCATCTCAGACCATAAAATCAAGTATCTCAGAGATATACAGTTCCTTAATTTTATTTAAATTAGTTTAATTCGGACCACATGCTGCCATCTTGGCTGGCTGATGAGAAGGTACACAAGTTTTACAGATTTGCTTGGTGCTTGGAAATGGGTAATGATGTTTAATCTTCGGACCACCGTGGTCAACCACCATTGTCATTTTTTAATGTCAAGATTCTAGCGTCCCCGATCCTGATTCCAAATCACAAGTGTAACCTGAAACTTGTGCTGAAGCTGAAATCTACACTAAGATCCATCTCTACAACACTAAGCCATCTCTACTGAGGTCTCCACATCCTCTATGCAGTCACCCACCATCTACTCATCTTAGTAATCTTCCTTTCTGTTCAGTGTCTCTTTCCTTCTTTCTCTCTCTCTCTCTCCTCTCTGTCACCCTCACCATTCTTCTCCCCTTCTCCTCAAAAGCATTATCTCGTCTCTTTCTATAACATCTTGCACAATAACAGGAGTAGTTCAAGCTTTAGGAAGAAAAAGCCAAGAGATTTAACTTGTAGGTTCATCCTTCTTGGGGTTCTATAACAAAGTTCTCCCTGAAGGCAATGGGGTATTGCAGCTTTTTGCCAAATTTCTGAAATTAAAGAGAAAAAAAACTGCATGGAAAAAAAAACACTAAAATTATCATATCTCAATTAAGGAAGAAGATTGTGGATATGTCTTTTGGCAATATGGAAAACACTTTTTAAATTTAATATACAAGCTTTAAACAGTCAGTGACACAAGCTAATTTTTTCTTGGGCTTATACATGTTCCATTGGAAATAAAGATATTCCAGAAGTACATGTGCTTGCGTAAGCATTGTGAGTAACAGGGATAGATTTTCCTTACACTGACTTAATCAGGCTCTCTGACAGCATTGCCCTAGTTTTCATATTTGGAAAGGTGGTCTGAGTGTTATTTTTTCCCCAAGTATTTAGTTCCCCCTCTGTGTGCAGGGGTCATATTCCCTGTCTCACCGACATAATTCTTGGCTGTGTGACTTCCCTTGGTCAATCGAAAGGACAGACATAACAAATAAGACTTTTGAAGGGAAGCTTTAATAACCATTTCATGATTTCATTATTACTCTTTTCCTCCTACCATAGCCCAGTAATACACTGGTAATGCAAAAATGTGACTCAGAAAAATAACATTATTTTAATATTAAACAAATGTATCATTCTCAAAGATCTATGAATAAGTTTCTTTACTGGTGCTTGGAAAATAAAATAATAGACCTTCATTATCTCCTTTTCATTTTTGCTCACTCTTATTGAGGCTTGATGGATCCAAAGGATGGTGACGAGATATGCTGTTTATAAGACTTTCTGACATATGGTGCTGGAGTCATTCTATTAAAAAATGTCAGGCAGCTAGAGAACTGAAGGAGGATTTATTTTTGAGTGGTGTCTTTATAGTGAGCTTTGCCAGAGAGATGGCTCATCATTGAGGTGAGACAGTAGAAGATGGAGGGTGGAAGGGAAACATGATCAAATGCCATGGGCAACGTACAGTGGTTAGTGTCTGTGGCCTTGTTCTGTTTCTTTTCATTCCTGATTAAGATCAGTCAGTCAAGACACCAGAAGATATTTTATCACCTAGAAGATAAAAATCAATAAAACGAACATTCCCTAAACTGTCTGCTTAGATGGAACGCCACTTAATCACTTACACTATTTCTTTCATTTTTTATTTTTCTTTTACATCTAGGATTGACAAAATTGGAAAGGGAGCTAAGGGTTATTGAGCATGTTCCTTATACTAGTACAGGATGATAGTTAAGGTTATAGGTGATGGAGATATGCTGTTTACATTTAAGTCCGAACTCTGCCACTAAATAGTTGTGCAATACTGGGATACTTGTACTACTACTATTTGTCCAATAAGAATAATACTAACTTTCAGAAGATTATCTTAAAGGTTAATATTAAATGAGTCAATATATAGAAAGTGCTTAGAATTGTTCCTGACACATAGTAGGCACATAGTATTATATATTTATTTTTCATTAAAATCTCTTAAAATTCCAGGTGATGGTATGTAGTTTTAGGGAGAAAACTTAGGAACAGAGTGGTTAATCAATATTCTCAAGATCATTTAGTTAACAAATTGCTAATTTTAAGATATAAATGTGTCAATCTTACAATGCTTACCTGCATATTAAGTAGGATGGGCAATGGGTGGCTTAACTAAATGAAAGGGAGAGTGGCGCATTGGCTACTGGTGGAATGAACTGTGCTAAATTAAATTGTGGGAAAGAAAACATTTAAGATGATGATTTCAAATAACCAAGTAAAGTAAATTGTGGGAAAAAAGAGTGATTCAAGCAAAAGAATAACCTTCTTTTGTTTAGTTCCCAATAAATTTTTGTATTTTTATTTTGTAACAGAAAATGAAAGGTGCATAAGGAATTATCAAAAAATTCACCAAACTGTACTCCTATTCTGGACCCACCCACTAGTAATATTGGAGCTACTGACCTTTAGAAGTCACTAACATTCATATCAAGTGTAGACATCTGGCCTTCTCTTTTTGATTTGGCCTAGAATGCTAATAAGGACTCTGTTTAATTTTAAATGTCTTGCACATTTATTATAAGGGGATTTAGCAAGTACAAGACCTTTATCCCCCAAGACTCCATAAGTGATCAGGCATCTCCAGGGATAATCCAGGCTGAACCTGTGAAATGTGCTCAACCTGTACATGGAGACAATAAAGAGAAATATCATAGCCACTCTAATACATTGAGAATAAAATGGCTGTTATCATAACAGGTAAAGCTGTGTTATAATCAGTTCAGGTACACAGCTGAAATGAAAGAAAGATTATTTAGATCGATATCTCCTGCTTTTTTACAGTAACTCATTGTCTCAAACATCTGAGAAAACAATGTTTTGGGGGTTTTATTAGTAAAGACCTGGTATTTTATTCTTGTTAAGAAGCCAGCTAGAAATGTGCTTAAAGATTCAAAAGGACTTAGAGAGGCATTCTTTCTTGTTCACATTTATCATTTTTTTTCTTTTTTTTTTAAATATAGATGGGGTCTCTCTGTCACCCAGGCTGAGGTGCAGTGGTGCAGTCATAGCTCACTGAAGCTTCAAAGTCCTGGCTTCAAGTAATCCACCACCACAGCCTCCCAAATTGCTGGAATAACAGGCATGAACAACTGCACCTGTGGGATTACAGGCATAAGCCACCACACCCAGACATATTCATTCTTTATATGCTGGATTTTTATTAGAGCTCCAGTGTGGCAATCAGAATTCTTTCTAGCAGAGTCTTCTATACAATTAAGTACCCAGTAGGTGAAATTTCATTAATAGGAACAACGTCAAGGAAAGATTGTATTTGATGCATCTCAATGTCCTCTCACTCCAGAACCACACCTGACATTTATCCTGGCAGCTATCTAACAATTTTCACACTAGGATTCATGGCAATGCTAAAAATTGTATTTATGTTCATACTGAGGGATGGCTTGCATCCCAGCATTTTGTAATTATTCTACTTTACCTCCTGCTTCCTGCGGTCATTTTTGCTGTCCCAGTCTGCTCAGGGCCCTGAATATTGCAAATCTGATGTACTTCATACTACAGACCCCTTGGAATCTAAGTGGATGAGTATAACTAAAATCTCAGCTTCCAAAAGCTAAGACTGAATAAGAGGCTAGGTGAGTTAGAACGGTCTGGAGAGCAGAGACCAGAGTTTTCCTCTGCTATTGTTCTGTGGAATGACGGGGGTCATTTGGACAAATCGCACTATGTTGCAGTTTCTTCCTCTATGAAGAAGGTTAGTAAATGTGCCTCCTCTCACTCTCTCTCTCTAAAAAAAGTAAAATTTTTTACTGATAGTAATCAATTAGATAATGATTCTGAAGCTTATGAGGCTCTTTATGCTGCCCAGAGAAATTCTTGATGCAAGTAAAAGGCATACCAGAAGTCTGTTCTCTTTACAACTATTAGAAAACTAACATTCATGTGCTATTTCAAGGGAGAATGTCTTCCCAAGACACTAAAATGCATACCATGTGAGGTGTCAAACTTTTGGGTGACTAAAAGGAAACCTATTAAAATCATGACAAATGGCAAATTTGGGGGAAGTATAATATAAAATTATAGTTGAAGGATCAATACCTTTATTTTTTATTATATTTATTATTATTATTTTTTGAGGCTGAGTCTCACTCTGTTGCCCAGGCTGGAGTACAGTGGTGCGATTGCAGCTCACTGAAACCTCTGCCTCCTGAGTTTAAATGATTCTCTTGCCTCAGCCTCTCAAGTAGCTGGGATTACAGGCACACACCACCATGCCTGGCTAATTTTTTCTGTATTTTTAGTAGAGATGGGGTTTCACCATGTTGGCCAGGCTGGTCTTGAACTCTTGACCTCAAGTGATTCAATCACCTTGGCCTCCCAAAGTACTGGGATTACAGGTGTGAGCCACTGCACCTGGCTAATACCTTTAATTTATAAAAAAGTATTTATACAGACCAGTAAGATAACCCTCAAAATGTTATAGAAAAATCAGCTTAGAATGTAAATTCATACAAAAACTGAGAAAAAAAAGGGGGCAAACATATGGAAAATATATTTAGACACACTAGTGGCAAGTATCTGAGTCACTGGCAACAAATCTCTATGGGTCTACAGCAACCTCAATTCTTGCCTTCTCAGAAGAAAGAATTGGACTGAGGGGCATAAGCGAGAAAAAGAGATGGAGGGAAGTTTCAGAGCAGAAGTGGAAGTTTATTAAAAAGCTTTAGAGCAGAAAAGAAAGGAAAGTGCGTTTGGAAGAGACCTAAATAGGCAACCGGAAGAACAAGTGCAATGTTTAACCTTGATCCTTGGACTCGATAGGCTGGCCCACCTCCACAGTCCTGTGTCCCTTTCCCATGATCCTTCCTTTAGGGTTGACTGCCCACCTGTGCAGTGCCCTGGTTACCCTTGGGAAGTGAGCACACGCAGGGTGTTTAGGAAGTTGAACGCATGCCCATCTGAGGTTTTCTTCCCTTTTCCAGTGATGTGCCCTAGTAGGTCATCCTCTGCCATTTCATCTCTTAATGCACATGCTCGGGAGGTTGTATCTCCCTGGCATCTGCATTTAATCAACACTTTAGTTCAACAGTTGTGGACCATGAGGAAATGGCTTCTCCCAGCACTGGCTGTGAGTTTGTCACTTCTAGAGAGGCAATGTAGTAATTGCCAGACCATCACCTGACATTCCTAGTGGGTGGGGGAAGAGCCCTCTCCTGCCCCGCTCATGCCTAACTACTGGTAAAATGCCTCTCTCAAGAGCTCAAGACCCTAAATCTTTGGGGGAAAATGGACAAAGGTCAGTGTTCTGTAACTGCTTCCTGCTGACAAAGGGGAAGTGGTGGTTCTGTTGGTCTTGGCCTCTTTCTAGCTGTCAGGGCAGGAGGGTGACTCCACGGGTTGGTGAAAGTGGTATGCAGCCAGGTCCAATAGAGACAGGGGCAGGGTTTTGCCTCTTTCCCGTTTCACTGTTGGGCATTCTAGGGGGTCCCTTGTAGAAGGTACCTCTTGAATATTGAAAGGATGGTACCCCTTACTGGGGATCATCTGGAGTTTGATGGCCTAAAGGTGAGGGGAGACAAATTGGGTTATTAGAATATGAGGAATGTTAAGTCAAAATAAGGGGGTGAGGACAGCTCCAAAAATTCTGAGGCTGCCAACATGCCCAGGTAACTGGTGGCTGTAGTCATGCCTGCAAAGACTTGGGTTCATAGGCTGCCAGCCATTTCCAATATGTGCCCAGAATTAGAATATGGATATTTGCCACAGCAACATTAGTAATCAAATAAATATAACAAAAAGTAATAATCCGATGTTCTTTTCCCCATCTTTCCACTTAATAAAACTTAAAATGGCTAGTAGTAAATATGTTTTGTGGCTGTATGCAATATGCTAAAATTTTTTGTCATTAGATATCCAAAACTCTTTTTAAAAGTCCTTTTACTAGAATTTTATTTTTAATTTTTATTGTAAGAAAAAATCAGATAAATTCACCAAAATATTTGTAACAGATGTATACTGCATCATTTTTATTATATAAGTGTCTTTTGATAGGGATTTACTTATATTATGATGAACACCTACAAAAAGGTAGCAGGCAGCTTCTAAATGGAAATAGCTGAATAAGTAGATAAATATGTAGAGAAGTACAGAGGACATTCATGTTAAACTACTTTTTACATATACATACATATACATGTACACAAACATACATACACTAATTTATCTGTAAACAAAATATACTTCATATTAAGGCATACAAGAGAACAAAAAGACTATGATGTCGATAAATAAATATAAGTAAATATTAACATTAAAATCATGAGCAATACAAATTATATGTTAGGGATTATGATTTTAAGAATTCAAGCAAAGATTTAGGCAATTTGTCTCTTTTTTGCCCTCTCGAATCAAAGCTAAAAGGAACCTTCTAAAACCTGGGAGATAGCCTATAATATAATCAATAACTGATCTTGCCAAATGGATAGGGAAGATATTGATGGATATTCACACACGCATTTTTGTATGTGAGGGCAGTTTTAACGCCAAATTGCAAAGTAGCTAACTCCACCCTGCCAGTTACAAACCTTTATTCTCACATCAGTTATACATTGTAACTGAAAAACTGTTCTTCAGAAAAGCTCTAAAATCCATCTGCAGGAAAATATCCTTGTAACCTCACCCAAGAATATTTGTACTTCATCTTTAGAATTATCTACACCAATGTTTTCAGATTTAGGGAGCATTGGGAGAGGTATTTGGAAATCTCCCTCTTTGCCAAAACACACTGGGTTAATGGTGTCTTCCTCTACCTCCACACCCCGCAGGGACCCTGGCATAAAATGATATCTACGGAAGTGGCTAGAAGGCTTACAGATCTTGAGCGGAGTCAATTTCAAAAGATCCTATCAGTCCGGGGGCAATAGGGATGAATTCAGCTTACCTTCCATCTCTAGAGTGACTGGGTGATTCTGTGAGAGAGGGCTATTTTGTAAAACAGCATTAACCAGTCTGGCTTTCAAATTTGCTAGAATCTTTAGGGATTTCAGATGTAGATAAAATGTCCTGTACTCTACTCACTCTGTTCCAGTTTTACGCTGCATAATAATGCCAGCTAACATCTATGAAGATACTCTGTTCTCTCCACTCTTCTAAATGCTTTGTATATGTTAATTTATTTAAACCTTACAACAACCCTATGAGGCTGAAATTACCACTTTCATCTCCATTTTATGTATATTAAAAAATTTAAAAAAAAACTAAGGAAGACAGAGGAAAATGCTTATGTAGCTTTTATATAGAAAAAAACCAGAATGTCTATCCAAGCAGTTTGACCCTAGAGTCTGTGATACGGAAACGGGGCAGAAAAGTGCTGGGTGGGGAAGGACGGGATCCCTGGTGAAGGCTCCACCCCCGGGCCTGTGCTCAGGGGCCTAAGTGAGGACAAGCATTTCTGTTTTTGCACCCCAATGTTACATTTTCCAAGACCACTCTGGCCCGCAATGCCCCGCTTCCTGTGACCATAAAAACCCCTAGACCCTAGAAGGCACACACACACAGGCAGCTGGACATCGAGAGGAACACACGGGGAGAAGAACACACTGACAGATGTCAGTAGGCTGTCGATGACATGGACGCCAAGGGGAATTCAGCTGAGAGCCCGGCAGCTGAGCGGCCCAACTCCAGGGGAAGACCACCTTCCCACTCCATCCCCCTGCTGGCTCCCTATCCATCTGCTGAGAGCTACTTCCACCCTTCAGTAAAACCTTGCACTCATTCTGCAAGCCCATGTGGCAATCTGATTCTTCCTGTACGCTATCTAAGTGAGCTGATTAACAAAAGCTGCCTCCAGACTGCTAAGCTGAAAGAGCGCACTGTAACACATGCCCACTAGAGCATTGGCAGCTGTAAATACTCAACCTAGACGCTGTTGCGGTCGTGGGGTCGGAGCCCAAGCTCCCAACGACCTGCCCATCTGCATGATCCCCCTAGGGGTTTGAGCTGTGGGGCGCAGAAGAAGCAAGCCACACCCCTGTCGCATGCCCTGCTAGGGGGATAAGGGAAAACTCCTCCCGTTTCATCTGCACTCTCAACCATTATACCACTTGTCTTTCCGACTCACAGCTGATGAGATTGCAAACATCTTAGATTCCCAAGATTTGTAATGAGGAAAACCTCATTACAAATAAAAAGAAAATGTTCAGAATGCATAAAGAAAAATGATAACTGCTTTCTTTCTACCCCCATCCTACTGTCCTGATGTAAACATTAACAAATGCCTGCCATGTTATGTTTGCACATTGTTCTTAAGTTCATACACACATTGATTCATTTATTTAAACTTATTTTGAATTACCAGAATATTATAATTGTGTTTTTTTAAAAATTGGATCATTCGATACATAATATTCTATTATTTATACTTTCTGTATTTTTCACTGATTATATATATATATTTACATGTGTATATATACACATAATAGTTGATGGATATCTCTGCTGCTAGAGAATAAGTCCTATCATTTCTGCTTTTGTAACATCATAAGCTAATGATTTTCTCCTGCAATTTTCTGTCTTCATGTTTGATCTCTTTACTTACTGTTTCACTAATCTTTCATTCTTAACCTTGAAGTCGTTATGTGTTGATTATATCTTCATTAACAAGCATTTGCTAAGCCCCTTTTATTGGCTAGGTGCTGAAAGTAGAGAAAAGTATGCAGATGTGTATCTGCCATCTTGGAACTTACATTCTTGTTATTGTCAGACCGTACTTCCATTTGATCTTTCAGAACATCAATTCAGAGTTTAACAGTGGCATTCTATTTTTAAGTTCATTTAATCTGTTCATTTAAAAAGCATGTTTTTATTTTCTTTTCAATTCAGGAAACATTTTTGCATTGTAATTTTATGCCATTGGAAATTTTTTATTATATTTTGCATAAGTTTTTTTTCTATTCTTTCCACTGGTTATAATTCAATAGGAGCAACCGATTTCATATTTTTAGCTGCATCTTCCTACCTCCATTTACTCATCCTCCTTCAATGAACTGATTCAGTAAAATTTTTCTTTAATTATACTTTATCTTGTATACTTTCAACAGCTGTTAAGACAGGTTATGGGATCATTTGGGTAATACCAAACCAGTAGCTAATGGGTGCTGTGGCAGTATCTGCCTGAGATAAAAACCACTTGGTAAAGTGTTACCCAATAGCAGAGATACAGAGAGAAGCTCACTCATCTTCCTTGGGCTTCAGGGTAGGGAATGTGGCCTTCTTCTTTGCTACAACGTCCTGAGCTCTTACCTAATGCCAGCAGATGAATTCCTTCACTTGCACTCTCCTCTGGAGCTCTTGGTTAAAATCATGGCCATGAAGCATAGTCTAAGAGTGTGCTTCAGTTTTGTTTTTGTTTTTGTTTTTAACTTAGAAAGACAGGGTGAAGTGACAGTATTTCAGGAACGCGAGTTCATTATCTTGCCATATTCCATTTATTGCACCTTTCTTCCCCTGACCCACAATACTGTTCTTTCTTTCCTGTACATAGAAAAAAACATTAAGGCAAAGTGATATGAGCTAGCAAAATAATATGATACATTTTTAAACCACAGTGCTCTAAAATCTGTGATTTGATTGATATAGATAATTTTCATTGAATGTATCCACTAATTGTGGTTTAGTGTTTTCCCCTGTTGTATATAATTTAAGACTTTTACTTTAAACATTTATTTTAAAAAAAAGCACCGAAGAGCAAAGTCAGGAATCCTAGCTTATTCCCAGGAGCCACATCTTTAATAATATAATTTGTGAAAGCGTATCTCTGCATATTTGTGAGAGCAGCCTTGCATGTGTACAGCTTAAGGCAAGATGCCAACTGATACTTCAATGTATTATTTTCACATTAGCACAGATCACAGCTGGCAGAAATGTATTGGCTTTTTAGACTTTTTTTTTGAGGTCTTCGTACCAGTTAGATAATAAAATGTGCAGATTTAAAGAACCAGGTTGGGTTATAAAAACTGAAAGCAAAATGTCATTTCATGATGAATGAGAAAATTCGGCTGAAACTTTCCTCCTTTAGGGGTTTGTTCTAGTAAAAACTGAGCACAACTAAATGATGGTTGTTGCTCAAAGGAATATTTTCATATACAATAGACAACATCATCCTCCCTGCTTGTGTTTTCAATAACCATTGCATTTTACATGACCTAAATATTAAAATATGCTAAAATTTACTCTAACCCTCAGAGAACAAAATTTCCTATTTTCTGTTTTTAACTTTTGCATCGGTGTGAGCTGCAAGCTATAGGCCCTTTACTCAGAGAAGAAACCTCCTTCCATCAAGAGAATAATGGTAAAATTTTATAATTTTATAATTTAATTCATATCACCAATTTTAAATAAATTGCATAATTTATTACATGCACATAAAATGTATTTTACACCCTAGTGTGAGTTTGTTCTACATGGAAATAGAAGGCCAGAGACTAATTTATGATTTTAAGGGCTAGAAACAATAGAACTTTTAAATAGTAAACATGCAAACTAAGCAATATGAACTACACAATGAGAACATGAGATAAACAGTTAATATTTTGCTTCTAACTTGAGTGCATAGGCAAATCGAAAGAGGACGTCTGGAGAAAAGTACCAAATGATTGATTCATTCTCCAGTATGCACCTGGAAGAACTCATATTACAGGTAGATGTTTACTTAACATTTGCAACTCGTGGTGATAATAGGCTTGCTACACAGTTTTCGGCAATGCCCACTCTTGATGTATTATATTGCAAGCAATTAGTAACAGCTACTGGGTCTTAATTTTATATGAAATATTATTATATTATTTTGAATGGTTAGTTTATAACATTATTATGATTGTTTATTGTTTAATTCTCTTTTTAAAATCGTTTTATTGATATATGATTGACATATAAAACCTGTACATGTTTTATGTATACAACTTGATGTGTTTAGAGGAAAGTATACACCCATGAAACCATCACGATCTGCACCATAAAACTGTTTATTACCTCCAAAACTTTTATATTTATATTTGTTTTTATCTTGTTTTTGTACACTTATATTTATATTTTAGATTTGATTGAATATTCAAATAAACAAAAAAATTAGACACTTCATTCTGAGAGTGTAATGAATTACACATTCACATACAAGTACACACACGCACACAAACATCAAAGCAAAATAAACTAAAAATATTAAAAATAACATTGAAATATAAATTCCACTTTTCTTCCCATTATTTTCTCATAATCTTTTTGAACTTTTTGATTCATCTAACAAATGGAAAATTATTTACTTCCTCCACATGCTGTAAAAAATACAAACTATTTCACACACCGTAAAATACATTTGTAACAAATGCTTTTCACACCCTCTTGAGAGGCTACTTGCCTTTAATGGTAGTAATTGAATTACACTGGACTGAACTAATTTTATTGGGGCAGGTGGGAATGATGAGACCAGCCTAAAGCTACAATTGAATAACAAATCTTTCCTAACATTTTAACTTTTGATTTAAAAACTGTGCTGTATCAGTACCATTAGTTTTTCTTCATTTTAGAAACCATGTAATCATTTGAGTTTATGACTGCAACTGTTCCCAGCTGTGTTGTACAAATACATTAACTGAGAATGTGAAATGTAAAAACAAATCTCATCTTATTCAGTGCTATTAAATAAATTAATACTAGAATGAAACTGTATCATCGTCAAACATGTGGAAAACAAAGGCTCTGAATGTGAAGAAATTCAATCTAAATCTGGACTACCATAATTTCTTTCTTTCTTTTCTTTTCTTTTTTTTTTTTTTTTTTTTAATACAGAGTCTCGCTCTGTTGCCCTGGCTGGAGTGCAATGGCACGATCCCAGCTGGCTACAACCTCTGCTTCCCGGGTTCAAGCAATTCTCCTGCCTCAGCCTCCTGAGTAGCTGGGACTACAGGTGCACACCGCCACGCCTGGCTAATTTTTTGTATTTTAGTAGAGACGGGGTTTCACCATGTTGCCCAGGCTGGTTGTGAACTCCTGAGCTCAGGAAATCTGCCCACCTCGGCCTCCCAAAATGCTGGGATTACAGGCGTGAGCCGCCTCGCATGGCCCAGGACTACCATAATTTCTATTATTTCACTTAAAATGGGAAGCCAAGGCGGGTGGATTACCTGAGGTAAGGAGTTCGAGGCCAGCTTGACCGACATGGTGAAACCCCCGTCTCTACTAAAAATATAACAAAATTAGCGGGGTGTAGTGGTGGGTGCATGTAATCCCAGCTACTTGGAGGCTAAGACAGGATAATCGCCTGAACCTGGGAGGCGGAGGTTGCAGTGAGCTGAGTCTGGGTGACAGAGCAAGACAGTGTCTCAAAAATAAATAAATAAATAAATACATACATACATAAATAAAGTGATAGATTATAGTAGACAACACATTATTTGCATTAAGAAACTAAATTTTACCTTCATGTTTAGTAGAAATGCAGATTCTATAGATATATAAAATATGTTTTAATATAATGTAACACCATATATGATCTAGTGTAGTATTATAAAAATGATTAATTTCAATGGAGAAAATAAGATTTCTTCGAGATAACAAGGAGAAAAGATGAATCTATTGATAACCAGTTATTTGTACTAAGCACTTTTCTACAGATACCCAAGTGCAAGACATATGTCTTAAGTGTCTTATTGTTTGAGGGATCAGCAAAGTGGTATAACTCTCATCATGATTGAAATAACTGAGAAAAACAGTTTGGGTCTAGGTTAATAGGCAAAACATTGACTCGACCTAAAGACTAATATTTAAAATTATGTATAGTAGAAAATGTACATTCAATGTAATACTTATATGCTCAACTTATTTTGACATGCTTCAACTGCAAATCCTATATTTCCATCCATTAAATTATATGAATAACTAAATATGTGGTTTATTTTAAAAAATCAGGGCCAGGTGCGGTGGCTCACACCTGTAATCCCAGCACTTTGAGAGGCCAACGTGGGCACATCATGAGGTCAAGAGATCGACAACATCCTGGCCAACATGGTGAAACCTCGTCTCTACTGAAAATACAAAAATTAGCTGGTGTGGTGCTGTGCGCCTGTAGTCCCAGCTACTCGGGAGGCTGAGGCAGGAGAATCACTTGAATCCGGGAGGTGGAGGTTGCAGTGAGTATTATTACTGCTCTTTTGGCTCAGTTGTCAATAAAGAATTTAGGTTTCATCTCTTCTGTGTGTTTTTCATACTTCCTCTGTTCCGTAATACACAGCTAAAAGTGTTCCTTGTATCCTCCCAATCTTGCCTGCTTGCTTCTCCTTGGCTCACGTGCTCCTAGTTTGTACTCTCTTTCAGTTTCATAATTTGCCTCTTTCAGGTCTGTTGGAACTTTTCTCCAGATTTAGTTACTTTCTGCAACTTCCACCCCACATACAACTATTAATCTTGTGCACTTTAAATAAGATTGAAAAAAAATCCAATGCACCATTCATCAGGACATGGCCCTCATCACAGTAAACATGGGTAAAAAGTGCAAATTGTCAGAACCTAGGCACTTTGGGCAACCTATATAGCATGTAACATTGATACTTAACCTTCTTAACAGAAAAACTTGGTTTAGATGACTCCTCTAATAGGACTTTACAATTTGTCTCAGGCTGATCAATTTGTATAAGGCTGATTAACTAAAGAAAAAAAAACCCATTAAATTTCCAGAAGTTCAAAAAGGAAATGCTGAACTATTTGCATTTTAAGAGGTCTCAAAAATATTCAATAGCTCTTCCCCAATCAGCAACATTAAGTCTATGTTTATAAAGAGACAGGAAGTTGATCCGAAAAAGCAAGTGAGAATTTCCTTGAAGATAATTGTCAGATTGGTTTATGTGTCCCCAGCACTCTTTGGGGAAATGATGCCCTTCAATGGAGTAACCCCTCTTGAAGTGTGAAGGTATCTACTAGGAGTGCAAAATAACACTCAACCCTTGAAGAGATGATTACTGATCTGTAAAATAGCTGAATCCAACATGCATTGCTACAAGAATGAAATGGTTGAAAAAAGTTTCCAAAATAAATTGTTCTAGATCTCGTGAACTTAGAAGGCATAAAGTCACCATTTTCGGAATCTTGTTGGAAAAACCAAAGAACTAGAATTGGCTGAAGCGATTTGTGACAGCAGAGAAAAGAGATGCAGTGAGAGCACCTTGCACTGCTAGAACTGGGACAAAGATGTAAGTGTAGGAAATAAATCTATTTGAAATACCCATTCCAAAGAGAACCACGCATTGGGGTAAAGAGGCTCCAGAAATAGATAGCGTTGTATTCTGCCTACGGCTGAAGGAATCCCACACATTTGCTAATCTATTTACGCTTGATCCCTTCAATACAGTGAGTTGTAGGAACCTTAAAGAATCTCACAGGTAAATCCAAATTTTAGTAACAAAAAGCAAAATCAATGGTAAAAAAAATTCTACAAATTAATGGAAAATGTTTAAAGCTTAAAATAATTTGAGATATTATGATATTCATTTCCAGTAACAAAAAGTGTGTTTTAAAAAGTGATGTGTGCTATACTTGGATGAGAATCATGGTCAGTGGTGGAGGCAAGATATGGATGAAAGTGCCTCTTAAATACATAGGTACCAATGTCACACCACAGGCTTTGAATCAGAATCTCTGTGTGCTGAGCTCAGCAGTTTCACATGTTGCTTAAATGGTGCTTATCCACAAAAATATTAAGAATCACTGGACCAAATCATAAGGAATAAAAAAGTAACATAAAGGAAAAAAAATCAACTTGAGACAAATAAAAGACACGTACTGTTCCTCTGAAGTATCTTTATCTAGGTCCTTATGTCTTTTCAATATCTTTCCTTGTATTTATATACTCTATGGAAAACAGTACCATAATAATTTTCATACTAAAAGGGAACACAAAGGCAAATGTTCAGGATATCTGAAATGATTTTCTGTCTGTTTTCAAATTGAGATTTTTGTTTTACTTAATCACTAAAAGAGCAGTAGTTTGTTTAATTTGCTATTCTTAATTGCATTAAATATTAATAATTTAATTATAAACCAAATGAACTGAAAGTTAGTTTGGCTATTTGAAAAACCACAAAATACGGTAATGCCACAGTTCAGTAATTTTGGCTTTATGTAATTGAATTATATGTCCTATTCTATTTGAAATTAAACACTGTATAAAAACTTAAGAGATTTTTCTTGTGTTACAGGTTGAATTAGATCACCCTGAGATGGAAGATTTCTCTTGATCCCTTTGTGGGACTTGCTACAGGGGTATAGCTTGCTTACTCTGCCACTGCTTTCAAACCCCTTGTGGGATGGGGAGCATGCAGGCAAGTGAGTGCCGGGGCCAGGGCGAGCACTTTTGGGCTCCAGCCCCAAGGCAGCATCTAGGAGTGTGTTACAATGAATGCTCTTTTAGCAGTTGCTGTCCGTGGACGGCTAGGTGTTAACCAGCTCAGTGAAGAATCAGGGTGATGACAGCCTTTTATACCCTATCCTCTTGGTACCCGGGTTCTTCTTTGACATCCCGGAAGAATCAGGTCTTATGAACTGTTTGAAAGGTGATGAATGCAGAGGATTTTATTAAGTGGTGGAAGTAGCTCTCAGTATAAGGGGAGCTGGAGAGGGGATGGTCCTGGAAGAAGGTGACCTTTCCCTGAAGCCCAGCAGGACAGGGCTGAGCTCCTCTCCGAAGCTGTGCTATCTGAGGTTAAGCCGCGTCTATCTGTGGTCTCCAATGCTCAGTTGCTTCTTCTCCTGTTAATAGTCAGGTGCTTCATCTCTTCTCTCCTTCTCTGCTGCACTGCTCTGCTCCTCTGTCAGGAGCTTGGGGTTTTTTGGGGTATAGGATAGGCGTGGCAGGCCAAAAGGCGACATTCTGGCAGGAAAACAGGAATGTGAAGTTTCCATTTAGGGCCACGGGTTCAGGGGTTCAGGCTTGAGGGTGGAACCCTTGTCAGGGACTCCACCCTCTTCTACCCAGTATTTCCCTGCCTCCTGTTTGTATCACCCCCAAAGATGCTGAAATCCTAACCCCTAGGATTTTCATATTTTGAAATAATATGACCTGATATGAAAACAGGATTGTTACAGATGTAATTAGTTAAGATGGATCATACTGGAGTAAGATGGACCCTTAATACAAAATGACTAGTGTTCCCTATAAGAAGACAAGAAACACAGACATGGAGATCCAAAGAGAAAATAAGTCCATATGACCATGAGGATGGATATTAGAATGATGCATCTCCAAAACAAGCAACTCCAAGGATTGCCAGAGAAAAAACAAACAAACAAACCAACAAACAGAATCTTGAAGAGGAAGGGAAGCATTCTCTCCCACAGATTTCGGAGAGAACATGGCCTTGCTGTCATCTTGATTTTGAACTTCTAGACTACAGCACTGTCAGAAGGGAAATTTCTGCTGTTTTATATCACCAGTTTGTAGCACTTTGTTATGGCAGCTCTAAAAAATATATTCACTTCGTATAATTACATATGGTAATAACTCAAATAAATGAAATATTTTGTTCAAATGGAAACTTACAAATTTATTTTCACAGGAGGAAAAGATGCTAATATTTGAATTTGCATAAATGTTTAACTATTGTAGATATATTAGCACAATGAGTAACAGAGAACTCTATATTGAAAATTTTGGTAAGTTTATTAAATATACCTTTGACCTTCCACAAGTATGCTCAGGATGCTAATATTAGAAAAATAATATATTTTTTTAATATTGAAAAGAAGATTTATGGATACAGTTATCAAAGGTAGTTGACAGAAGATACCTTAGAAATTGAAGTGATTGGTCTAAATAGAAATATGTCTGATATGTTAACTGTTTTCTTAAGTTACTCAGGTATTGCGTATTTTTATTTTCTTTTTGCACATTTTAAAGTATTGACTTGAGGAGGGACTTACTTTGATTCCTGACTACAATTTCATAAAAATAACTGTTCAGAAAAAGAAATTCAAAGCAGCATTCATTCTGACTCCTAAGAAAGAATATATTTAGTGTCCCTCAGGGGGCCGTAGTTTCAATGAAATTGCTAAGTAAATGATATAGGAATATGGAACAAAGCTGAAGAGGAACAAAATCTTTAGATTTTAAACCATACATATTATGGTACAATTAATGAGAGAGGGCCAAAGGGGGAAAAATTATATGATCTACAGAAGAGAAGACTATGCAGTCTACTGTCATGAGAACAGACATAAGAAACTATACCATTGTAAGTTCTGGGAAAACAATGGTGTTGAAACGTTAATCCTATATCCAAATAAAGGTGTCAATCATGAGTTAGGACAGTTAAAATAATTTTATATATGGGATATCTTAAATTATTTCCTAATCCTGCATTCTGATATAACAACTCTTCACACTTACAAAATTATCTCAGCAACAGAAACAAACAAAATAAGAAAGAAAGACATGGATTTCATGAGAAGAACTAATCTGAGAATGTAATAATAAGAAACTAAAGGATTAAGGTAGACATTTGACCCAAAAAGCTACCTATCAAAATTAGAACTATAACCAATGAGCTTCTAAAGAAAATGAATCTGCACATAGACAAAAGGAAATTCCAGTCAACAAATATTTGCTTAAGGCCCTAAATGCTTTTGTAATATTATTAAAAATATTTTGAAATAGTTACTATAAATCCCAAGAAAAATATCAATCAAAACAAAAACGTCACAGTTTAAAAACTTGACACAATTTTGAAAATGTCTTAGGTTGTAAGAATAAAGTCAATTTGATTTTAATGTTTGGGCCATTCTCTCTTTAACATCACACGTTTTAGGATCATTATTATTGCCATAATCCAACCACATCATTTTATATTTTACAGTGAGTAACAGTTACATGATTGAACTTGAAAGCCTCCTAAGAGCTCCCAATGCAGTTGGGACATTATAGGCCAAGGTCCTAATATAAGAAAGGACAATTACTGTGATTATCCCAGTATTTTAAGCTGTTTTCCAGTTTACCAGTTTACAAGGAAAATATGGCACATAACTTAAGAGCTAAGAAGAAAATTGCAGAGAATAGGCATTAAGAAAGATTTTGGTAATTTTATGGGACTGAGAAAATAATTTAGAGTTCTGAGATGGCAAAGTCATCATGACTTGGGGAATCAGAGACCCTAAAATATATGAAGCCCAGAGAAGTAAGCCTCGTACTGTGCTGCTCTCATTGAGCCATTTGCACACATATGCCTGATGCTGGGGGAGAGGATCAAAAGACCTGCAGAAACCTTCATGTGCAGAGAGTAGGGAAGTGTCATGTTCCTAGGAATAAAAAATATTTGAATTTAGGAACTTTGGAGGATATAGAGATCTTGTCAACATTCCAGACCCTAACCTGGTCTAGGGATATAGCCTAGGATTAAGAGGAAATCAGAAAAAGGTCTAAAAATGCAGCCTTAATCAGTTTAATTTCTGATTGGATTTAAGGCAATCTGCATCAAAATTTATTGACAACCATAAGCTGTTATTTCAGATTATGACTAAAATAAAATAATATTTCATCAGGATTCCCAGATGTAAATAAGATTATATAAAACTTTTTAAAATTTTTCAAATCAAATATTTGGCATTCCATGAAAAATCACCATGCATACAAATCACCATGTATCAAAATTCTGTTGATTCTGCAGAATAAAGAAAAATAACTTAAAAATAGTCATTCAAATACAAATTTTTAAAAAGAGCTGTAATTATTATGTTCAGCAAAGTATGTGATTCTGGGAAACTAGAGTTCCAGAGAACTAAAATCTGTAAAAAGTGCAATGGCAATTCTGGTGCTGAACAATATAGTAGTTGAAATAAAGAGCTCAGTAGAAGAATTTAACACTAGAGAGGACAGAATTGAAAAAGACAAATAGTATATTGAAAGACAGGTTACTAGAAAATATGTTTACAGTTAAGTGAATAATTGCAAACCTAATGAAAACATTATCTTCTATGAGAAACTCTAAGGCTTACTGTTGACTTTCAAAAGAAAGAAAGAAAGCCAAAAGAAAACATAATGACATATTTATAGGTTGGAAAGAAAATAATCATTAACCTTGAAATTTAAACCTCGTAAATATGTGCTTCAAAAATAAACAAAACATATTTTTAGACAGTCAAAAACTGAGAAAATATGTCACCAAAATGGCTTTTGTGTAGGAAAAGACAGATCAATGGAAGACAATAGAAAACCCAGAAAGATAATTGCATATCTGTTGACTTGGTTTGTGACAAAGATGAAACTGCAGTGCAGTGAAGAAGAAAAATAAATGATACGGGCTGAAGTAAATATTTATCTTTAAAAATATATATTAATACTATGAAGCCATAAAAATGAAGATCATGTCCTTGGCAAGGACATGGATGGAGCTGAAGGTCATTATCCTTAGCAAACTAATGCAGGAACAGAAAACCAAATACCACATGTTCTTACTTATAAGTGGGAGCTAAACGATGAGAATACATGAATACATAGAGGAGAACAACAAACACTGGGGCATATCAGAGGATGGAGGGTGGGATGAGGGAGAGAAATGGGAAAAATAACTAATGAGTACCTGGCTTAATACTTGGGTGATGAAATAATCTGTCCTGCAAACCCCATGACACAAGTTTACCTATGTAACAAAACTGAACATATATCTCTGAACTTAAAAGTTAAAAAGATTCAAGAGGCTAAAACTTCTGATAATAAAGTAAACTTGAATTAAAAAGGAAAAAGAAAATCTCATCCCATAATTCATAAAATTAAAAATTCTAAATTCTAAATGCTGGAAAAACTACTTTTAGAAAATAATGCAGGAGAACAACTTCTTGACCTTGTGATAGGCAGAACATTTCTTAAAGAGGATATACAGAGTGTTAACCATAAAGGAAACATAATAAATAGGAATATGTTAAATAGTTCTGCTAATTAAAGGACAATATTAAAAAGTTTAATGGAAGGTGAAATATGGATAAAATGTGCTATACATGCAGATTAAAATATGGTCTATATTAAGAATTCTTATAAGTCAATAAGAAAAAGATAAAATAATTAAAACACGGTTAAAGCTGTTGAACCAGGATGTCATATAATGGAAGTGTAATTGGGCCAAAAGAAATTGAAAAGATGTTCAATCTCAAATGCAACAGAAAAATTAAGCTTAAAGCTGTAAGATACCAGTTTAAACAAAATAGAATGAAAAATATATATGGCTAAAATAAAAACTGGTGATATCTCTGGTTGGTATTGATTTGAAGCAAATGACATTCTCATGTACAGCTATACTGCTGCTGGCACTGTAAGTAGGTCTTTGGAAAACTGTTTGGTAGTATCTACTAAAGCTGAGCATATCTAAACTTGAGATCCATGTAGATCTAATGAACAGAGACAGAATGCTCTTTATACATGGATGAAGTTTGTAACTGGAGGAAGAATAAGGGTAGATTTGGGATGCTAATAATGGTCTAATTACTGATTTGGGGTGGTCATGTAGGTATACTCATTTTAAAAAAAAGTATTAAGCTATATATGATTATGAATTTTGTACCATTCTGGCATTATGTCATATTCGGAAGAGTTTACTTTAAAAAGTCAGTAACAAGGCTGGGTGCAGGGCCTCACGCCTGTAATCCCAGCACTTTGGGAGGCCAAGGCGGATGGATCACCTGAGGTCAGGAGTTCGAGACCGGCCTGGCCAACATGGCAAAACCCCGTCTCTGCTAAAAATATAAAAATTAGCCGGGCGTGGTGGTGGGCGCCTGTAATCCCAGCTACTTGGGAGGGTGAGGCAGGAGAATTGCTTGAACCTGGGAGGTAGAGGTTGCGGTGAGCCAAGATCATGCCATTGCACTCCAGCCTGGGCAACAAGAGTGAGACTCCATCTCAAAAAAAAAAAAAGTCAATAAAAAACTAGAAAATATACTCTCAACATTTATAGTGGAAAAGGATAATAGGGTAATTAAAACCTGTACTAGTTTGCTAGGGATGCCATAAAAACATACCACAGACTGAGTGGCTTAAACAACAGAAATGTATTTATTCACGGTTCTGGAGGCTAGAAGCACAATATCAAAGTGTTGGCAGGATTGGTTTCTTTTATAGCCTTTCTCCTTGGCTTGGAGATGGCCATCCCCCCACTGTGTCCTCACGTGGTCCTCTCTGTTTGTGTTTGTATCTTCATCTCCGTTTCTTGTGAGGGCACCAGTAACACTGGATTAAGACCTGCCCTAATGACTACATTTTAACTTAATTTCCTCTTTAAAGATCTCCAAAGGCAGTCACATTCTGAAGTACTGGGGCTTAAAGTTTCAACATATAAATTTGAGAAGGACAAAATTCAGTTCATAATAACCTTAATAAAAATTATAACACTGTACACTATATAAATCTATTAATTGATATAAAAATAAACAACTGAGAGAAACATGCCTTTCAAAAATAAAAACTACAAATGGCTGATAATATATAATAATAATTTTAAGTTACAATTTTTAAAGAAAGTAAGTTTACCTAATGAGATGATATTGTTCTCCTCTTTTTGGATAAAATAAGGGAGAGAGAGGCAGAGATGGAGGAGGAGTGAGAGGAAGGAAAGGAGGAGGAAAATGAAGGAGAAGGAGAAGAATTAGAAAATCAATAATGAGAGTAAAATCAGTGACAGTAGTAAAATAAGTAAGTCCATTCTGAATAGTTATTTGAGCATGTACAAGATGCTTCATTCTAGAGTGGAAATTTAAAATATTAATGTATTTGTGTGTAATGTGTGTGTGTATACACACACACACACATAACACACACACATAACACCCCCACACATATATATGTGCATGTATGTGTGATTCAGTGTGGGTGTATATAACATAACTCACAGAATTATACAAAAACCTTAAGATATATTAACATTTATGCTGTATAACATAATTTAAAAAAATTGTTTTATAAGTTTTTATTTCTTTGTACTTTTTAACCACATAATTTTTAGTAAAAATGTTATAATAAGAAACAGAAACTCAAAAAAGCTTTATAGTATTGTCCTCTCATTCCTTTTGAGATTACTGAAATATAACAAATAATTTTTGATCATGACAGGTAGTTAGTAAAATAATTTAAATGTTGACTGAAGTGAAAAACCATGGATTTCTCGAGAGGAAAGCACTAGGGGAGTCTATAAGACCTTTAAAATTTCCTTGAGTATATTGCTGCTTTTGATAACTGTAGTAGGTCTGCTACATTCTTAATAGAAGAACCACTGCACAGTGGTGGAGCAAATGGGAAGCAAGACCCTGGGGAGTTGAGAAGGAAAGCCCCAAGGAATAAAACTTCAAATGTGAGAGCTGGACTTTGGGCCAGCAAAAGAATTAAAAATCAAGCTTCCCTGAGGATTAGAGAAGTGGAAAATTATATCTATAATCATTTCTTGGTGGAAAGTAATGAGTATAATTAAAATAAAATTGTTTCCAAAGAAAAGAAGACAAACTGAAGACAAATCCATATATAAGGGTCTACAGATAAAGAATTTTTTAATAACTATTTTGTCCTGAACAATACAGAAATGTGTAATATAAAATATGTGTTATAGCAAGAAGGTCGCCCAAATTAACCAATGTTAATAATATACTTATGATGATATGTCTAAATCTTATATTGATATAACAATAAGAAAAATAATTATAATAATAACTAACATTTTAGCACTTTTTATGTGCAAGGCACTCTGCAAAATATGTTACATATACCATCTCCTGTGATCTTCCTAACAATACTATGTGATAAATACTATTATTTTTCCAATGTTAAAGATGAATGAATCAAACCATAGATAAGTAACTTTCCTTACATTACTCAACTTCAGAGTAGCTAAACAAGGATTTGAACCCAAACATTTCGTACCACATGGCTCATTCTTCATTATTAGGACAGGTGGTTAATTCATTTATTGACTAAACAAATGTTAAACATTACTATGTGTCAGGTACAGTTTTAGACCCTGAGAAAATAGTAGGCAAAATTCTCTGCCTTCATATAATTCATGAATTAGTGGTGTAATTCAGTCTATAAAGAAGACCGAAATCACAAATGTTATATCTTGGGAAGTCTAAAGAAATGAATCTAATGGTAGATGGGGAGAGAGATAATTGAGGTTAGTGTAGACTTAAAATAGGATAACAATCGCACACTTTACTGAGACAGTGAAATTTTAATAAAGACCTATGAGAATCAAGGCATTCAGGCAAGATGTTTTATGGGAAAGAACATTCCAGTTACAGGGAATAACAAGTGAATGAACCACTGCTCCCAACCTAGGTCAACTTTTCTGTCTTATGGCTATCAGCTATCTTGTGATTTTGAAAACTCAGTACAAACTTTCTAGTATGTATCATGTCTTCAAGAGCGTTAGCATGCAAGTCAGAGTGGAAAGGCTCTATCTTTTATCAGGGGAAAGATTTTACAAAGAAGACTCTCAAAAGATTTTCCAGTGTGTCTTATTGGCAACGAGTTCATCACAAGCCCACCTCTACAACAAATACAAAAGTGAATAGATTAACATGGTTGAGCTAGACCAAGGTTTTCTATTGTGTTAGGCAATCTTCTTCTCAGTCTTTCTAAAGAAACCTATAGCCATTTACTAGAGTGTCATGTCCATCCATTAAGAATGAGGACATACTTAGAATTTATGGAAAGGACTGGGTTCTTTCTCTGAATTTACACTAACCTAATGTGCAACACATGCTCACCTTTCAAATTAGGAGCTTGCAAAGATTAATTTATAAGTGGAAATTTGACTAGATCTACTCACAATATAGTCGTGTGAATACGCAACCCTATGTGTTTATTGCCCTAGGTTTTGACTACATAGTTGGAATAAACATAACGAACAACCTGGCAGCAAACCACTTCAGCCTCATTACATGGAATAAGGACCATTAATAAAGTGTTAAATGAAACCCCTCAATTGTCCCTTTCTATCACATTAGTATTTTATATGTATTCACATAGCAATTCATGTTCACATGTTCGGAGAAAAGCCTGCAAGCCTACTCCAACATGGTTTTTCATAAGAGAAGAAGGGATTTTTTTAAATTTAATAACTATATTACCTAGTATATTGTTTTTGTTGGGGCACATGAGTGCTTTGTAAAATAATGATAATTATAGTATTAAAATAAAATAAAAGCATAACTTAGAAAAATATTTTGTATGCAACTAAAATAGTTCTGAGAATGATATTTATAAGAGTATATGTTTACAAAAGAAAAGAAGAAAGGTCTCAAGCCAATCATCTAAGCTCACACCTTAAGAGAATTGAAAAGAAACAACAAAAATAAACCCAAAATAAGCAGAAGGAACGAAATAACAGAGATAATGTTATAACTCAGCAAAATTAAGAACAGGAAAATACAGAAAATAAAACCAAAAATGACTTCTTTGAAATAATAAATACAGTTAATAAACCTCTAGTTAGTGTAACAAGAGAGCAAGAGTGAGAGAGAGAGAGAGAGAGAGAAGGGGAACACAAATAACCAATATCGAAAATGAAGGAGAAGTCACTGCTACTGATAATATACATTAAAATGATGAAATAGACAACTCTATGCCTAGAAATTTGATAATTTACATGAAATGGGCCAATTCTTTCAAAGACACAATCTACCAAAACTCACACAATGAGAAATCTGTAATCTGAATTAGTCTAAAAATATTAAATGTATTGAATCAATAATTAATAACAATTCAGAAAACAAAGTATAAAGTCCAAACGGTTTTACTGGTAAATTTTATTAATCAATAATTAATAATCTTTCAAGAAAGAGCATATGAAGTCCAAAAGCTTTTACTGGTGAAACCTTAAGGAAAATGATACCACATTTCAATAATGTGTTTCAGTAAATAGAAGCAGAGGGAACACTTCCTGACTCATTTTATGAGGCCGACAGTACCATATATGAAAAAAAGATAAAGACATTATGAGAAAGGAAAATTACAAACCAATATCTCTCACAAACAGGGTGCAAAAATACTCGACAAAATATTAGCAAATCAAATCCAACAATGCAAAAAACTATGCATCATGACCAAATAGGATTCATTGTAGTTATACAAGGCTGGTTCAGCATTTGAAAATTAATCTGTGTAAGCCACTGTATCAATAGGGTAAATAAGAAAAATTATTTGATCATATCAATAGATGTAGAGGAATATTTGATAAAATCCAGCACTCAGTCATGATTGAAAGCTCCTAACAACTAGGAATAGAGGAGAATTTTTTTAACTTGATGGAAAAAGTCTACAAAAACTTGCAGTAACTTCTTGCTTAATTGTTAAAGACTGAATGCTTTTGCTCTAGGATTGGGAACAAGGTAACAATATCTGCTCTATCCACTTATCCAACATAGTACTGGAAATTCTAGACAGCACAAAAAGCAACAAAAAGATATAAAAGGCACATAGAATGGAAAAGAAGAAATAAAACTGTTCCTATATACAACATTATAATCGTCTATATAGAAAACCCTAAGTAATATACAAAAGAATGCCTACAACTAAAAGGGAATTTAGCAAGGTCTTAAGATACAAGATTAACACATATACAAAATCATTCTCATCTCTACCTAAAAATAATGAACTTGTGGATAAAGAACAAAATACCATTTACAATTGATTCAACAAAAAGTAACAAAACATACATAGTTTCTATATGTTGATGATTTCTAAATTATGATGAAAGAAATCAAAGAAATCAAAGAAGACATAAATAAATGTAGTCATATATGTTGTTCCTGAACTGGAAATATCAATATAGTAAATTATCCATTCTTTTCAAGGTAATCTATAGGTTTAAATGCAATTTCTTCAAAATTTTAGCAAGATCTGTTGTAGATATATTAAGCTTATAAAATTAATATGGACAATCAATCACACTGTATATTATGGATAAAATAATTTTGAATAAAAGGAATAAAGTGTGATTAATCACTCTGCTCATATTATGGCTTATATAGTCACAGCAAACAAGACATATTGGTTCTGGAAAAGAAATAGACAAATAGATCAATGGAACAAAATAGAAAACCCAAACGTAGTTCCACACAAATATGGCCTACTAATTACTGACAAAAGTACAAAGCAATTCAATGGAGAAAAAAATAACATTTTGAACAAAGGGTGCTGGAACGATTGGCCATTCACAGGCACCAAAGGAAACAAATGATAAAAACAAACTCTTAAGGTGAACCTCACATTTTATATCAAAATCAACTCAAAATTAATCATCAAAATATTTATCATGAAAGTAGAAGAAAATCTAGAGCTAAGCATACAATCCTTAGAATTAAAAGCAAATGTACTATCTATAAAATGAAAATGAAATGAAATGAAAATGAATATGATCTATAAAATGAAAATTTATAAATGAAGAATTGATCAATTGAGTCTTTTCAAAATTAAAACTTTTGCTCTGTGAAATACCCTATTAGGAGGACAAATACACAAACTATAGACTGGGAGAAAATGTTTGAAACCACATTTCTGACAAAGGACTTGTACCTAGAATATATGAAGAACTCCCAAAATTCAACTGTACAAAAAAAATCCAGTTAGAAAATGGACAAAATATATGAACAGTTAGCTGGAAAGGTATACAGGTGGTAAATAAGCATATGAAGAAATGTTCAACATTATTAGCCATTAGGGAAGTGAAAATTAAAATCACAATGAGATATTACTATACATTTACCAGAATGAGTAAAATAAAGAAAAGTAACACCAAATGCCGGTGAGAATGGAGAAAAATTGGAGGACTCATGCATTGCTGGTGGAAATCTAAAAGAGTATATCCACTCTGGAAGATTATAACAATGTTTTAAACAATTCTATAGGCAGTTACCCCACAGCCTTGTAATTTTGATCTTGGACATTTTTTCCCAGAGAAATGTAAGCCTAAATTTACACAAAAATTTGTAAACAATTTTATATAGCAGTTTTATTTGTATTGAACCAAATCTGAAAGCAATCTAAATGTCCTTTGACAGATAAATGGTTAAAGAGTCTGCAGGACCTTCACTCAATGGAATAGTAGTCAGTAATAAAAATGAATAAACTATTGATACATAAAACTGAGTTGGATCTCAAGAACATTATGACGAGTTTTTAAAAATCTCAAAATACAGTATGGTTACATTTATACAACGTCTTTGAAATGGTAAAATTAGAGTTGAAAAACAAATTAAAAGTTCATAAAACTTAGGAAGGAGAGGAGGAGAGAGGTAGACGTGACTATAAAATGGTAGCACAAGGAATCCCTGTGTTGAAATTTTTCTTATATTGAATATGATGATGGTCATGTGAGTTTACACATGATAAAATTACACAGAAACAAGCACACACACACGCATCTTAAATTGGTGAAAGACAAACGTGATTAATGCACTACAGCAATATCAATCTCCTGGTTGTGATGTCATACTATAGCTATTCAAGATGTATTATTATCTATATTATTTCTTAGAACTCAATGTGAATCTACAATTATCTGGAAACAGTTTTAAAAATTCCTGATAAAAACAAAATAAATTCCTTTATAGTTTAAAAAGTTATATTTAAAAACAAAATGAAAATTACAAAATAATCCTAATTTGAGCATATATATTTATATATTATAGCAATTTATGCTCATCTTTATCTTTAATAACTTAATAACTAAACTATTAAGCATACTGTATTTTATTTTGTCATTGAATAATGTAATTTGACTGAGGAGATTTTTTATGTCCAAATTATTTAAAATAATATTCACCCAAAGATAACAAAAATGCGACACGTTTGTTCCTAAGAGGGCCATCTAGTTGTACCATGAAAAAATTGCAAGTGTGTGAAGCTCTAATTGAACTGGCTTATCAGGAATGTATTATGCAAGTTTAATTCATGCACAGTGACATTTAGTATAATGTATGCTTTCCCATTTGTTAGATTGTTTATCCTCTCCCAACAGTATATCATAACAAATTTACCAAAAATCATTACTTGAACAGTCTTCTGTTCTTGAGGACTACATTTTTATTTGCCATTTTATATTCACAAGTGTCTTGATGCTTGCCACAGTAATTTTTCATTAGAAAATGTATTTCTTACATAGCCTATTAAATACAACAGTCTGTGGTTTATTTAATGTAATTGCTAGCTATATGCAGTTCTTTTATTTTATAAGCAACCAGCATATAACCACATGCAGTTATTTTACCAATGGCAATAAAAATTGCACTTAGGATATACATACTAAATACTATCTCCATTATCTTTTGATTCAAAGTCAGAAGAAAAATTACCAAATGTCATTGAAATTTATTTTAATACACTCAAAGTACAAAATAAGTATTAGAATGCTAATACAGATGGTTTTGGTGGTTAAATAATTAAAAGAGCAATGTTTTCAGGATGAATTTGGGATTCAGAAAAGCATTATAGATATTGGAAACTCATTTATTCAATTAAATTTAAACTCACTTCTCAAGATCTGGTATCAAATGTATGAAGGAGAATAATAATATACATGATCCTTCTCCTATTTCAGTAGTCCAATACCATTGAGTCCTGGGAGAGTGAAATATTTAGCTTATAGAATCATAGAATATTTAGCTACACCCAGGTTGTCTTCAGAGCAATAGAAATGAAGTACTTCCCAAGCCAAACCAGACTCATTTGTATTTCACAAATTTGAACTTTCAACAACATCCCAAGTAGTCTTCCAGTATTTCCATCTCTCCCTCCCAATAAAAGTCTTTCAACACCAAGACTGATTTTACAGGTATAGGGGATCATTGGACATAATCTTTTCGGGATAATTCAGTCGTGCCAACTTTGGGCTATGTGTTAAGAATTCCCAAATCTGGTCATATTTTCTTGCCTACGTGACTGTGAACTATTTCATCAGTTTTAGTGTTAACACAGAAGAGGCCAGGATTTTCAATATTTGGCGCACTATTCCAAATATCTAAGAACCTATAGGTATTTATAAGGTAGGGGAAAGAGTAAAACTTCAATTCTTGTAGCGTTAATTTGAGAGATTCTTTAACAGAATTCAAGTGAATTATACTCCCCTAGCAGAAAGTAAGTGGAGAAAAAAACTGCAAAATTTCTGGCCTGTCCATGGTAATTCACTTTTAATATTAAACCTTCTTTATTATATTGATACAAATCATTGAGCCCCACATTCTGACTTTAATAGTAGCACCATAGGATGTTATATGGATATCACTCTTCAACAATATATTCACCTAAAATATAGATTAGAAAATATTTGATATGGCAATCCTAATGTCCCATTATATAATATATCAAGAAACTAACATTTATAAGTCTATCTAAAATTTATTTGCATTTTCCAGAAATCAAAATCTCTTGGGAGATAAGAGTCTCTATGTTTTTACAAAATATGATGTACAGTTCTGTGTTTTTATGTGTTCTTATATATGACCTAATGTGGCCCAAGGCTACTCTGCAAGGTAGATACCTAAAGAAGGGTGGAATGAAGGGATTGAAATAGGGGGAATGAAGGGATTGAAATAGGGCAAATTCTTATTTTGCAAAAATTTAGAAATGAAAAATTGGATATAAAGTTGTGGTTGCTCCTAAAGGTTTTAATTGCATGTCATTCACTTCCCATGTTGCTCCCTGTTCTCTGATATTCTCTTTCCATTATCTACCTTTCCTGCTATCCCCATACCTCCTCATTCTTCCTAGGATGCTCCTAGTTTATGCCATTTCCCTTAACTTTGGTTTAATCCACCCTTCTCTCTATAGATGTGTGTGTGCTTTGAATGGTTTTCCAACATAAGCCCAATATAATCATTTCTACCTCACAAAGTTTGTGAAATAAGGGATACTTATCTTCTTCTTTTCAAAAATTTTGTCTTGATGGAAACTTACAAGCACTCCTAAATTCCTCCGTTTTATGGCTTATGGGTAATCCAATCTCTGATAATTCCAAAATTGTTAGGAAGAAAACTTCAAATGATTTTTACATTTCAAGAAGATATAGTTTCTTTATATATTTGTAACATTAACGATATACAGAACTGAGGATCCTTTTTATGCCTAATGCCATAATTGTTGCAGGAACATGTTAAAGAGAAAATTGGAACTTTAAATAACCTCTGCAAGTGAAAATACAAAAATATTTTAATCTAAACAAAATGAAAAATAATTAATTAGGGAAAATAATACCAACAAGGTGATAACTGCCGTGAGACTCTGGAGAATCCTCTTACGGTGAATGAACTAAAAACATTGAAAAATTAAATAACATAAATATGTTAGTTTACCACAAAATAGTACAGTAATATTTGTGGTACATATTAAAGAAATTATGAATTTTAAAGGTTTAAGACAAAATTGTTAAAAAATAGTCTTATTTCTAAACTCTTATGATTGTATCAAGAGCATATATCATTGTTCTTTCTATGTAAAATGACTTTTAATGACCTTGAGTGGATCATAAATCTATCACTCCATAATTCAACTTCTTTCCTTCTGCATTTTCTTTCTTTATACTTAGTTGAGAAGGTCAGAACCTCAGGTCGCCATTAAACCCCTGATAGTCATCATGGAGTTCTGATGTCAAGTTGTGAAAATAGTTTTTCTAGCTGTAGCATTTGCCTATTGGCAGACTCCCCAGGAAGCTGTGCTGGCAGATTTTAAATTGCCCTTGGGCCTGTCATACAATTTAACTTCTAGAAGACTAGATTAACGGCTGTTCTCCTTTCTTTCACTCACTTTCTTCTTACTCTTTATTTTTTTCTCAAAATTTTCTTCTGTTTATTTAGAGGAAAATGCAAATCACCTTCAATGGCAAGGACCCTTTATCACTAGGAATACACTTAGGTCGTGAAACTTTGAAATTGGATTTACTCTCTGTCCTCCAATGACTCGCACTTCCTTTGAAATGCATGTGTGAAGAGGGAAAACTATCATATCATGAAACTTATTTAATTTTTCCTGGTGTTCTGAAATATTTCAGTGTGTCACTTAGGGAAAATAGTTTGTGCCATTTTTTAATATTACTATTAAATGATTTTTGAAGCGGTTTGGGGACATAATTTACTCTTCCAGTTCACTGTGTTTACTTCAAAAAGAGTAAATACACTTGAGTTTGTGATAATCTTTTAATAAAGAATATTGTCTAGGGTAAGGCAAAATAGATTAGTTATATAAATTGTAATAAAGACATTATATATTCAAAAATTGCATTAAAGTGGCATAATATTTACTAAAATGAAAGTATGTGAAATTTGACATTAGTAAATTTAATTTGCAATTTTTAAAGAGTTTAAAAGTTTCAATAAATTCGGTCCATGGCTCCAACAGTTTTTAAATTACAAAATTATGTTTTATAAGTTTAAATCTGAAAAGAGAAGTGCATCATAGAAATCTGAATGGTTGATATAATTTTCATTCTTTTAACATGTTTAACATTTCATATTGTCCTAAGCTGGATATATATATTTTTTTCATGCTTGCAGTCCCAGACTTGTCTTCAGCACATCTGTGTGCTAGAGAAATCTTGCATCAGGCAAGGATGGCTGCTGCACATGCATCTTCTATTAAACTATAACTTAAAAAAAAACTTTATGCATATGTTTTTTCTCCATTTAGAAGACTATATACAGTTTTCTTACATTTTAAACAATAACAAACCTACAAAATATGGAGGTAGAAAAAAACTATTTTATTTATGAACTATTTGACAGTAAGTTGCTAACTTGATGGCCCTCGCTTCTGAATACTTTAGTATGCATTTCCTAAAAAAAGGACAGTCTCTGACCTAACCACATTAGGATCAATATCATAAGGACATTTACATTGATATATTCTTATTATTTAATCTTTAGACTCCATTCTATGTTACCAGTTGCCCCAGTAACTTTTTTTATAGGGAAAGTATCCACTTCAGAATCCCATGTTAAATTGAAATGTCATATCCCTTTAATCTCCTTCATTCTGGAACAAGTTCTTAGCCTTTCCTTGATTCTCAAGAGTTAAGGGATTAAATATGAATACTTTTGAAAATTATGTCTTACTTATTTCAAAAAATGCCCCTAAATATTTATTTGCCTGATGATGGTCTCTTATGATTAGGTTCCGTATACACCTTTTGACAAGAATATCACAGAAGTGCACTACATGCTCTTCAGGGTATTCCATCAAGTAGCACACAATTTTCATTTGTAAAATTACTGATGATGTTCACTTTGATCATTTGATCAAGGTGGTGTCTGGCAGGCTTCTACAATGTAAAACTACTGTTCCTTCTTTGTAAATGTGTTTATGAGAGAGGTACTTTGAAAATATATAAATATTGTTACTCATCAAATTTTCAATTAATTTTATTTATTTATTTACCTTTACATCTGTATGACAGGTGACTTAAGATCCCAGTTTGCCCAAGATGGAGAGATTTCTCAGCCTTCAGGACTTTAGTACTCAAACTGGAACAGTACTGGGCATATGTACATGTACATATCTTTATGTCAACAAATGTTTCCATTTATATCTAGTAAATATAGAATTGAAATGGGTAGGAATTATGGCAAGTCCATGTTTAATATTTTAGGAGATTCTCAAATATTTTTACAAAGTAGTTGTGCCATTTTAAATGCCTACCAGCAACGTATTAGAGTTCTAGCAGCATTACATACCATATGCTACAAAACTTGGAATTGGTCACCTTTATAATTTTAGCCATTCTAATACACGTTTAGTTTTATGGAATGATGATTTTGATTTGCATTCCCCTGATGACAAATGACATTAAGCAACTTTTCATGTGTTTATTTGCCATCCTTGCAATTGTCTATCCAAATATTTGTACTATTTGGGTGGGTAGTTTACCTTTTTATAATTGATCAATAATATTTCTTTATATATTCTGGATATAATTTTTTGTCACATATATGTATTGAAACTATTTTCTCCTGTTTTTGTTTTCATTCTTGTTTTCTTAAATAGTATCTTTTGAGAATAAAATGTTTTTATTTTGAAATCATTTTTCAAGCATTATTTTTGTTTTTTGTATTTTATCTAAAAAATCTTTGCCTACTGTATTAGTCAGCGTTCGCTAGAGGGATAGGACTGATTAGATAGATGTATATATGAGGAGGATTTTATTAAGGAACATTGACTTACACGATCACAAGGTGAAGTCCCACGATAGGCTGTCTGCAAGTTGAGGAGCAAGGAAGCCAGTCTGAGCCCCTAAACCTCAAAAGTAGGGAAGTGAACAGTGCAGCCTTCAGTCGATAGCTGATGGCCTGAGGGCCCCTAGCAAACCACTGATGTAAGTCCGAGAGTCCAAAAGACGAAGAACTTTGAGTCTTATGTTTGAGGGTAGGAATCATCCAGCATGAGAGAAAGATGAAGACCAGAAGACTCAGCAAGTTGATGTCTCCCACGCACCTTTTTCTGCCTGCTTTATTCAAGCTGCGATGGAAGCTGATCGGATGGTGCCCATCCACACTGAAGGTGGGTCTGCCTCTCTGAGTCCACTGACTCAAATGTTAATCTTTTTTGGCAACAACCTCACAGGCACACCCAAGAACAATTCTTTGCATCCTTCAATGCAATGGGACATTAAGTAAAGTACCCAAAAGGCCTTTGTCTCAGATGTAAGGGCAAACAAGTCATAGACAAAATATTGTCAGTATTTACCATCATACCTACCCAAAACAATGAAGATGGTCTTTTATATTTTACTATGAAAGTTTTATCATTTTAGCTTTTAAATTTAGGTGTAGATTCAATTTCAAATTAATTTTTGTGTATGTTCATTTTTATCTCAAATGGAGAACCAAATGGTTTCAGCATAATTTTTAGCAAAATTTTTCTTTTTACCATTGAATTATCTTGACACCATTGGTGAAAATTAACTGAAGATTTATGAGTGGGCCTGTTTTTGGATTCTATTCTGTTCCACCAATCTGTGTCTATTCTTTCACCAATACCATACAGTTTTGATGACTAGATTTATACCATGCCTTGAAATAGGGTGGTGTATGCAGTTAACTGGGTGATTCTTTTAAAAAATTTTTAGGCTCTTCCAGGTCATTTGTATATCTATAAAATTTATAGAATTAGTTTGTTAATTTTTCAAAAAAATAGCAGCAATAATTTTCATATTTATTGTTTTGAATTTATAAGTCAACATGAAATAATGTTGAATATTAAGATTATTGATTTTTCCAAACAATAAGCAAGAAATTTTCTATTTCATTGTCTTTTAATTTGAGCCAGCAATGTTCTGTAGTTTCCTGTGCGGTGATATTGCATGGAATTGCTCATTTATTTTAAGTATCTTATTTTTTGATTTTATTATTGAGCAAAACTTTAAATTTTATTGTTCAGTAGTCTTATATTAGTTTAAAAAGAATATACTACATTTTTTACAAGCAAAATACAGACATAGTAACTGTTTTAATGTCCTTTTCTCTTAAGTATGTAATCTGGATCATATCTGGGTAAGTTTTGACTTTTTAAATTAATATTATGGGTCATATTATCTGTTTCTTTGCATGCCTGATGGCTTTTAACTAGATAATGGCAGGCAATGTAGTTTTTTTTTATGGGTGCTAGATATTTCTACATGCTATAAATATTCTTGAGTTTGTTTTGGGATGCTGCTAATTTACTTGTAAATTGATGTTTTCATGTCTTGCTTTCAAGCTTTTAGATGGGACCAGTACATTATTTTGTCTATGACTTGTTTGCCCTTACATCTGAGACAAAGGCCTTTAAGTACTTTAGTCAATGTCCCATGAAATACAAAGTTTTCCACTCTGGCAGTTAGGAGAATACATTATTCTTGGTAACTGGTGAGCTGGGATTTTTTACTCCTTAATCCTTTCAGTTCACTCCTATTATTCCATTATCTGAAAATGTCTTTACTGTCTTCACTCTTACAAAAAATTTTTCACTGGATATAGAATTCTGAATTGATACTTATTTCTGTTTCTTTAAGCATATTAAAGATACTGTTCCACCATCTTTTTGCCTCCATGGTATCTGATAAAAAGTGATTATTCACAATTATTATTTGTATTTACACAATTTATAATTTTTCTTTAAATGCTTTCATCAGTTTTATGGTGATGTACCTAAACACTGTTTTCCTCAAAATTATCCTCCTTGTGTTTGCTATATTTTGCACCTGTAAATATATGTCTTGATCCATTTGGTTCGTTTTAAAGTCAGGGGGTTAATTGGGAAAGAATGAGATCCTATAAATTGAAACGGGTATTTGTGGGAAGACCCTGATGAAACTGGGAGCATTGAGCCTCTAAATTCTGAAGATTCTTCTTGTCCAATGGAAATGACCTCTACACCCTCAGCAGAAGTTGCCTCCCTACTCCCATTGGAAGTGGCTATCTCTCCCCCAGTGGTAGTGGACCTCCCACTCCCAGTAATAGCAGTCTTTCCATCCAGAGTGATATTGGCTTTTCTACCTCCATCTGAAGGAATTAACTCCGTATTGCCCTGCATTGCCTGAGGAAATGGTAATAGTCTCCACTGAGGCAGTTGCCATGTGAGAAATGCAGATTTTCCTCAAGACTCACCCCTACAATCCCTCTTTGCTGCTAGATCTATAACTAGACCCAGCAGACCCCGAAAGATAAGTTACACTCCAAATAATGAGTCATGCTACACTCCAAAAGAACTATTCGAGTTTTTGGATTGGCACAAGCAAAAATCTAGGAAACGTGTAAAATGGATAGAGTATTTGGGGCGAGGGGGCATAGTGTGGGATAATGGCGAAAGGAACATAAACTTGAATAAGCTGCATATGGTGACATGGCCTCCATGAGAAGATTCTGCATTTAATGTTGCAATTTGAAAAGTTAGTTAATAGTTTGGTTGGTTAGTTGACTGAAACATGGATCAAAGATGACCCATAGTGAGCAAATTGGAAATGCCTAAACTTCCCTAGTTTAATATATAAGAAGAGATTTAAAGGGTTAGAGGAATTCAGGTGTTAGAGTGGATTTATCATTTGAGACTCACTCACCCACACCACAGTGGGAGAATTCAGAAGACATACCATTTACCAATACTTTGAAAAATAAGTTGTTGAAGGGAGCCTAGTATTCTTGAAGAATGTCATGATAGTTTTTCTTTGTAGGTCAAACCTTACAGTGGGAATCACAGCCACTCAAATGGAACACAGAAATACAATGAGAATAATTTGATCCTTGGGCAGCAGGTACAAAGTGGTGCCACTCGACCACCAAAAGCAATATGTGCATAATAATGAACAACAGAATAAAGCAGCAATCAGAATAGCATGACTCTAGCAGACCTCTGGCCTTAGCTAATTGATCATGGTGTTCCTAGAGTGAAAAAAATAAAAATCCTGCTAAATTCTTACTTGATCTGTATAAGCAGAGAGCTCTAGGTCAACTGAGTGAAATTCTAATTCAAATAATTAAAACAGAGAGTCATGGCTCCTCTATCAAGCCCCAGAGTTGACCCAGTTTACACATCCAAAACCCCTTTAAGTAATAAGATGCTTAGTCCCCTCCAGGAAGGACTGTCAAACATTAACTAAAATTTATGCTGTTAACATTTTTCTATCCTTCTCCAAAGAAATACATGGCCTTCCTACCATGGTAAATGTACATTGGAGAAAAGAAAATAATTAGACCTTTCAGAAACTACTGGACACTGGCTTTGAACTTATATTGCTTCCAGAAGACTCAAAGCATCACGGTGACCCTCCAGTCAAATTAGAGCCTTATGGAAGTCAGGTGATCAGTGGGCTTCTAGCTGAGGTTTATTTCACAGTGATTTCAGTGGGTCCCCAAGCCCTTCCTGTAATTTTTTTTAACCCCAGTTTCAGATTCATGATAGAAAAAGACATCTTAGCTGTTGACAGAATCACCACATTAGTTTTCTGTGAGGGTTAGTATGGTGAGAAAAGTGAAGTCAACATCACTAGAAATGCTTCCACCTATGAAAATAAAAACAATCAAGAGCAATACTACATCCCTGGAGGGATTGCAGAGTAGTACTGTCATCAAGAAATTGAAAGTTGCGGGGATGATCATTCCCACCATATGCCAATTCAATTCTTCTATTGTCCTTGCAAAAGACAGATGGATCTCAGAGAATAACAGTGGATTATTGTCAGCTTAACCAAGTTGTGACTGCAACTACTCTACCTGGTGTGGTTTTATTGCTTGAGCAAATAAACACATGCACTGGCATGTGGTATACAGTTATTTATCTGAAAAATAATTCTTTCTCCATCCCATTTCATAAGGTGAACTTGAAGCAGTTTGCTTTCAACTGTCAAGACAAGCATTATACCTACACTGTCTTACCTCAGGAGTATATCACCTCTCTAGCCCTATGTTATAATTTAGTCTGCAGGAGTCTTGACCTAATTTCCCTTCCATAAGATATCACATTGGTCCATGTTGATGAGATTATGCTGATTGGGCCTGGTGAGCAAAAATGAGCAACTATATTAAATTTATTAGTAAGACATTCATGTGTCAGAGGGTAAGAAATAAATTCAACTAAAATTTGGAAGCTTTCTACCTTAGTAAAATTCCTACAGGTCCAGTGGTGTGAGGATGTGGCAATTTTCATGTAAGGTAAAAGAAAAAAGTGGTTGCAACAGGCCACTTCAGCAACCAAGCAAGAGGCAGAAGGCCTAGTGGGCCCATTTGGATATGGGAGACAACTTATGTTTTATTTGAGTGGGTTATTCTGGGCTATCAATGAAGTGACCCAAAACTATAAGTATTTAGAGGGGCCCAGAATAAGAGAAGGATCTGCAATATGTCTAGGCTGCTCTACCACTTGGGCTATATAATTGAACAAATCCAACACTGCTTGGAGTGTTGGTGGTAGATAGGGAGGCTGTTTGGGGCCTTTGTCAACCCCCTACAGCTGAATTGCTGCAAAGGTCTTTAGGATTTTAGATCAATCATCATGTGCCTCTAACTAGTTTCCTTTTGAAAGGCAGCTTTTGGCCTGCTTCTGGACCTTAGTAGGGTCCAATTGCTTCATCATGGGCCATCAAATTACCATGCAGCCTGAGCTGCCTGTCATGAACTGGGTGTTATCTGACCCACTGGGCCATAAAATTTGTTGTGCACAGCAAAACTCCATCATCAGATGGAAGTGGTGTATCTGTGATTGGGTTCAAGCAGGCCCTGAAAGCACAAGTAAATTACATGAAGAAGTAGCACAAATGCTCATGGTCTTCTCTTCGGCTACACACTCTTCTCCCTCTTAGCTTGTACCTGTGGCTTCATGGGGAATTCCCTGCAATCAATCAACAGAGGAAGAAAAATCATCAGCCTAGTTTAAAGATGGTTGCACATGATTTGTGGCCACCAACATGAAAGCGGATAGCTGTAGCTACAGCCACAATCTGGAACATCCCTGAAGAATATTTGTCAAAGGACATCCTACCAGAGGGCAGATCTTTGGGCAGTGCGCATAGTTGTACATATTGCTTAGAAGAAAAAAATGGCCACTTTTGTGATTTTGTAATAATCCATGAAGCATAGTAAATGTTTTGGCTGGACATTAAGGAAATTACAAGCAACATGATTGAAAAATTGCTGATAAAGAAATTTGAGGAACAGGTGTGTGGCTAGATCTCTCTGAATGGACAAAAAGCATGAAGCTATTTGTGTCTCATGTGAATGATTACCAAAGTGTGACCTCAGCAGAAAAGGATTTTAATAACCAAGTGCATACTTTGACTTATTCTGTGAATACCATTCAGCCTCTGTCTCCAGAGACCACTGTCATTACTTAATGAGTTCATGAACAAATTGGCCATGGTGGCATGGATAGAGGTTGCACATTGACTCAGCAACATGGATTTTCACTCACCAAGGCCAATGTCTATAGTCATTGCTGAGTGCCCAATCTGCTAGCACCAGAGACCAACATTGAGTCCCTTATAAGACACCATTCCCTGAAGTAGCCAGTCAGCTACCTGGTGGCAGATCGTTTATATTGGACCACTTCTATCATGACGGGGCAATATTATATCCTTACTGGAATAAACACTTCCTCTGGATACAGATTGCCTTCCCAGTACCCAATGCTTCTGCCAAAACCACCACCCATGGCCTTACAGAATGCTCTAGCCACAATCTCAGTCATGGTTTTCCACACAGCATTGCTCCCGATCCAGGAACTCACTTCACAGTGCAATAATTGGCCCGTGATTATAGAATTCACTGGTATTACCAGTCCAAATCAACTGGCTTGATAGAATGGTAGAATGACATATTGAAGACTCAGTTATAGTGCCATCCAGATGGCAATATCTTGCAGGCATGGGGTGAGTTTCTCTAGAATGTTATATATGCCCTGAATAAGCATCCAATATATGATACTGTTTCTCCCATATCCATAATTCATGAATCCTTAAATCAATGGGTGAAAATGGAAGTGGCACCTCTCAACATTACTCCTAGTAACCCACTAGCAAAATGTTGCTTTCTATTCCTGTGACTTAATGATATGCCAGATTAAAGGTCTTAGATTCAGAGAGAGGAATGCATCTATGAGAAGACACAACAATAATCCAATTCAACTGGAAGTTAAGGATGCTGCCTGGCCACTTTGAGCTCCTCATGGCTCTAAGTCAACAGATAAAGGGAGTTACAATGTTGGCTGGGGTGATTGATCTGGACTACCAAGGGGGAAATTGGACTATTACTTCACAAGAGATGTAAGAAAGAGTGTATCTGGACTACTGAAAATCACTTGGGTTGTCTCAGTATTAATATGCGCTGTGATTAAGGTCAATGGGAAACTAAAACTTAACCTGGGCAGGACAACTAATGGCCTAGAAGTCTTCAGAAATGAGGTTTGGGTTATTTATCATGTAAAGAACCATGATCAGCTGAGGTGCCTGCTGAAGGTAAAAGGAATATAGTATGGGTATTAGAAGATAGTTTTAAATACCAGCTATGAACATGTGACTAGTTATACAAATAAAGACTATAATTGTCATGAGTATTTTCCCCTTATTTTGTTATGAATATGCTTGCGTGTGTGTATAAATATATTAAACAAATGTATTGTTTTATTTTATTACCTTAACATATAACTTAAGCTATATTGACATATTATTATTTAATTACTATAAGTGTTAGGTCATATTATTTAAGCCATAGGATGTCAGGAAAAAGTAAACATTACTCAAGGACTTAACCTCCTCTTTGAAGAAAAGGATTAGTGCATTTTCAGTTGTATACAGGAGAGATGTATCATGTTAGGTGGAATTGTAACCTTGTAATTGGTTTTTTGGGAGATAAAGAATACTGTAAGGAGATGAGTATGGCTTGACAAAGGTTGGCTTCTGATGGTTAATTGTATATATCAACTTGATTGAGCTTACAGATGTCCAGATAGCTGGAAAGATTATTTCTGGGTATGTCAGGGTGTTTCAGAAATAGATTGCCATTTGAATTAGTAGACTAATTAAAGATGATTGCCTTCACCAATGTGGGTGGGGAATCATCCAATCCATTGAGGGCCCCAGAAAAAAACAAAAAAGCAGAGGAAGGTCAAATTTGTTCTCTCTTCTTGAGCTAGGATGCATGCCTTTTCCTTTTATTGGACATTGACACTTTTTCTTCTCAGGCCTTTAATCTTGGACCCAGACTAATGTCTTTAGCTCCCCTGGATTTAAGACCTTGGGACTAAGACTGAATTATATTACTGGCTTTCCTACTCCTGCACCTTGCAGATGGCACATGTGGGACTTCCTAGCCTCCATAATAGCATGAATTAATTCTTATAATAAATGTGCGAATCTATACCTATATCTGTATATCCTGTACATCCTATATTCTCTGTTTCTCTGAACTACCTTGAACATACAAAGAGTAATTTGCCAAAAAAAAAAAAGACTGTAATATTATG
This sequence comes from Homo sapiens, assembly GCF_000001405.40. Lineage (NCBI taxonomy): Eukaryota > Metazoa > Chordata > Mammalia > Primates > Hominidae > Homo > Homo sapiens. The sequence continues at coordinate 125,806,642 of NC_000007.14, forward strand.
GCCAGTTCTGGGTTTGTTGTTGTTTTTCACTCCAGTCTTGCTCTGTTGCCCAGGCTGGAGTGCAATGGTACGATCCCCGCTCACTGCAACTTCTGCCTCCCAGGTTCAAGCAGTTCTCCTGCCTCAGCCTCCCAAGTAGCTGAGATTACAGGTGCCTGCCACCACACCCAGCTAATTTTTTTGTATTTTTAGTAGAGAGGGGGTTTCACCATGTTGGCAGGCTGGTTTCGAACTCCTGATCTCAAGTGATCCGTCCCCTTCAGCCTTCCAAAGTGCTAGTATTACAGGTGTGAGCCAACGCACCTGGCCCAGTTCTGTGTTTTTAAGCAGTCAAGATAAAGTACATGTCTATTACTGCAAGAAACTCTCATTATTCACTTTTGTGGCTCTGCCCACTTGCCTCCTATCCTCTGTCTTCTCCTCTATTCATAACTTCTGGTGACCATGCATCTGTTTTCTATTTCTGTATTTTTTAATCTAAATAATAACGTATGGAAAGACATTTAGAATGGTAGAGTAAGAACCACTAAAAAAAAAACTGGTCCTCAATAAAAGCAATAAAAACACACCGTAATTATCAAAATTAACTTTTCCAGAATTCTGGAAACTAAATAATGCTTGCAATATTTTAGCAGCATTTATGAACCAAAATAGCTGCATCTTTCTAAGAAAAGTGACCTTTGTGATATTTTAACATACCATAATTCACATCTGTATCTTCAGCTCCATAATAGCTTTGAAAACTCACAACCACAGGAACTGGGAAAAATAGGAACTTAGTCACTGATATGGTTTGGCCTCATGGTCTGTGTCCCCACCAAAATCTCACCTTGAATTGTAATAATCCCCATGTGTCAAGGGCAGGATCTGGAGATAATTGAATCATGGGAGACGGTTTCCCCCATTCTGTTCTTGTGATAGTGAGTGAGTTCTCATGAGATCTGATGGTTTTGTAAGGGCTCACCGCTTCACTCGGCACTCATTCTCTCTCCTGCCGCCCTTTGAATGGTTCCTTCTGCCATGATTGTAAGTTTCCTGAGGCCTCCCCATCTATGCAGAACTGTGAGTCAATTAAGTCTCTTTTCTTCATAAATTTCCCAGTGTATTATAAGGGTTCTCTAATGGAATGGAGCAAATAAGATAGATGTATATATAAAGAGGAGTTGTAAGGAATATTGACTCACATGATCACAAGGTAAAGTCCCACGATAGGCTGTCTGCAAGCTGAGGAGCAAGGAAGCCAATTAGAGTCCCAAAACCTCAAAAGTAGGGAAGCCAACAGTGCAGCCTTTATTCTGTGGTCAAAGAACCAAAACTCTCAAAGCTGAAGTAATTGGAGTCAGATGTTGGAAGGCAGGAAGCATCCAGCATGGAAGATGAATGTAGGCTGGAAGACTAAGCCAATCTAGTCCCTCCACGTTCCTCTGACTGCTTTTATCCTAGCTGCCTGGCAGCTGATTCGATGGTGCCCACTCACATTGGGGGTGGGTCTGCCTCTTCCAGTCCACTGACTCAAATGTTAATCTCCTTTGGCAACACCCTCACAGACACACCCAGGAACAATACTTTGCATCCTTCAATCCAATCAAATTGACTATGTTAACCATCACATCCAGTCTTGGGTATTTCTTTACAGCAGCATGAGAGTGACCTAACACAATCACTGGAAGAAGGACAAGTCTGGTGCTCTCAAAAAGTCTCATTCCAAGAGACTGAACTGTCTTATATAGCTGATGGCTTTCTGAGAAACTCCATGCTCAAGGTTTGTTGTCATTTGACTTGATCAAAGTTTGGTCTTTGTGAATAGCCCTGTCTCCCTGAAATTTGTCAAAAACATTTGTTGCAATTGTTTAATCTCTCATCAGCCTGAGGTGGAAATATCAGTTAGGGCAAGCAGTAAGCTGACAAAAGAAGAAAATAAAAGAAAAAAATAAAAGACAAATGAAGAGAAAAAAGTTGTGACATATTTCTGATAATTTATGATTATACACATTTGCAGGTCCATGAATATACCTAGGAAAGAGCTCACTGAGAATTCCTTGATTTTTTACTTCTAGCACACAATGAGCTCTATGGAAGCTGGAAGCGAAGGCTAAGTCAAGGTTATGAACTACTTATCACAGAATTGAAGATGTACCTCTGAGAAATACACACAGATCCTTAGGTGAATGATGGGAAACATATTTGTTGAATAATCTAAGAACATATCTGTCCAATGAATAGCTAAATACTAAGGTAATCAAGCAAGGACTTTGATGGTTAGACACAACAAAGAATACAGACTTAATAATTAGTTCAGGAAAGTCACTAACAAAACAACAACAACAAAACCTTGTGGAGAAAGTTTTCTCAGAGTTGCCAAAACATTTAACTTAAAATGTCTAGTTTTCAAGAAAAACAAAACATCAGATAAGCAAAGCAATAGGGGAGTAACCCTTAAACTGAAAAAAAGTAGTCAATAGAGACTATTATCAAGGAAGACTTTAAATCAGCTGTTATACATATGTTCAAATACGTCAAAGAAATCATGTCTAAAAACTTGAAAGTGTGAAAGTAATGTTTCATCCAATACATAAATTCAATAAATATAAAAATATACAGTATTATCAAATATAAATTAGAGGGCTAAAAGTGAGATTTAAAATGCATCGAAGAGGCTCAACAGCAGATTTAAACTGGCATGAGAACAAAAGCAGATTTGAGGAGTCAGAAGAAAGAATCAGATAACTTGAACATAGGTCAACAGAACTCAATCTGAGGAACAGAAAGAAACAAGAATAAAATACAATGAACAGAACCTAAGAGATTTGTGGGATGCCATTAAGTACAACCATACACATAATAAGAATTCCAGAAGGAATGGAGAACGATAAAGCGGCAGAAATAAAATTTGAAGGAATAATGGCCAAAAACTTCCTACATTTGATAAAAGACATAATCTACATATTCAAGTACCTTAATGAACTCCAAATAAGGCAAACGCAAAAAATCCAAATTTAAATATATTAGATTCAATCCAAAGAAAAAGGCAGAAGTCAAAAAAATCAAAAGACCCATACAAAGCGAATATCTTGAAAGTAACAAGAAAAAAATAATGAACTGTTCCTTTGGCTAGGGACAATAGAGTTTTTAGTTATTTTTATCTTGTACTCAGTTGATTTTCTAGGTTATCTATGTGTTCAGCTCTAATTCTGGGATATATGAGGTAAAAAGAAAACCCAGAGAACTCATCATTTTACCATTTTTTAGGTTCCAATGTCCTTAGCAGGTCTGTCTTCTCTCTACCTTTTTGTATACAATCCCCAAGGTTTTTAGTTGTTAATGATATATTAATATTAAATAAGGAGTAGTTTATGTCTTCTCAAATTTCCTGGAAGCATAGGCTTCCATCAGTTTTAAGATATATTGTTAAAAATCATTTATTTATTTTTGTTATTTCTAATTTAAAATTGTTATTATCAGAAATCTTTATTAGTATCTGTATTAGTCCATTTTCATGCTGCTGATAAAGACATAACTGAGACTGGGTAATTTATAAATAAAAAGAGGTTTAATGGACTCACAGTTCTATGTGGCTGGAGAGGCCTCACACTCATGGCATAAGGCAAAATGCATGTCTTACATGGTGGTGGGCAAGAGAGAGTGAGAGCCAAGCAAAAGGGCAAACCCCTTATAAAACCATCAGATCTTGTGAGACCTATGCACTACCATGAGAACAATATGGAGGGAACCACCCCGTGATTAAATTACCTCTCATCAGTTCTCTCCCATAACACATGGAAATTATGGGAGCTACAATTCAAAATGAGATTTGGCTGAGGACACAGCCAAACTGTATTAGTATCTTATTACTAATTATAACTTGCAGAGTTTTTTTTCTGGCCTTAAACATGCTAAGTTTTCAGTAAAAGATTCATTGATGTTTGAGAAAGTTAGTCACTGGCTGTCATGATTACAGATGTTTCCAAATGTGTATTATATAAAGTGTGTTAAGTGGGATGTTGAAATCATCTATATTTTACAATTTTTAAATTCATTTTTAATATAATTATTAAACAGCTGTATTACAATGTCATCTTTGGATTTTAGGTGAGTTTGTTTCTCCTTGTAATGCTTTTCTTTAATTTTACATAGATTTCAAACGTTTGTTGTTAGGTTAATGCAACTTTTTTTTAATCTTTAGTTCTGAATAATTGTTTCCTTTATTATTATATGGTATGCCATACAATTACCCGATTAGTACTTGTATCAAGGTTTCTAGTTTTTCTGATAGTAATATTTATTTTATAATGTTTTTTGTTAGTATTTATCTACTATATATTTACTCATTTAAAAACATCCTTGGGTTTGTTTTTGTTTTTTTTTTTTTTTTTTTGAGACGGAGTCTTGCTCTGTCACCCAGGCTGGAGTGCAGTGGCGCGATCTCGGCTCTATTCAAGCTCCGCCTCCCGGGTTCACGCCATTCTCCTGCCTCAGCCTCCCGAGTAGCTGGGACTACAGGCGCCTGCCACCTCGGGTTTTTAGTCATTTAATTTTAGTATTTCACTTGCACTTTTTTATCCTCTTTGATTTTATACATTTTCAGGTGAATGTAATCCATACAGTAAAAAATGATATATTTAAACTGATTTGCACCATGTTTGTTTTGTTTTCTGTAATATTTGTCATAAATTGTTTTGACTAGTAGTGTCTCATTTCTGGCCTCCTATTCATTTAACAATGTATTTTTCTTTTGATAGATGCCTTTTGTTTTTTTCTTCTTTTCTTTTTAATGATTAACTTCAAATTCTAACATTATTTGTTACTCATAAAATAACAAAAATTATTAAATATATATGTCTTTCTTGCGAACATCACAATGACCTTGGCATGCTTAAACTACTCACTGAAATAATACCTCTTATATTCTATATTATTGACCATAGTTTTATTTGCATAGTCTCTATTTTTGTGACATATTTTTACAGGAAATACTTATGTACATAAACCTTTTTTAACTTTTTTAACTATTTTAAGTTCAGGGGTACATGTGCAGGTTTGTTACATAGGTAAACTTGTGTCATGGGGGTTTGTTTTACAGATTATTTCATTACCCAGGTATTAAGCCTAGTACTCATTAGTCATTTTTCTTGATCCTCTCGCTCTTCCCACCCTCCACCCTCTGATGGGCCCCAGTGTGTGTGTTGTCCCCCTCTATGTGTCCATGTGTTCTCATCATTTAGCTCCCACTTTTTTTTTTTTTTTGAGACAGAGTCTCGCTCTGTCACCCAGGCTGGAGTGCAGTGGCGCAATCTCGGCTCACTGCAAGCTCTGCCTCCCCAGAACTGCAAGTTCACACCATTCTCCTGCCTCAGCCTCCCCAGAAACTGGGACTACAGGCACAGGCCACCACGCCTGGCTAATTTTCTTGTATTTTTAGTAGAGACGGGGTTTCACTGTGTTAGCCAGGATGGTCTCGATCTCCTGACCTTGTGATCCTCCCACCTTGGCCTCCCAGTGCTGGGATTACAGGCATGAGCCACCACACCCGGCCTTAGCTCCCACTTTTAAGTGAGAACATGCAATATTTGGTTTTCTGTGCCTGTTGTAAAAAAGGAATGCTTATACACTGTGATGAAAGTGTATTAATTAGTTCAACCATTGTGGAAGACAGTGTGGCAATTCCTCATAGACCTAAAGGCAGAAATACCATTCGACCCAGCAATCCCATTACTGAGTATATACCCAAAGGAATATAAATCATTCTATTATAAAGACATATGTACAGGTAAGTTAATTGCAACACTATTCACAATAGCAAAGACATGGAATAAACCTAAATGCCCATCAGTGATAGATTGGATAAAGAAAATGTGGTACATATACACCATAGAATACTATGCACCATAAAAAAGAATGACATTATGTTCTTTGCAGGGACATGGATGGAGATGGAGTCCACTATATTTAGTAAACTAACATGTTTCGTTAATTTATTTTTTAGACTCCATTTATGGTAGCCCAAGCATCGTTTTAATCTAAAGCCTAGCTCAGGTGTTTGTCACACATGGAGTGGCATAGATCTTGCTTCATCTGGGCCCTAAATATCTGGCCTCTGCTGAGTGTAGTCCTGGAACTCAGCAAATCTGAATATAGTGTGACACACCTCACCACCCTCTGCCACCTCTCAAAATGTGTGTGTGCGTGCACACACATGTGTGTTCTGGTCTAGTCTATGTTTTGGTTTTCTAATTTGTGTCTCTTAATTTTGAGTTTAACTTTGTGTTCTTATCATGTTCACAATAATCTTTTTTTCTGTCCTTGGCCTGTGATTGATGGGGTTTCCCTCTGAAATCACAATACTATGAAAAGAAATACGATTATTCTATTGTTACTATGCCACCATTTTCATTTTAATCTGGGCTTCTTCAATTACCTGCAGTACTAGAATCTTAGTGGAGCCTAGGATTCTACCCTTCTAACAAGCTCCCAGCTAATATCCACTCGCTAGTCCATGTTTCACACTTTGAATAATAATGCTTTAAACAGCTACACTGTTTTCTCACAGTGATGAAGTGGGCAATTACAACATTCTGCTTACTTTGTCCAAATGTGACCAACAGTTCAACATAAGCTCCACATTTTCTGGGACTATTCAAGTTTTTCTCTGCCTCGAAGTCAGTATTTTAGGAAAGAGAGAGTGGGATTCTGTTCATTCAAATATTAATTTTGAGGCAATTGATAGCAGACATATTTTCATCTCTGTTCTTTGAAGTTTAAATAAATTTAGCTTCATTAAACAGCAAAAATATAAATTATCATGGATAATGAATTGGAAATTGGAGTTTAGGTATAAAACATCCCAGGTTATGATTAGCACATGCCCACTAACAAAGCATTTCTCCATATTTTAGTGGTCTACTTCAAAAAATATCCTTAATTTCATATAAAGCTTATTTGAGGAAAATAGTGTATTTCTGCCCTCTTATTTCTACATCTTCACAACAGAAATTTGTATTTTAAAATATCATTATAAGATTTGCAGGACTAAGCATATTTTTTCCAACTGTCTGCAATGAAATCAGTGTCTTCCATTAGTATAAAACCCTCAACAATTATTTACATTTTAAAGTAAAAGTCCTCGTTCTGAATGCCAAAGATGATTTTCACTTGTGAATATTTGCTGATAGTCTACCCATCCCTTAAATAACCCATGGCGGTTCTACCTTTGTATTTGTCTTATTTGTGTGGTAGGATCATACACTTGATGTTCTTGTTAAAGCAACTGTATTTTAATTGCCAGAAGAAATGCCAAACAGAATGGAAAAAGAGAAAAGTTGTGACTGCTTACATTTCAAGCACATTGCATCCTAAAAAAAAAGCTACCAATTTGCTCTCATATAGTAAGTTTACATTATAAGTATATAATAAAAAATAAAATATATATGATGCCTAAAACTATTTTCCTATTAGACAAAGTCTGATATTTTCGTAAGGAGTATAATTTATATAATAAAATGACCTTGAAAAATTCCACCAGTGTAATTTATAGAAACAAACAAGTCTTCTTTCAGCATTAGTCATACAGTGACATTGAAAACTCTTTGGCTTATATAAACATATTCATTGTATTCATTAAAGTAAAATTCCATTCCCTTTTATTCTCAGTTCCATATGTCTCTTCTTCACTACCAAGTCAGTGATGCAGCACAGAATCTTGCCCCAAATACATATTTGCTTTTTTTGGATTCTTCCTTGCACTGTGTCATAGAACAGCTGGTCAAGTATAGCTGCCTTCTGTGGCTGTAATTCTATCCCTCGGGGATATTGCCTCCTATTTTTATACAAAAGAATATTATTTTTCTTTAGAGTTCTAAAATAATCAACATTATAAAAATCATTGGAGAAATGTGATAATTAGAAAAACATTGCTGGAGGAGACTATTGAATAGATAATTTCATGACAGCATTAAAAATGGGCTTTCTTTCTGCTCAGAATTTATAGTCAGTCATAATTTTTAAAAATACCAAGTTGGGCATTCCTCTTACTAGTTTTTTCAGATAATTAGGATTATTTAATTATAAATATTATATACTTTATAAATTCAGAAATAACACATTAGAATGTCAGTGTTTGTGCATAAGAAGGAACACATTGGTAGACTGGAGGTGATGAACAAAGGGAAAAAAGACAAAGATGTTATTTGTGAATAGTTGGGCATATTTAAATATTTAATGAAGTACACTTTGAAATTGTCCTAGTGTGTGTATTTCTTGAAATATTTTTAGCAATATATAATTGCTAGTTGAATACTTTTTCTGGATGAAATTTTGAGTTTGTTGTGCATAGGCCAAAATAAGCACTTTCCACTACTATCTTGGAAACTAATTTCCTTGAAACTCTCACTTTGTTGCATAAAGTAAATTCTATTTGTATTAAATTGTGATTTTTTCAAAACACAGATATAAAATGGGAATATTAGAAGAAAAAAGATGAATTAAATCAGGTAACATTAGCCCCAAATCAGTAACATTTAGAATTTATGCCCAGCAAAATTTTTATTTTCTTTTCAAAGCTTTGATATTTCAAAATATGTGTCATTTAAGTATTCTATTTTCTGCATTCAGGACTACAATAATATACAAAGGCTACAGTTTACATTACATAGGCCAATCGAAATGATAATTATCAGCCTTTTAAACTATAGGGAACTTAAAAATGCCTGAAGTTTTCTCTTTTCATAATACTTTTGCAAAGTGGTCTGTTTTGAAAAGAGATGCATGATCCATAGCTATACTTGATGCGGCTTGCTCAACCCAATTTAATAAAAGCCGAAGGGAAAGAGGTAGAGATAGAGAAAGACCACCTAAGCCAGAATTCTACAAAATTCTGTGTGATGCCCCTGGAATAAATTGTGTGGGAAGCCTGTGTGCCCAAGTCCTCAGAAGAAAAAGTCTTTGTTGATTTATGACCGTACAGCATACACACAAAAATAACTGAAGTGTCATTATAGGATACAGATAAATAAGAGTAGGGGTTGTTGCCCACCAATATTTCGTAGGAAGAATCATGATTAGAGCACCAAAAGCAATCCAGCATCTTGAACTATACAAAATGAAAGTTGAATCAGAAAGCATCAGAGCAAGCAGCACCACAAACTCATTCTTCCTGTTTGAAGGTATGAATGTGGGCAACTTTTGTGACAATTCTGGAATAACAGAGCTCTGAAAATGTGTTTCTGAACACAATCTGACAAACAGTATTTACCACATGAACAAACTTTTCATAGACGTTTTGCAGGAAGTATTTACTTCAATGAAAAACACTTTCCCCCCAGGCACTAGATCTGAAAATTCAAAATGTAATAAATCCCCAAATTTAAAACACCCTTAGTCTCTTTCCATTTAGTTACTTTGAAAAAAAGAAAGACAAAACATATTTGAAAAACTTAAGAGAAAAAAATGAAGTGGAAAGCATGAAGGGCAGCAGGTTTCATCTACAGAAATCAAAAAGCGGAAATACAGCCACTAGAAGAGAGTTACAACTCCATCTCAAGCAATCAACCTCAGCAAAATAAGGGTTAAGATAGATTTCTAATAATATATATCAACTTTTGGAAACAGTTTATATAAAGTTATCTCTCTTAAATAAATATTTTAATGATCTTTCTAGTAAAGAAAATTGTTTTAATATTTTCTCTTCTGTTCTAGAGCTGTGCTGTATCATAGCCACTAGCCACATGTGGCTTTTTAGCACTTTAAATGTAGCTGGCTTGAATTGAGATTTACCGCAGGTATAAAATACACACCTATTTCAAAGACTTAGTACAAAAAATAAAATATATTATTAACATTTTATAAGGATTACATGGTGAAACTATATCTTTATATATTGATTTAATTAGACATTATTGAAATCAATGTCACTAGTTTCATTGTACTTCTATAATGTGGTAATCAAAAATTTAAAATTACAACATGGCTAACATTTGCAGCCCAGGTTATATTACTATTGGACAATGCTATTGTTGTGACCAAGAGGACTGGAAAGATTATCACATACAAAAGTGGGATCCCTGCCTAAATTTTGCTTTGATAAAATTCAGTTCCTTTACATAGACATTGTCATACAATCATAGACGTATATGTGCATTCACCTCTTAGGGGTAGGAACAATTTTTTTAAATGATTAAATAAAATATAATTATTCAATATTTTCTTTCTATTATTAAACAACTGAGACATAAAAGAAAGATACAGATATTCCATTCACGGAGTATATATTTTAGAAGAAAAGAAAGAAAATTACAAATTTAATTACAGAATTAATTACAGATATTAACTAAGTTTGATGCAACAGTGAAGCATCAGGTCTGTGTGTTCTAGATATGAGGGAAACCTGACCTAGTAAACAAGTCTCTTGGGTTACCAAAGACAATATTCTGAATTTAAAAGATACTAATTTTTTTAATGAAAGTGGGAAAAATAGATTATTTCATTTTAAATATTATCAAAAAAGTTTTTGGTCAGTGAGGTTAGCTTCAATTTAACATGCCATATTTCAGGAATTTTAAAAGCCGTGAAGAAAAATACAGCAAGTGCTTGTGACCAACCAGATACTGGGTTTTAACGTTGTTTTTGTTTATATTTTAATGATGAAATCTGATTTATTTAATAGAAGTCATCATAAACAGTATAAAATATAAATATGCTTATCTGGGAAAGATCTCCAAAAAGGATGTGATTTTGAGAGGAGCAAAATAATCTCTAGTAAAAAAGAGTATTATCACTGTAAGCATTTGATCTTTAAAATAAACAATATATGCCTGGCTTAAAGGCTCATGCCTGTAATCCTAGCACTTTGGAAGGCCAAGGCAGGTGAATCACTTGAGGCCAGGAGTACAAGACCAGCCTGGCCAACATGGCGAAAACCCGTCTCTACTAAAAATACAAAAATTAGCCAGGTGTGGTGGTGCATGCCTGTAATCCCAGCTACTTGGGAGGCTGAGGCAGGAGAATCACTTGAACCTGGAAAGCAGAGATTACAGTGAGCCAAGAATATGCCACTGCACTCCAGTCTCAGTGAAGAAGTGAGACCCTATCTCAAAAAACAATAATAATAATAATAATAAAATAAATAATGTAAAATGAGTAATTAATATATGCCAGCATTTGTGGCATATGCTTTAGACAAAGTGTCTAATTTAACAATCTCAATAATTTTATACATTGTATATATTTCTCATTTTTTAGTTTCAAATACTGAAGTTCAGTAAGATTGTGAACTTACCTATGTTTATACAACCAATAATTAGCACCAAGGTTTACTGTAACTGATTCAAAAGTATAAGCACATAAGTAAGGAACTGGCTTTTGATAATGTTAACATGTGTTTTTCATATGTTGAAAGAACAATCAAAATAAATAAGTATTGTATATGTTAAGGAAAATTATAAATCTTATCTCAAAGGTGATAGCATATAGCCAAAGCTTGATAAAACCTATTTTGCCTGAGCATAGTAGCCATGCAATCTAGAAAAATAAATAATATTATATTTCTTTATAGATTTTATACCTTCATTTTGCCTTTCAGGTAATACTAAAGATAAACATTTTTTTTCCGGTCTGGTGAAAATCACAATTTTTTTTTTTTTTTTTTTTTTTTTTTTGAGACAGAGTCTCGCTCTGTCTCTCAGGCTGGAGTACAATGGCGTGATCTCGGCTCACTGCAAGCTCCGCCCCCTGGGTTCACGCCATTCTCCTGCCTCAGCCTCCCGAGTATCTTGAACTACAAGCGCCCACCACAATGCCCGGCTAATTTTTTGTATATTTAGTAGAGACGGGGTTTCACCGTGTTAACCAGGATGGTCTCGATCTCCTGACCTAGTGATCCACCCGCCTCAGCCTCCCAAAGTGCTGGGATTACAGGCTTGAGCCACCGTGCCCGGCCTCAGACAAAATTTTTACAGTAGAATTTCACAGATTCATTTGACCAAATTGTTAATATTATGGTAATGAACTGCATTCCTTTCAATTTTGCAAATCACGTTTAACTATGCATTGCTAATGAGCAACAACACATTGGAAAGATAATATATTGCAATTTAATATGAATAAGCCATGTTTTATATATATTAACATCTGTTTCCAAATGTTGTCTATTGGCCTATTTTTTCACATATGATGACCAATTTTTCTTTACCCAAATAAGATGATCATTACCTCTTCAGAATTCCTAAAGGCTTTTATCTATATTAATTTCATTATAGGCGTGTTTTTCCCATGTATTATATTTGTATATCTCTTTACTATTTTGTACTAAACTGTAAACTAAAACTACTAAACTGCAGGAAATAGTAAAGATAATATGGATGGGCCAGTAGTATGGATGAGCCAGTGATCAATGAGTTAACAATAGGTCAATGTCTTAATACATATCACTATGTATTAAGTATAGACAATGGCTTTTGTTACATAGATGAATGGCTTTCAATACATGTTAATTACACAAATTATTGGCAATTCATTCATTTAAAAATAGTATTTACACTGTAGAAGGCATTATTCTAAGCATTGAATATAAAAGTAAAAAAAGGAATAAAATATAAAATCTCAGTGATATAAAATGGCTTATCTAGTCAGTGGATATTAAAGAATTAATATAACAAAGGTATTATATATAAACTTAATGTGTAATATATTAAATATATTTAATACATATATTAAACTTCTAGGAAAACAAGGGGTCAAATTTTCCCTTGTGCAATAGGCTGATTTATCATCTGTCCTATAGAGAAGAAGTGATTAATGACTTTATTGATCTGGGTTATAGTGAATCACTTTTTCAATGTATTGTTGGACAGTGTGGTTACTAAAGATGAGTGTGTGAACTAGAATTTTAGTTAATGCTGAAATAGTATTATTTTGCTCATGCCTCTCAGAGTTTTAAAAAACACAGTAGAAATAATTGAAAAGTGTCAGTGATGCAATCAAAAATTTATTGAAGATATTTGCCACTTCTAATTGACTAATCAAGTTCTGGTTTTCTAATACTTAAACAAAATAAATCACTTCATTTATCTAAGAGTGAGATAACTCAGTAATTGTAAAATAAAAGTATACATTGATAAGTCTCTGAGTTTTAGGGGGACTTGTAACACATGGTATTGTTGCTAAATTCCCTAATATGAAGAAAAACCAATGAAAAGACTGAGAATAAAAGTTTAAAGAAGAGGAAGAAATAGAAATGTAAAAATCGAGAATGGCAAAAGTTTGTAAAAAGTGTTTTTTCTTTGTGGAAATCTTTTTTTCTTCAAGCTTTTTCATTTTCTTAATTTTCAATAAAGCAAACTTTCTAGTTTTCTTCATAGTCTACTCAGAATTATTCAATAAATACATAATAAATGTATTTTAATAAGTAACATGTGTACTTATATATCAGACATGTTAAAATATTACATTATTTAATATCCAAACATATATATTAAGTAAAGATTCACCCTTATATAAATTGGGACACTGAATTCCATCCAGACAGTTTAAGTAATGTGCTTGTGGTCACATGATTGTGGTAAAAATGGAACTGAATGAAAGGTCAGTTTACTCCAAAAGCCTCAATCTAAATGTTACACAGAGATTATACTTGTTTCAGGCATTAAACTGGAACTAGATCAATCATATATTTACCCATTATTTATTTTTTGTTCCCCTTTATCAAAAGATAACTTCTGGATTACAGATGTATAAAACGTTGACTGGCAATATAGAATGCCTGGAATAGATATTTGTGGTAAGAAAGCAAGGAAGGAAAGAGGGAGAGGGAGAGAGAGAGAAAAAAACAAACGGAGGAAGGAAGGAAGGAAGGACGGAAGGGAGAGAGGGAGGGAGGGAGGAAGGGAGGGAGGAAGGAAGGAAGGAAGGAAGGAAGGAAGGAAGGAAGGAAGAAGGAAGGAAGGAAAGGAGGGAGGGAGGAGGAGGAGGAAAAGAAAAGAAAAGTGAGGAAAGGAGGGTGGGTGGTTGGGAGGAGGATAGGGAGGAATGAAGGTTGGTTCTGACTCAGGTTCTAATTTTCTAACTGCATGTTTCCCATCTCTCTTTTACTGGTCCCATGTCCTATGCCTAAGTATCACAGGGCTGGGAAATGACTACTTAGTTGCTTTAAAAATGTGTAGCTGACTAATATGAATAAAAGCCAATGAAAACACAAAATAAAAGTTTAGACTTAGAAGAGTTAAGAAATAGAAATGTAAATGAAACTATAAAGATAGCTTTATTCTTCTACTTAATAGTGGACTTGCATTACTTAGAAGATACAGTTCTAGCTTTTTATTATGTCATGTAGACAAATCCCTTTGCAATTTGGTTCTGTCTCATTTCTCTCAAACCACATTAGTGATTCCAGTAAGCTTGAGATTCTGACCTCTTCTAGCTGACTATTACAAACTGATGACACATGCTTTGACATGCATATGATATTCTTTATTGAATGCCATTTTCTGTCTTTCTGCCTGCAAAACTTCTGCTCCTCTTTCAACACCCAGCTTAGTTATAACCTTCTTTGGGAAACCTCACAGCAGTATGCTCAATACTAAACTGTTGGCTCTGCAGGCCTTTAGATTGTTATTCCTACATGAAGAATCTGAATTGTATTATGTTTTATTCATCTTTAAAAATGCTGTAGCTAAGTTCCTAACATATAATATAGGTTCAATACAGTTTTGTAAATTATACGAATAAATTATCTCCAGGATTTTTAAAAATGTTTCTAGGGTGGCTGGGAGCCGTGACTCACGCCTGTAATCCCCGCACTTTGGGAGGCCAAGGCGGGTGGATCACCTGAGGTCGGGAGTTTGAGACCAGCCTGACCAACATGGAGAAACCCTCGTCTCTACTAAAAATGCAAATTTAGCTGGGCATGGTGGCACATGCCTGTAATCCCAGCTACTCAGGAGGCTGAGGAGAATCACTTGAACCCGGGAGGCGGAGGTTGCAGTGAGCAGAGATTGTGCCATTGCACTCCAGCCTGGGTAACAAGAGCGAAACTCCATCTCAAAAAAACAAAACAAAACAAAAAAACAAACAAACAAAAAACGTTGCTAGGGTGAAATATAAAAGCCTTACTTTCCTATCAAGTCATAGTTCATCATGAAATCAAAACTACAAGAAAAACCAGGGATTTTTTTTTTTTTTCCAAAGGAGAAAAATATTGTGACAAAATATGTTGTTTTCTACCACTGTCCAGAGGAATTATTTGATACTGTTTTTTTTCTTCTTCTTTTCTTTTCTTTTCTTTTTTTTGAGACGGAGTCTCACTCAGTCACCCAGGCTGGAGTGCAGTGGCACGATCGCAGCTCACCTCAACCTCTGTCTCTTGGGTTTAAGCTACTCTCCTGCCTCAGCCTCCCAAGTAGCTGGGACTGTAGTCAAGGCACTTCTTCACCACTTTGATTAATGCATCTCTCTTCCTTCAACTTATCCTACCTTCTACTATTGAACTGATATTTACAGTGAGATTTAAAAAATAAAAACACTACAGTAAAACTTCCTCATATTTTCTATGAAATAAGGACAAATGTTTCTATGAAGGAAGATAGAAATGTACACTTGTATTGTGGAGACTCACAAAGTAGAATACTGAATACTATATGTCAAGGAATATGAACAAAGTACAACTACATACAGTAAAACTCATTATAGAAAAACTGGTGCACTTAATGTTGCACAAAAATGCCAGACATAAATAAATATGTATTTATAATTTCATTTATAGAAAGTTAACAGACAAACAAAATACATCTTTGGTGATGAAAATCAGCATGGTGGGTACCTTGAAGAGACAGAAGTTAAATTGTTTGAAGTGGGCCTGAAAAGACCTTCTGGAATGCTGGCAGTGTGGTTTACTGAGTTGAGTGCTTGGTAAATAGGTGGGTCCAGTTTAGGAAAATTTACTGCACTCTCACTATATTATGTATAATACATAATGTAATATAATATTAATATAGTATAAATAATATATAATATAAATAACAATATACATACACATATTAATATATATCATATAATAGTACATATATTATGTATAATATATAATATATGATATATATTATATATATAAAACTTAAGCCCTTATTTTAAAAATATTATTCTTCCATTAGAGGATTACACTCCTTCCGCCGAAAGAAAAAATTGACAGAACAAAAAGTAAAAGTGGTCATCATGGTGGGCTTTAACACCTACTGTCTATCACAAGACATGTTGAAAAATGAGAAAAAATTGTTAATGATATAAAGATATGATGAACAGCACAGTTAAAAATTTGACCCAATTGACCTATTTGATATCTATCTATCTATCCATCTAATCTATTCATTTTTGGATAGATCTATAATCTATCCAAAAAGTTCATCAAAAAATGTATATTAAGAGAAAACCATGCATACATTTCAAAGTTTTAGATGAGAATAAATTTTTAATAACTTTTTGTGACATATCCAAACAAAGTCTAGTTTGAGGCACTAAGAAGTATAAGACGCCAGTTTGAAAAGAGCCCCTACTAGAGCAACATGAATTCTGCTAATATGGAAGCAAGAACAAGCATCAAATTTATGGCGAGGCTTGGGTGAAAAAATGGTGAAATCCTTGATGTTTTATGAAAGGTTTATGGGACCAATGCCCCTAAGAAATTATCAGTTTACAAATGTATAACTCATTTTAAGGAGGGATAAATGATGTTGAAGATGAAGCCTGCAGCAGCAGACTATCCACATCCATTTTCCAGGAAGAAAAGCCCTTAACTGAAGAGGACCAAGGATTCACAGCAGAAACAATAACCAACACCATAGATATGTAAATTGGTTCAGCTTACACAATTCTGACTAAAAAATTAAAGTTAAAAAACATTTCCACTCAATGGATGCCAAAACCATTGCATCCTGAGCAGACAAGAGCAGA
Source organism: Homo sapiens (assembly GCF_000001405.40). Lineage (NCBI taxonomy): Eukaryota > Metazoa > Chordata > Mammalia > Primates > Hominidae > Homo > Homo sapiens. Next base: position 125,823,571 of record NC_000007.14, read on the forward strand.
GCTTTCAATGAAAATGTTTAAAACCTGGGATCAAAATCATGAAGCACCTCTTTGAAGAACTGTAGCAGGAGATAAAACATGGTTTTACCAATATCATCCTGAAGACAGAGCAATCAAAGCAATAGCTACAAAGAGGTGGAAGTTGTGGTCCAGTCAAAGCAAAAGTGGACTGGTCAAGAGCAAAGGTCATGGCAACAGCCTTTTGAGAGGTTCAAGGCATTTTGCTTGTTGACTTTCTGGAGTTCCAAATAATAATAACATCTGCTTGTTTTGAGAGTCTTTTGAGAAACTCAGCCAAAACTTTAGCAGAAGAAAACCTCTTGGGAAAGCTCCACCACAGACTCCTTCCCCATTACAACATTGCTCCTGCTCCCTTCTCTCACCAAACAAGGGGAATTTTGTGAGAGTTTCAATTTGAAATCATTAGGTGCCCACTCTACAGTCATGATTTAGCTCCTTCTGACTTCTCTTTGTTTCTTAATCTTAAAAAATCTGTAAAGGGCACCTATTTTTTCTTCAGTTGATAATGTAAAAAAGACCTCATTGACATAGTTAAATTCCCAGGGCCCTCGGTTCTTTGGAAATTGACTAAATGGCTGGTATCATTGCTTACCAAAGTTTCTTGACCTTAATGGAGCTTATGTTTGGAAATAAAGTTTATAGCTTTTATTTTTTAATTCCATTTTTGAAAATTTCCCACAAAAAATCACACACACACACACATACACATGCACACACACAGAGAGAGAGAGAGAGAACAGGAGAAAGAGCGAAAGCAGGAGAAAGAGAGAGCAGGAGACGGTGGAGGGGGGAAGGTTTATATTATAAGGAATTGACTCATGTGATTATGGAGGTTAAATTCCACAATCTGGCATCTACAAGCTATAGACAGAGAAAAAAAAGGGTTGTATAATTTAACCGTCATAGATAAGTAGGCAGATAGATATAGATATGAATACAGATATAATGTATAGATAATATACATTCACTTTGCCCAGCAATGGCAGATGCAATATTATTTTCAGAGCCAACATATCACTTGCTAAAGCTGACCACATCTTGAGTCACATAGTAGCCTCAAAAACTTGCAAAGGATGGGAATTTTCAGAAGATCAATAGCAGAACTAGTAACTAAAAAGTACTCAGATGTCAGTAAATTAATTGGTGCATATTTCAATAAACCATGGATCAAAGAGGAAGTAACTATGAAATTCAAAGATATTTTGAATCATCTAATAATGAATAAATAAATAATCTGAATGATAATTAGAACTTATGATATTCAGGCAAATTGGGGCTTAGAGTTACTTAAATGTCACATCCTAAAAGGAGACAGAATAAAATGAATTATCCAGTCTCTCATCTCAATAAGCTAAAAAAGGGCAGTATATTAAACCCAAAGAGAGTATTAGGAAAGATAAGGCCAGAGATCATAAAAAGGAAAAAATATATATGAAAGAAAATCAATAACCACATGAATTTGTTCTTTGGAAATATCAATAAAATTCACGAAATGCTATCAAGGCTGTTTAATGAAAGAGAAAAAAAGAGAGAGCTAGCAATGTTGAAAATGAAAAGTGGAAATGAACACATATCTTTCAGATATGAAAAGATAAGTGAGCAATGCCAATTTTATGCCAAAAAATTTACTGAAATAGAATATTCATTTGAAAAACAAAACAAAGCTGACAGAATAGAAACATATAAACTCAATCATCTTATGTATTTTAAGAGAATTGCATTCATAATTAAAAACATTCCAAGACAGTAAACTCCAGACTTCACTCATGAATTTTTTCAACTATTTAAATAAAGACAGTGAGAATTTTACCCAAATGATATAATTTAATTATAGGCTAATAAAAATCTGATTAGAAACTTGTATATCATGAGCCTCATAGTTGGGCAATCTGACTGGCCCTTTTCACTTGGAGAACCACTGAAGAAGTCTGAATCTTGCCCCTTTCCTATGCGACTTGACAGGTTCCCTTTGACAGTTCATTTATTTTTCTTCCTTGTAGATTATAGACCTAGATGGAAGCATTTTAGAAGCTGAAGAAAATCTAAGCATTCATTAAATAGATATACATTCAATACCCTGTTTTTAGCACATTAATCTTCACCCTGATAGTCCCTGTTTCTGATACCCCCTGCTCCAGGGATCTACCATTTTACTCTCCTAGAAAATAAATCTGGCTTCTGCTTAGGTAATCACATACATAGATGGTGTGAGAAAAGGAATCTGGGATATGCAATAAAATTTAAAAGTGCTTTTCATTAGTCCTCATGTTTTAACCTAAAGATGTTCACAAGTTTGCCTTTCTTGAACTCTTTTGGAGCTCATTGATAAAAAGATGACTTCTCCACTTTCTCCACTCTGGCTTAAGCTTTAGCTCTCTCTAATCTGTGACATCAGCTGTCATCATTCATCCATCTCCAGCTTCCAAAACAATATTATTGTTGTATCCTTTCCTATTCTCTTTGACATTTTTAATACATTCCTAAGAAACACTTTTCTGTTATTTAGTGGAATTTGCCAAATAAGCAAAGGGATATAATGCATACTCAATCTGCCCTCTTTAAAGCCTAGATCACTTTTCTCAAAGTGTGGTCTGTGGAACTCTGGGGGGTCCCTGAGACATTTTCAGGGTTTTGGCGATCTCAAAACAAATATACAAATATCATAACAATGTCAAGATGTCATTTGCCCTTTTCACTGTGTTGGCATCTTGGAATTTTTACTAATTGTGCAAAAGTAATAGTGGGGAAAACCACTGACATCTTAGCAAGAATCAAGGAAGTGTTACCAAATAATATGAGCAGCCATTATAGTCTTCATCACAATGTACACACTGTTAAAAAAAAAGTCATTTTCACTAAGAATGTCTTTGATTAATCAGTAAAATATTATTCACTTTCATTAAATATTGACATGAGTACATTTTTAATATGCTTTGGATTAATGAAAAACATGTATAAAGGATTTCTGCTGTAAACTGAAGTGTAATTATTATTTCAAGGAAAAACAGTTGTGTGACTAGTTTTATTGAGCTAAACTAGCTGCTTTTTTTTTTTTTTTTTTGAATGGAATATCGTTCTTTTGTGAAGAACTAAATCAACAGAGTAAATCTGCCACTTCAAGGGAAACTACTCACAATATTGCCAATGATAAAATTTGAGCTCTCAAAAAACAAACAAACAAAAAACCTAGAATGATAGGAAACTTGTATCTAACATCGTGTTTGACACTTTCCCAAAACTTAAGGACTTTTCTGATCAGATTCATGGTTAAATAGGTGAACATGAGTTTTACTATTATACAATGAAATGTGTCAATATTTGTAAAATCTGCATAAGTTAGGGAACTGATACTTTTAGATAACTAATTCACGTTACGAAATCAGGCATGGGTGAAAGAACCACTCAAATTTGAAGAGAGACCAAGAGATTTTAGCATAACAGAATACCAAAACTTCACTGATATGGTTCCAGACTCCAAGCAGCAATTAATCTTTAAAAAAATACCACTTAACTTTTTGTACAATATTAATTCAAAAATTCACAATTAACTGAAAAGTCTGATTAAATGTTCGCCCCGTTTCTTTCCAACAATGTGTCTATAGGAAGCCAAAATATCTTCATACACTCCAGTTGAGCAGATTGAAAACAGAAGCAGATGTGAGGAATACAATTGTCTTCCATTAATCTAGAAATTTAAGAATCTTGGAAAATGTACATTTTTTCTTACTAAACTTTTTTCTTCTCCCTAAACAATTCTTGTCACTAAACTTCCATTTTTCGTTGTCATAAAATATATGTAACATAAAAGTTACTATCTTAACTCTTTTTAAGTGTACAAGTCAATGGAATATAATACAGTGGTAGTTTTATAAAACGGTCACCAACATCTAACTCTATAACTTGTTTCATCCTGGAAAACTGAAACTCTGTACACATTACATAATAATTCCTCATTCTCTCCTCCTACCCCCTGCCAACCACTATTCTATTTTCTGTCTTTATGATTTTTACCACCCTAAGTATCTAATATAACTGGAAACATATAGTATTTGTCTTTTTCTGACTGGTTTATTTCACTTAGCATAATGTACCCTACCTTCATCCGTGTCATAGTGTACTTGATAATTTCCTTTATTTCTAAGACTGAATAATATCCATTATATGGATAGATCACATTTTGATTATCCATTCATCTGTTCATGGACACAGGGGTTGCTTTCACATTTCAACAATTGTGACTAATGCTGCTGTGAACATGGGTTTACATATATCTCTTTTAGAGCTTGCTTTCCATTCATTTGAGCATATATCTAGAAGTGGGATCCTGGATCACATAGACGTTATATGTTTAATTTTTTGAGGAACCGTTACACTGTTTCAGTAGACAGCCCACAAGGGCTGTATCATTTTACATTCCCACCAACAGTGCATAAGGGTTTTCTCTGCATCCTCACCAACATTTATGTTCTGTGTCTTTGATAGTGTCCATCTGAATAGGTATGAAGGGGGATCTCATTGTAGTTGTGCTTTGCATTTCCCTAATAATTACCTCACTAAACTTTTGGAAAATCTAGTTATTTTTGATAACATATTTTTGAGTAGCTAGGTGTTGAAGTGGTCAAGTAAGACAATGAGCCAATCTGAAGGTAACCATCAAGGCTTTATTAACCTGCTGCAATGTGTAGGCAAAATGCAAAAGAAAAGGGTGCCAGCTTTGCGTTATTGTATTTCCCACAGAGAATGGCACTGAGTAAGGGTCACATGACATGCAGCACAGGTGGGGTGGTGGGACGAATGTGTTACTCACTACTGAAGAGTCCCAAGAAAAAGAACATTATCTTTGATAGACACAGCAGGCTTGAAAGCGGGAGAAGGGAAGGACTAGGAATTGAAAAATACTGAGTCACAATGGAGAAATGTGTCTTTGGCAAGCTTCTCCCATTTGGAATGGCCATATTTACCCAATGCCTGTGCCCTCATTGTATCTAGGAACTGACTAATTTGCTTTTGATTTTACAGGCTCATAGATGGAAGGCACTTGCCTTGTCTCAGATGAGACTTTGGACTGTGTATTTTTGAGTTAATGCTGAAATGAGTTAAGACTTTGGGGAACTAACTGTTGGGACAGCATGATTGGTTTTGAAATGTGAGGAAATGAGATTTGGCAGGGGTCAGGTGTGAAATGATATGGTTTGGCTCTGTGTCCCCAAGCAAATCTCATCTTGAATTGTACTCCCATAATTCTAATGTGTTGTGGGAGGGGCCTGGTGGGAGATAATTGAATCATGGGGGTGGTTTCCCCTATACTGTTCTCATGGTAGTGAATAAGTCTCATGAGATCTGATGGTTGCATCATGGGTTTCCATTTTTGCATCTTCCTCATTCTCTATTTGCCTGCCACCATCCATGTAAGATGGGACTTGCTCCTCTTTGCCTTTTGCCATGATTATGAGGCTTCCCCAGCCATGTGGAACTGTAAGTTCAATTAAACCTCTTTCTTTTGTAAATTGTCCAGTCTCAGTTATGTCTTTATCAGCAGCATGAAAATGGACTAATACAGTTCCCAAACCTCAATTATTGACTTCTGTGCACCCATAGGCTCAACACCACATGGAAGCTGCCAAGGCTTGGGGCTTGTGCTCTCTGAAGCCATGGACTGAACCTTACCTTGGCCCCTTTTAGCCATGGCTGGAGCACCTGGGATGCAGGGTACCAAGTCCCTACGCTGCACACAGTAGGGAGACCCTGGGTCTGGCCTGAAAAACCATTTTTTCCTTCTAGGCCTCTGGGCCTGTGGTGGGAGGGGCTGCTGCAAAGGTCTCTGGCATGTTCTGGAGACATTTTCCCCATTGCTGTGGTGATAAACATTCAGCTCCTCGTTACTCATGCAAATTTCTGCAGCAGGCTTGAATTTCTCCCCAGAAAATCGTTTTTTCTTTTCTATTGCATCATCAGACTGCAAATTTTCCAAACTTGTATGTTCTTCTTCCTCCTGAACACTTTGCAGCTTAGAAATTTCTACCACCAGATATCCTAATTCATCTCTCTCAAGTTCAAAGTTCCACAGATTCCTAGGGCAGGGGCAAATGCCACCAGTTTCTCTGTATAGCAAAAGGGACTTTTACTCCTGTTCCCAACAAGTTTCTCATCTCCATCTGGGACCACCTCAGCCTGGACCTTATTGTCCATATCACAATCAGCATTTTGATCAAAGCCATTCACCAAGTCTCTAGGAAGTTCCAAACTTTCCCACATCTTTCTGTCTTTGGAGCCCTCCAAATCTCTAAGAAGTTCCAAACTTTCCCACATTTTCCTGTCTTCTTCTGAGCCCTCCAAAGTGTTTTAACCCCTGCCTGTTACCCAGTTTCAAATTCTCTTCCTCATTTTTGGGTATCTTTACAGCAGAGCCCCTCTACCTGACACCAATTTACTGTATGTTGCTAATAAAGACATACCCAAGACTGGGCAATTTATGAAGGAAAGAGGTTGAATGGACTCACAGTCCCACATGGCTGGGAAGGCCTCACAATCATGGCAGAAGGTGAAGGAGAAGGAAAGTCATGTCTTACATGGTAGCAGACAAGAGAGAGCTTGTGCAGGAGAACTCACATTCATAAAACCATCAGATCTCGTGAGACTTATTCACTAGCATAAGAACAGTATGGGGGAAACTGCTCCCATGATTCAATTATCTCCACCTGGCCCCACCCTTTACACTTGGGGATTAATACAATTCAAGGTTATATTTGGGTAGGGACACAGCACGAAACCATATCAATGATATTTGGCATCACTATTCAGTATTTAGTAATCAGTATTTGGTGGCACAGTATTCAGATATTTATCTGTGAGATGCATTTAACAGCTCATTAAATTCAGGGTGATAGCAACTCCCTGGGAAGGCTTACCAATGATTGTGATGTGGCCAAAGTCACAAGGGCTACTATGTGAGGGAGAAAGGGGAGAATGTTAAGATCCCTTCCTCCTAGCCTCCCGTTTCTAGGTCTTAGGGTTCAAAGGTGCTGATGTTCTATCAGTATAGTGAACTCCTTCTCATTGATTATTACATGGGCAATCTTTCATTACCATGGGCAAGCATATTGCCCCAGATCCTGCCCTCATGGCCATGAGTCCAAACTTTCTGGCTTGGGATCTCTTGTGGGTCAATAAAAGTTTTTAACTGTATATATTGATATTCATCCCATGGGACTATCCAGGAAAAGCAGCATGGCCACTTTAAGGAAAATGTTCAACTACAGATTTTAAATTGCTTGTCATTATTCTTGAGATCCTTGTGGGCAAAATTTATGCTTTTCACCCAGGGGGTAAATAGAGGAGATTGCTGTCTACCACCATTTACTGTTTAATAGCCCTTCTGATTTCCCATAGAATTGAGTTTTCAGGAAGCAGTTAAAATGGTTTGAAGAGACTTTCAGGGCTCACCATGGAGACTAAAGTGTGAATAATTGAAAAAAAAAATGGGTCAGGGGGAGGGGGGTAGCCAGGCCAAATGTGGTATAAATGAGTATTACTCATTTGAGGAATTGCTGGATTGAGATTCCATTCTGCTTGCCTGGGATGTGTAGTCTGGGCTGGGATTATCATGTCCCCTGCTTAAGTCTTCCATTTAATTGTCCATTTAAATACTCAACTGCCTCTGTGTCTTGAAGTAACATGTAGCATAGAGAGCACATTTTATGGTCCATGATTGGGCTCATTGATGTGCATCTTCAGCCTCAAACCTGAGGGTGTTTCCAGATGAAATATTCCAGGGAACCCAAATAGAAAACAAATGTAGTCTTTTAAGGCCTGGATAGTGTGTCTTAAATCAGCAAAACATACAGGGATAACTAGGTCAAACTAGAGAATGTGTCAACTCCAGTCAGGATCTAATAGAACCCTCTGAAGGGGCAAAAGGCCCAATGCAATTGACCAGACAAAAATACCCCAGCATTTTGTCTTGTGAGATTTATCTACAAGCAGTAGCCTTGTAGCCTTGCCTTTTAGCCAAGTCTTTTAGGCTTGGCCAGGATCTTGCAGGTGGGGCAGTTTTTCCATGCTGTTTTGGGATGTTCTGATAACAGAGTCTGTCCACGTCTGTAGGCCCAGCCCTAAATGATGTTTGAATTCCTGTGGGCGTTCTTTAATGAATCCAAGAGGCAACTGGTCACACATCTGCTTGCTAAGGAAGAACAATTCAGTCTCCACATTTGGGTAACAAGTGTTGTCTGCTCATTGATTTTTCTTTTCGTTAGTCAATATAGGGGCCTTTCTGATGAAGATACACATGGGTAACAACTAATTAGAGCAGAATCTCTCTCTTTTTTTTTTTTTTTTTTTGAGACGGAGTTTCGCTCTGTCGCCCAGGCTGGAGTGCAGTGGCGCGATCTCGACTCACTGCAAGCTCCGCCTCCCGGGTTCACGCCATTCTCCTGCCTCAGCCTCCCGTGTAGCTGGGACTACAGGCGCGCGCCACCATGCCCGGCTAATTTTTGTATTTTTAGTAGAGACGGAATCTCTCTTATACAAAAGTCTCATCTTCAAAGAAGGGCTTAAAGTTTGAGGCCTACTAGTGTTCCAATCAAATAGCCAGGCCATTAGCTTTGGCCCATAAGTCAGTGAACACAGCACAGCTCATTTGCTGGGGTGGCTTGGATAGCTAACCACACTGCATGAGGCTCTGTCCATGCAAACCCATCAAGTTGTATACATTAGCTATGTACAACTTTTTCTATATCAATTATTATTCAATGAAGTGGCTAAAACAAAGAAAGCAAAAAACTTTTAAGCCTTTTTTTTTTTTTTTTTTGGTGGACTTGAGCTCAGACTGAGTTCTGGCCTTTCTCCCCTATTGTAATCAACTTGGAACGTCTTCCTTGTTTGTTTAATGGTCTCTTGCAATTTTTGCTTTGAAACTGGACACAAGTTTTCTAGAATGGGAGGGTGTAGAGAGTTGGATGGGGCAACGGACCTAGGATGGGTAGCCCAGTTTCATGCCCAGGATCCCTGGGGGTGATGCAGGGGGGCCTAATCTGGACACAGTCTGGGATGTTCCTGGGACAGTGGTGCCCAGAAGGCTGCTGCTGGTCTGAACACCATCGCAGTGCCTATGTGCCGGGCTATGCAGTGGTAGAGGTTGTTTGGAGAGAGGAGGGGGACATGGCCGCCATGCTTACTACTCCACTCTATTCTGGTCGATCTTTAGGAGGGAGTGGCCAGGAGCCACTGTGCCATGGACACTGACAGACTAGGGCATGGTGCTCTGTTGCTTTTTCTCTGTTCTCTTGTTGTGGCTGCTGTCAGGGCACTCTGAAGGAGCAGGTATGCAGTAGCATACCCACATGTCACTACCTTTTTTGATAAGTTTAATTAAGACTATCCCCTTTGTTGTGTAAACTAACAAACGGAGTCTCTCAGGGTCTCTTCAGGACACAGGCTACATGAAATCCTATACATCTCTACACTCTTTTCCACTTACGTTTCAACAATCCACTGCACCATGTGGCATTTACTGGTACCAATAATCTGCTTAGAGTTAAAAACAGTTGTTGAGGCCGGGTGCAGTGACTCATGCCTGCAATCCCAGCACTTTGGGAGGCCAAGGCGGGCGGATCACAGGGTCAGGAGATCGAGACCATCCTGGCTAACACGGTGAAACCTCGTCTCTACTAAAAATACAAAAAATTAGTCAGGCGTGGTGGCAGGCGCCTGTAGTCCCAGCTACTCGGGAGGCTGAGGCAGGAGAATGGCGTGAACCCAGGAGGTGGCGGAGCTTGCAGTGAGCCAAGATCGCGCCACTGCACTCTGGCCTGGGCGAAAGAGAGAGACTCCGTCTCAAAAAAAAAAAAAAAAAAAAAAAAAAATAGTTGTTGAGCACAGCTCAGCTGGTGGGGTCTCCCTCATTTTTTGGTCCCATCACCAGAGGATTTTTTTTGTAATGGCTAGAAGACTGCTTCCCTACCTCTCTAAGAACCTGTTAGATCTCTAATTTGACACATCAGCTGAGTTTCCATGGAGTCCCCTTCAGGACGTTTCTGTAAATTTGGAACACTCCCTAAGACCCGTTCACATGACTGCTGAAATATCCCTTGACATCTGTTAACACTCCTCTGAACTTATTGGTGAGGTACCTCGCCAGACCCAGGGGCTCTTGCAAATCCAAATCCACCAGCATTCCGTAAGAGTGCCTCATAGAACTCTCAAATGTTTTGCTCTTCCAGAAGGGCATTGTTCTCAGTAGATCACCCAACTCAATGTAGTAACTTATCCAGCTGCCAGGGTGCTGAGGTGGTAGATTTAGATAAGTGGCCCTAAATCAAGTTTAGCCTAACTTTTCCTCCTTACATATTTTAAGTTCAGCCTAAAGGGTTTCTCTGCACGTCGTGAAATATAACCTAAATGGAACTGTAAACAGAGTGTAGCCTACTCCTGTGCCAATCACCGAGTTTTGGCCAATCAGATGTGACCCACTGTTCAAATCGTGTTCAGATAAGGCAAACGCCGAGCTACAACCAATACAGCTGTTTCTGTACCTCACTTCTGTTTTCTGTACATCACTTTCCTTTTTCTGTCCATAAAGCTTCTCCCACCACGTGGCTGTGTTGGAGTCTCTGAGTCTCCTCGTTCTTTGCTCAATTAAACTTTTTAAAACTTTAATTCGGCTGAAGTTTTTTTGGTAACAAGCCAAAACAAAAATAACAATCAAGGCTTTATTTATTTACTTCAATAGTGTGGGCGGAGGGCAAAAGAAAAAGGTGCCAACTCCCCAGTGTGTCATTTTTCTCCATGAAAGGAACGCGGTATGATTTGGATGGCATGTGGCACAGACAGGGAAGGGAAGGAGCTCACCTTACTGCCAGGAGTCCTGAACAAAACGCTCTTGACTGTTTATAGACTCAGGTAGCTGTTGGGTGCAAGAGGAATAAAGCTAGGAGTTGAAAAGAAATTAGAGTGAAGAAAAGTGCCATGTGGAGATCCCCTGAGAGGTGCCTGAGGAATGCAGATGTGCATATGATAGTGGGTTGAGGTGGGAGTGGAGGTGTGAGTCCTTCACTGCAGCTCCCTCCAGAAAACTGTAACGCACTGGCTGTCCAAGTGAGGTTTGAGGAGGGCAGCTTTCTCCCATGAGGTTTGTCAGGAAAGCTCTGTCACTGCCTATGATTGTTCCTGAAATACAACCCATTGGATTCTGGCCTGGAGCTGGACTCCACAAACATATCTAATATCATGTTAACATTTAATGAGTTTATTATATTCAGATAAGGTTGTAAGTAAATATTTCAAAAATTTATCCGTTTTAGTTTTAATATTGCACATATTAATAGATATAACCCACTTAAAGAAAACTATTAGGAATCTGTAATAATTTTAAGGGTGTAAAGAGGTTCTGAGACCAAATTTTTTAGGACTACTGCCAGCAGGTTTTTATTTATTTATTTTTCCTATCTTTACCATTTTATTTCCTCCTTTTACCTTTTCACACCTGAGACCTTCCTTCTAGGATCATTTTCCTTGTTCCTAAAGTGCACCCTTTATAAATTATTTTAAGAAAGGTCTCTTGATTGTAAACTCACTTACTACTTACTTGTCTGAAAATATCTTTATTTTACATGCATTTTTAAAAGGTATTTTGACTGAGTATATAGTACTAGATTAACACAACTTCTCAGGTCTTTGAAGATATTATTTTAATGTTTACCAGATTCCCTTGTTTTCAGTTTTGATCAGTGATCCAGATATCTAATCATCATTTATTTGCAGGTAATGTGTTAGCTTTTACCCTCGCGTCTGCCTTTGAGAAATTTTACTTCTACTTGTCATTTAGTTATTTCTCAATTGTGTGTCAAAGTTGACATCATTTTTCTAATCTTTATTTTTTAAATTTTATGTTTTATTTTTATTCAGCATCCTGAATCTGAATATTGGTGTCCTTCATGTCTTTATTGCTTTCACATGATCTATATTGCCTAGCTTTAAAAATCCAATTAGAGATATTTTTATCTCATCTCATTATCTTCCATGTTATTTAATATTAACCCCTCATTCATATTTTATATCTTTGTCTTTACATGTTTTATTTCTGGTAATTTTTTTCTGACATGTCTTTTTATTCACTAATTTGCTATTCAACAAGGTCAAGTCTGTCAAGCATAGGAAGTAAAATAATATTCTGTACTTGATAATTATTATGTCTATGTATCTCTCAGCATTTTGACCCAAGTATTAATATGCCTTATGATTTTAAAAAATATTATGTCCTCATATTGTTTGATTTTTTATTGGTAGAAATTCCTTGATATTTTCATTTGAAGTTCACTTCTTTAGTATATTTGTTTGTCAGGCACCTAGAAGCACCACCAATTTGGGACTATACTAAAATAAAACTTTGTGTCCTTTGAACAATGCAGGTAGTATGAATTCATAAACTAAATTCAGGTGCATGTGGACATTGGTTAGAAATTGTATGTATGCTTACTTCAGATTATCTGCTTTACTTACAGATAATTTGAGAAAGACATATATTCCCACCGTATTTTTTTTCTTTTCTCTACAAAGTAATATCTCCTGGGGATTCCAGTTTTATGAGGGATGGAATTGGAGGGACTTTCTAATATGGCCTGAAAGTCTTGGCAGTATTCAAGCTCTGCCTCTTATATTTCAAGGTAGACGCCTGTTAGAAACCAGGATTTATCCTACCAGATATCTCCAGTGGCAGTTCCCCTCTCCTTCTGGAGTAAAGCTTTCTTAACATTTGTGTAATTGATTTTCCTGCCATTTTAACCATGGAATAAAAAAATGGAAGATATTTCATGGAGGAATATTCAGTGTATTAAACTGGCAGGAGGATTTCCTCTGAAAATTCAGTCAGCATTTGCTAAAAATTTAAGCAAGTGATCTTTCTAAATTTTAAAAGTGATTATTTTACCTAGATGTGTAAAATCTTTCAATAAATCACCTTAATTTTAGAATAAATTGAAAATTATTATACCTGGTGTCTAAGCCTATTTCTCCAGCTTAATCTCATCACATACCAACTTATGCCTCGAGTATCCGCAAGTTAGAATGAGGCCTTTGGATTTTTCTGAGTATGGCCTAGTCTCTCAGCCCTTCATTATCATGCTTTGATAATTTCTTTGTTCCTAAACCATTTTCCTGGAATTAAACATAGTTTCTAAAATTTTTCTTCTTTTATTTCTGGTTTCCCAACATAAAATTTCTCCTGATTTATTCTATTTTTATTTCTTATCTCTGACAATGTGTTTTATTAAATATAGTTTTTGGAGAAAAACCAAATACTTCAACACAATGTATACCTAGATGAAGATCTGGGTATTTATTGAGGCAACTTCAATTCTTTTTTGTTTTTTTTTTTTTTTGGTCATCTTTAAATTTATTTATGATGTAATGGAAGAAAAGCTAAGAAATAAATGAATGGAACGTGAAAAAACAATTAAATGATTAAATCAATAAAAATTATTCTTACATCAAGAAGCTCCTTACAGCAAAAGAATTTTCAGCACATACCAACAGCAACAATTTATTAGAAGGAAAATTTTGAATAGAAGTAATGGTTTGGTTCTTATTTGATAAATTTAATTAATGAAGAAGAGTGAATCATGAACATGGGGAAATATTTAAATTCTTACAGATTTGACACAAAATACTAACAAGTATGAAGAGAACATAAACTCATCATAGAACAAGGAAGACATTGATGAGCAACTGGTGATGTATTTAATCAGTTTAAAGAGTATTAAAACTAGTCATTATATGAGTAAATTTTATTTTTTTAATGTTCTTTTGTAATTTTTTTTATTATTATTATACTTTAAGTTTTAGGGTATATGTGCACAACGTGCAGGTTTGTTACATATGTATACATGTGCCATGTTGGTGTGCTGCACCCCTTAACTCGTCATTTAGCACTAGGTATATCTCCTAATGTTATCCCTCCCCCCTTCCCCCACCCCACAACAGTCCCCGGTGTGTGATGTTCCCCTTCCTGTGTCCATGTGTTCTCATTGTTCAATTCCCACCTATGAGTGAGAACATGCGGTGTTTCGTTTTTTGTCCTTGTGATAGTTTGCTCAGAATGATGGTTTCCAGTTTCATCCATGTCCCTACAAAGGACATGAACTCATCATTTTTTATGGCTGCATGGTATTCCATGGTGTATATGTGCCACATTTTCTTAATCCGGTCTATCGTTGTTGGACATTTGGGTTAGTTCCAAGTCTTTGCTATTGTGAATAGTGCTGCAATAAACACATGTGTGCATGTGTCTTTATAGCAGCATGATTTATAATCCTGTGGGTATATACCCAGTAATGGGATGGCTGGGTCAAATGGTATTTCTAGTTCTAGATCCCCGAGGAATCTCCACACTGACTTCCACAATGGTGGAACTAGTTTATAGTCCCACCAACAGTGTAAAATTGTTCCTATTTCTCCACATCCTCTCCAGCACCTGTTGTTTCCTGACTTTTTAATGATTGCCATTCTAACTGGTGTGAGATGGTATCTCATTGTGGTTTTGATTTGCATTTCTCTGGTGGCCAGTGATGATGAGCATTTTTTCATGTGTTTTTTGGCTGCATATATGTCTTCTTTTGAGAAGTGTTTGTTCATATCCTTTGCCCACTTTTTGATGGGATTGTTTTTTTCTTATAAATTTGTTTGAGTTCATTGTAGATTCTGGATATTAGCCCTTTGTCAGATGAGTAGGTTGCAAAAATTTTCTCCCACTCTGTAGGTTGCCTGTTCACTCTGATGGTATTTTCTTTTGCTGTGCAGAAGCTGTTTAGTTTAATTAGATCCCATTTGTCAATTTTGGCTTTTGTTGCCATTGCTTTTGGTGTTTTAGACATGAAGTCCTTGCCCATGCCTATGTCCTGAATGGTATTGCCTAGGTTTTCTTCTAGGGTTTTTATGGTTTTAGGTCTAACATGTAAGTCTTTAATCCATCTTGAATTAATTTTTGTATAAGGTGTAAGGAAGGGCTCCAGTTTCAGCTTTCTACATATGGCTAGCCAGTTTTCCCAGCACCATTTATTAAATAGTGAATACTTTCCCAATTTCTTGTTTTTGTCAAGTTTGTCAAAGATCATATAGTTGTAGATATGTGGCATTATTTCTGAGGGGTCTGTTCTGTTCCATTGGTCTAAGTCTCAGGATACAAAATCCATGTACAAAAATCACAAGCATTCTTATACACCAATAACAGACAAACAGAGAGCCAAATCATGAGTGAACTCCCATTCACAATTGCTTCAAAGAGAATAAAATACCTAGGAATCCAACTTACAAGGGATGTGAAGGACCTCTTCAAGGAGAACTACAAACCACTGCTCAATGAAATAAAAGAGGATACAAACAAATGGAAGAACATTCCATGCTCATGGGTAGGAAGAATCAATATCGTGAAAATGGCCATACTGCCCAAGGTAATTTATAGATTCAATGCCATCCCCATCAAGCTACCAATGACTTTCTTCACAGAATTGGAAAAAACTCCTTTAAAGTTCATATGGAACCAAAAAAGAGCCCGCATCGCCAATTCAATCCTAAGCCAAAAGAATGAAGCTGGAGGCACCATGCCACCTGACTTCAAACTATACTACAAGGCTACGGTAACCAAAACAGCATGGTACTGAGGCAACTTCAATTCTATGCAAAGGATATTTGGTTGGATTTTGTAAGCACCACTATATAATAACCTTGGCAATATTTGATTAATATCAATCAGTTAGAAGAAACCTGTTTTATAAGAATAGAAACTTAACATTTATTTTAAAACAAACAAAATAAACGGTCATGATGATATACATACAAGACATTTGAAGGTTAACTGTTCTTACTTCAATATTCAATTAGTCAATTTAGGCAGTCATTATTCCAACTTAGTAGTTACTTAATTTGAACTACTTGGTTTTGCAACTGAAACTACTTAACCTGAATTTATAGGTGAAACACTCTGTGTACACACATAATCTAAGAAACATCTTGCTAAGAGAACTGCATGACATACTAATCTTATGCAGCATGTTATTCCCTCTTTAACATGTGTAGCTATTTCTGCAGCTGTCCTCAGGACTCTTCATTTTATCTGAGAAAACTATTTTCATAATAAAAACACTACTGAACTTGTTATGTACATGTTAGTTTATAAAAATCAGAATCAATTCATATTTATGGCTAATATGAAGAAAATGTGAATTATTATCTGCTAAAATATTTGGACTACTTTTTTTTCAAATAACCTCAGAATACATTAAGCTGTAATAATACAATGATGTTTGATAGATATTAGTAATTATGAAGGTAACTTCAATGACGGTAATATAATTTCTACATCAGACAGGGTCATTTTAGATTCAGAGGTAGTATGAATATTGTGGCCCCAGACAAGAGGCAGTTTTATATATCTGTGTTGCATTATTGTTACTCCTCTTTCACAAGATTAAAGCTAATCTGTTCCTAAAGGCTTTTCTGTGTTCTTTAAATGTGTTTCAAGGGAGGTATGGATAGATAAACCTGAAAAATTATGAAAAGAATTGAAGAAAATCAGTACATTTATTTGTTTTCTTAGTATATGCTATTATATACCATTATATGCTATAGAAAATATGCAAAACTCAAACATCTATTTCCTAAAATTATTAAAAATCTGTTAATCAGAGTTTGATGGTCTAATCTTAACCAATTGTGCCTTCTTAGAACTGGTAGAAAATAAATAAATAATAATTACATAAGCTCCTAACGTCTATCTAGACTACTGTTCACACCCAGCACGCTATCGTCCAATTAAAGATCACTATAATGGTTAGTCCTGATTTTAGCCAAGAGGAAAAGCTTCTCAAAATTATTGTATATGTTTTTCATGCATGTCTGAAGGAGCTCTTTCCAAAATGAATAATTCCAAATAACCTGTTATAAAAGAAAATGTCTTTAGTAATTACAGATTTTTCTCCTAAATGTGAGAATTTCAACCATCATTTTCAGTTGCCTCTTATTAAATACATACAGATTTTAAGCGTTGTTGAAGTGATTTCTTAAGTAATGATAATGTTTACAGTAATACAAAAGAATTTGTTAGCTGCCTGAACAGCTCAAAGTTTAAGATGTAATGACAACACAAATTAAATATTATGAATAAAAGATAATCAAGCATTATGATTTTAGAAAATATCTCATTTTCATTTCTCCTCAAATAACGTTTTATTTTTGAATCCCCTATTTTTAAAAAGATGCTTAAAGTATTCATTTTCTATGTATTTTCATAAAATATTCACTAAATGCTAGCTATCTTTCTGGAGTAATTTCATGTTTTAAACCCATTTTTGAGTTGTGTTATTTCTTATACTGCATTTGCTCCAAAAGATGGCACAGATTTTTTTTCACTCTAAACTGCATGACTGATAGCGTTTTATTTGATATATTCTATTTCTTTCATTATACAACTCACATATAAATAAACAAACTAAAAAAATTTTACATAGCTTGCCAGAGAGCGAGAATCCACACAACAATAAAGTTGTTTTTTTTGCAGTTCTTCATTGAATGTTTTTGGATGGTATCCCAGAATCGGTACAGGGAAGAAATGCTGAGGGATGCTCTCTAAAAGGCTTTCAGGCTAATGATGGAACAGAACTGAGGGAATCCTCCCCAGGTAAGCTGTACTGCTACCTGAAGAAGACAAGGGAAGGATCACAGTCAGAAAACCTAAAACAGGGCAGGAGGGATAAGCAATATCTCTGGAGGCTCAGAAAGTGGAGAGTGAGAATGGAGAGCAAACAATACCCTACAACAACACAAATACAAGAAGCAGGGCAGTATATAAAGGAGCAATTTCCTACATTTCTGAAAACTTGCTACTCGACTTAGAAGAACAAGCAGAAATTCAGAATCTCGTCAGAGCTCAGATCCCAAACCCTGCTAAAAGAAAAGTTCTGACCCCATCCTTAAAATATTTCAAGAGATTGTGAGCTGATTCTAACTTAAGCTTAAAAAAAAAAAAAAAAAAAAAACCAGAATCCAGTAGACTACGAATATATTTACTCATCCTCCATTCTGTCAGCCTATATAAGAAAGGACAAGAGGTAAATATTACTTACTTCAGTCTTTGCTGTTCTTTTATGCAATAATTACAGTATGTAGTCAAAAATCCTAATGAACATACTAATAATCAAGAAGGCATGTACCATACCGAAAAGCAGTGATAATTATTAGAAATATATCCAGATATGGCCTAAATATTAGGATTATCACATCAAATTTAACTATAACTTAAAAATAATTTTGCGGAAAAGATGGAAAGAATTAATGAATGAAGAGATGGGGCTTTTAGCTGAGACATGGGAACTATACAGAAGAACAAATAGAAATGCTAGATATTAAAAATCAGATATATATAATTTATTTCATGAGCTTCAGATGGGACTGTATAAGGAAGAGGAATATATCCTTGAAGAGAAAGTTTACAAACAAAAATATAAATAGAAAAGGAAAAGAGTAAACAGAGAATCCAAGATATGTAAAAACGTATCAATCTAACCTATGTGCAATTAAATCCCAAAAGAAGAAAAGCAAGACAGTAAAGAAGAAGAAATATTTAAAAGACAATGGCAAAAAAACTTAACAAAATTGATGAAAATATATCAACCCAAAGATCTAAGAAGTTTACTGAATGCTCCAAGCAGGATAAATGCATAAATACAAAATATATGTGCACACACACACACACACATATATACACATCACAGACAAGCTGGTAAAAATTAAAGATAAAGTCATCTTGAAAGAAGTCAGGGAGAAAAACATCTCTTATGTATAGGAGAAAAATGATACCCATAAAGACTTCTTACCACAAATAATAAATAATTCTGAAGTTACTTTAAGGTATTAAAAGATAAAATATAACTCTGAAACTGAAATTCTGTATTTTGTAAATAACCTTCACAAATACATTGTCAAACAAAGCTAACAGATTTTGACTCGCAAAGACTTGTGCTATAAAAAATGCTCAAAAAATACTTTTAGTTGAAGCACAATTACAGAATTTCAAATGAGTGAGACTGATCAATAAGCATAGGAAATAGAAAATAACTTGGAATTTGCAGAAATACCTATATTCCTTAATTACTTTAGAAAAATTAATAAGTGGTTAAAGCAAGAATGATAGCAATGTAACGTGTTTAAGTCATACATAAAAAAACCAATGGAACAATATGAACATAAAAACTGAGTAAAAGTTGTATACTGTCTATGAAGTTGCATGATATTGTTTGAAGCTACGGTGTTAAAAGATAAAAATGCATATTATAATATTTGTAGAAACCATTAAAAATTACAAAAGAGATGTAGCTAAAATGGTAATATAGGAAATAAAATATACAAACCTCAAATATGCACAATTCACTCAAAAGGGGGTAGAAAAAACAATATCAGACTGATAATTATAAAACAAATGTCCAAATGAGAAATTCCTTGTATGAGGCCAAAATAACACTTTCTATCAAAACATGAAAAATATTACAAGGAAAAAATCAGAACATATTCTTCTTGAACACAGATACAAAATTTCTTAACAAAGTATTGGCAAATCAAATTTAGCACTATATAAAATAAATAATAAATAAGTCCTGTTGTCCCAGAAATACAAGTTTAGTCTGAGTATCAAAAAGTAATAAATGTAATCATTGAATTACCAGAATAAATGAAAAAATTACATAATTATCTCAATAACGCCTATAAAATCGAAAAGTCAAAATAATGTAAAAAACAATGACAAAACATTCAGCAAACTTGAAATACATGCATACTTCTGAAATCAGATAATGGGTATCTATGAAAACCTACAATAAACAATGCCCTTAAAGCTAGATCACTAAACACTGTTAAGATCGAGGATATGGCAACAATGTCTGCTCTTGATGCTTCTATTTAATATTTTAGCAAGTGTAATAAAGCAAAGTACACAAAAAAACTATAAATATTAGATAACGAGTTGTAACTCTTTTCATTCACAGAAAATATTATTGTGATGTTTAAAATAAAAATTTTCTGCACACAAACTACTAAAATGTATAAGGGAATTTAATAAAGTTACAGGATAGTCTATACACCAATTAATTTTATTTGTATATAATTGTAATAAAAAGTGCCCAAACAAAATGTTTTAATTGTAAAATACAGTAGCATAAAAATACATATCTGGAAATATTTTTGAATATGCCATACTTCTCATGTGAAAGCTACAAATTATTTCTGTGAGGAATTAATGATGATTTAAATAAATGAAAGATATACCATGTCTGTAAATATGAAAATTTCATATTATTACTGTGACTGTTCTTCATAAATTGATATGCAGATTCTAGTCAGATTCCTTAACAAATTCCCAAGCAATTATTTAAAAAATATAGAGAAGATAATTCTAAAATTGATGTGGAGGTAATGAAGATACAGAATAGGTAATTCAGTCTTTAAAAATATCAAAATTAAATGTCTTAGTTACTTGATTTCAAGGGTTACTATAAAACTACAGAAAGAAGAGAGCATGGTATTAGTGTATGGAACTAAATAAATGGAATTAAGTAGAGTGTTCAGAAATAGACCTTCATATATTTAATAAACTGATTTTGACAAAAATGCCAAGTAAATACAATAGAGGAAAAATATTTTCACAAACGTTGAAATAATCGGGTATCCATATAAGAAATAAATGAAATTCACTTATCCATAACCCTTCCAGAAATTGACATAACCAGGATAATAAAGCTTCAGAAGAAAACAGAAGTGTATTTTCTTGAATAGAAAATAAAAAGCACAAATTATGAAATAAAATAATAAAATGAGTAGACAAGCAGATACTGGAGGAAATATATTACAACACATATTTGTGACCAAAAGCTTTTATCCAATATATGTAATAAATGGTATGCAAATTAATGATAAAATAATTAACAACTCAATATAAAATGAGTTGAAGGCTTGAACACTCTTGACAAATTAATACATGCAAATGGCCTATAAACACGTGCAAAGATGTTCAACATAAACAGTCAATATGTAAATCTAAACTGAATCCACAATAAAATATCAGTTCACTCCCACCAGAATGGCTGAACCAAAAAATATGACAAAGCAAAATGTTGGTGAGGCTAAGTATCCTCTGACCTATTAATTGCCGGTGAGAGTATAAAATTCCTTACTCACTTTGAGAAATTGCAAAGCAATTTCTTATAAATTAAATATATATCTACTATTTAACACAGTGTTTTAATTCCTAGGTAGTTACATAAACAAAATCATCGAATAGACTTAGAAAAGAATGTGGAACCCTTCTTCATGATTTACGATATACAATACAGAAACCATCCAAATGACCAACACCAGAAGTATAGACAAGCAAGTCATGGTATGTATCCATCCAGTGACACGCTATTAAGCAACAACAAACAATAAACAATAATAATTGCATACAACCTCACTTATGTAAATATGCAAAATATCAGCAGTGGATCTCAACTATGTATAATCATCATGAATTGATCTTGAAAATGTTATGGTAAGAGAAAAAGCCAGACAAAAATGAATAGTGTACTTACTGCATGAATCCAAACTGAAAATTTATCTATGATGATTGAAAACAGTTGCCAACATGGGGAGAAACTGACTGGAGAGAGGCACTGTAGGACTTTCTGTGGAAAGAGAATAGAAATACACTACGACTTGTTTGGGGTGATGGTTTACAGGCCTGTAAAAACTCACCTAAATGACCACTTAAAATTTATGCATTTTTTCAGCAATAATTCAAAGAAAAACTTGAAGTTTTAAATACATAAAACTGTACAAATATTAAAATATATATCTATAGGTAATAGAAAATCTTCATTCTGGTTATGCTTATATGTTGGGTGAAATGTCAGCAATAATAACAAAATACCTTCTTTGAAAATTTCAGTTTTCTTATCTGATATGGAACAAAAATTCTTGCAACAGAGTACTGAAATGATTATTTGAATACAAACAAGGATAAAGACTGTTTCTTCACTGAATTGCCCCTGAAATCAATATTTGTAAAATACTTCTCATTATATTATCTTTTTCTTGAATAAAACCTGTTTTAAAAGTACACGTATTTTTACACACTATTAAATTTGCATGGTTAGTTACCCTCCAAAAACTCAATAATTATTCTTTTCAACTGATAACTAAGAGAGTGGAAACAAGAACTCCTCTGGTTAATTGCAAAGCAATGTGGTTTTCCCAACAGGGTATCTTTTCTAAGTAGTACTCTACCATCTGCAACCCTTAGGCTATAAATTCTGAAGATGGATGTAACAGCAGCTTGAAAACAGGACTTTTCAAACTGAGAGATGTTAATATTCTTTCCAGTCTTCTGGTATTTGTGTAGTAAGGCTATATCATTTTATGTATAAAATGCTTTAATCCCCAGGTAATTATATTTTGCTCCTGATGCTTGAAATCATAATGAACCTGAAACCTAAGATTCTGACAAAATCGCATGCTATTTTGCTAACAAGTAGCTCGGTGGTTTTAAACCTTGCCTGACTATTATAATCAGCTGGGGTTAAAAAAAGAAAAAAGGTCTTGCCAGGAATTCATCCCAGAACAATTTAATTATAAACTTAGGAAGTCATGCAAAGGCATCAGTAATTCTTAAAACCTTACCAGTTGATTTTAATATGCAGGCAGGATGTGGAGTCACTGATAAATACTAAATGTTGATGCCTATACATATCATCAGAGGAAATAAGTGGGGAGCAGACAGGTGGGAATAAAAGTCGTGTTGTCACTAAATCCTGCACTCCTGGAAGCAATAATCAGATGGCAGAGAGCTATGATTGGCAGCCTAGAAGAATATGGGTTATACCGAGTGACAGAAAAGATGACAGCTGCAGATTGTAATAGTTGCCTGCAACTTATTGTGCAAACTATTTTTATTAGTGAATTTGTTATTCTACACAAAGTGAGATTTAGGACATAAGAAAGGCCTAAAGTGGTTTTCAGGTGCATAAAAATTACCTCTCATTCAAGTTATAAAATGAGGTTTGGTTGAAGTGGTTCTTTGGTAGGGCTCAAGAATCTGCATTTTTAATCAAAGTTATTCTGATGCAGCTTGACCACAGTATATGTGTATATAAGTAATGATCTAAAGGATGATGATGCCCTACACAGAATAAATTGTGTGATTTATAAAAAGGGAAGCAGTATCATAAAAAGAATGTGACACAGAGGAAAAATGAATTAAATGAATTAAAACTACTATTTGGTCATTGTTTGGATCATGGGGACAGATCTTTCATAGCTTGGAGGTGCCTTTGTGATAGTGAGTGAGTTTTCATGAGATCTGGTCATTTAAAAGTGTGTGGCAACTTTTCCAACACTATCTGTTTTCTTCTGCTCTGGCCCTGTGACGTACCTGCTCCCCTTCACTTTCTGTCATGATTGTAAGCCTCCTAAATCCTCTGCAGAAGCTGAGCAGTTGCCAGCACTGTTTACTGTAAAGCCAGTGGAACAATGAGCTAATTTTATTTATAAATTATCCAGTATCAGATATTGCTTTATAGCAATGCAAGAATAGCATAATAGAAAATTGGTACCAGGAATGGGGTGTTGCTATAAAGATACCTGAAAATGTGGAAGAAGCTTTGGAACTGAGTAGCGAGCAAAGATTGGAAGAGTTTGGAGGGCTGAGATGTAGACAGGAAGATGAACGAAAGTTTTAAACTTCTAAAGACTTCTTAAATGGTTGTGACCACAATGCTGATAGTGATACGGACAATGAAAGGCTAATAAGGTGTTGGGTGGAAATAAGGAGCTTATTAGGAACTGGAGCAAAAGTCACACATGTTATGTCTTAGGGAAGAACTTGGCTACATTGTGTCCATATTCTAGGGCTCTGTGCAAGTTTGAACTTCAGAGTGATATTTAGGGTATCTGGCAGAATAAATTTCTAAGCAGCAAACATTCAATATGTGGCTGGACTGCTCCTAGCAGCCTACACTCAGATGCAGGAGTAAGGAAATGATTTGAAGTTGGAATTTATATTTAAACAGGAAGCAAAGAGTAAAACTTTGGAAAATTTGCAGCCTGACCATGTGGCAGAGAAAGAAAAAGCTTTTTCAGGAGAGGAATTCAAGCAGGCTGTGAAGCAACCACTTGCTAGAAATATTTGCATAACTGAAAGGGAGCCAAATGCTAATATCCAGAACAATGAAGAAAAGGTCTCAAAGGCATTTCAGAGACCATTGCAGCAGCCCCTCCCAACACAGGCCCAAAAGCTGAGAATGGAAGAGCGGTTTAATGGGCCGGGGCAAGGGCCCCATTTGCTCTGTGCAGCCTCGGGACACTGTGTCCCACATTCCAGCAGCTTCAGCTCTGGGTATAAGGGGCCCAGGTACAGCTCAGGCTGCCACTGTGGAGAATGTAAGCCCTAAGCCTTGACAGCTTACATGTGGTGTTAAGCCTGCAGGTGTGCAGAGTGCGAGAGTGGTGGATTCTAAAGAAATGCCTGGGTGTCCAAGGCAGAAGCCTGCAGCAGGGACAGAGCCCTCACAGAGAACCTCTGCAAGGCCAGTGCAAAAGGGAAATGTCAGGTAGTAGGTCTCCACTGGGGCACTGCCTAGTGGAGCTGTGAGAATGGGGCCACTGTCCTTTAGACCTGAGCATGGTAGAGCCATCAACAGCTTGCACCTTGTGCCTGGAAAAGCCACAGGCACTTAAATCCAATCATGAGAGCAGCCTCAAAGGCAGCACGCACTCTGCAAAGCCAAGGTAGTGGAGCTGCCTAAGGACTTGAGAGCCTGCCCCTTGCAGCAGTGTGCCTGGATGTGGGACATGGAGACAAAGGAAATTATTTTGGAGCTTTAAGATTTAATGACTGACTGCCCTGTTGGGTTTTGAATTTACACAGGGCCCGTAGCCCCTTTCTTTTGGCTGATTTCTCCTTTTTAGAATGGGGATGTTTACCCAATGCCTATACCCCAAATGTATCTTGGTAAATAACATATGATAGAAGTAAATTAATTAATTTTGACTCATTTGATTTAATTCATGTCTTCATTCAACTGAATATTTGTTTTGTCTCCCTTCTTTGCCAATAGTGGCCAGATGTGGTTGCAATCAGAATCACCTGGGGAATGTTTTTATAAACACTGATATTTGGATCTCACATTTAGGGATATACCAGGGCAAAGCCTGGGAAGTGGGAAGTTTTTAAAACATCCTCAGGTAAATATTAATATTAAGCAAATTTTGAGAACAACTGCTTTATGTTCAAGTAAATTGGGCTATTAACATTATTCAACAAATTGAGAGTTATGTGTTAAGAATTGTTCTAAAGAATTTGAAATACTAAATGAGCCTTGGTTTCTTAATATTTTAGAATATTGTCAAATTACTCTAATATGGATAAGCTGAGTATTAGAGAAAATAAAACAGTAATTTAACAGAGTACTACAAAATTATAGTTAGTATAGTTGTAATTTTGCACAATGTATCCTTTTTCCCACTTTTTCTCTACCCAGGAAAGTAAGTCCCTCTCTAGCCAATATTGGAGCGTGTTTGTTTTATTTTACAGCAGAAGTATACTGATTTACCTAGAACTTCTTTAGAAAAGCATATCATAAAATATTTCAGAGCCATTCACAATCTAAAGTTCTGTGTAAGTGATAAATAAAAATCACCTGTGTTTGACTCCATTCTCATTGATCATATTGCAGTTCTATTAAGATCTTTTGACTCCAGAGCCTATTCACCTGCCAAACATTTAAATAAAAGACATTTCTAAGGGAGCATAACTGCACATAATCATGCTATTTCATTTTAGGTCTATGGCCATAAAAAATATTTTGTTCCTGCAAAATGACAGAAATAATAGTATTATTAATCTAAATTAAAAGGTAATATATTTTCTCTGTTTTGTGATGTTTTAAAAATAAATAAAAACTAGAATATATTCATTTTAAACTTACTTTAAAAAATATTTTGGTATGTCTTTACTGTGTATATTTGATATGGGATAAATAAAAAAGTATATAGTTTGGGTTATAGTAGTACTCCTTATCCTTGGGGGATGTGTTCCAAGACCCCCAGAGAATTCATGAAAGCATGGATAGTACCGAACTGTAAATATACTGATTTTGTATAACTTACGATAGAATTTAATGTATAAATTAGGCACAGTAAGAGATTAACAACTGTAACTGATAATAAAATAGAATAATTATAATAATATACTTAATAAAAATTATGTGAATGCAGCCTCTCTCTCTCTTTCTCAAAATGTCTTGTTTTATTTTCACCTTCCTTGAGATGGTCTGAGATGACAGAATGCCTACGAAATTAGATGAAATGAGGTGAATGATGTAGGCATTGGGATGTAGTGTTTTCTACTACTGACTCCACATCCCTGAATCTGTGTAACCATCCCTTACTTGCAGTAAATGGCGTGGTGTCACTCGTTTCAGGGGATCCCTTGCTAAATTCTTTCTATAGGCTCAATGCTTTCTGGTGCAACACATTGCCATAAATCAGAACACGTTTCTGTTTATGTCTTCCACCCACACATGCAATGTCTTTTCCATCTTAACTAAGCACTTACCAAGCACTATTGCTGTAACTGTTGCAGTTTGAGGTGTGACAGGAAAACTAGCACAAATATCTCTCTCTTCTACGATTTCATGGATAGAGGATTTACTCTTACTGTAGATCTTAGAAATCTACAGCACACAATGATTTTCCCTTCACCTTTCATTTAAAGGAAGCACTTTGTGGCTTCTCTTTGGCATATCCCAATTGCCAGCATCACTAGTGTTGTGCTTTGAGGCCATTCTTAAGCAAAATAAGGGTTACTGGAGCACAAGTACTTCAGTACTGAGACAGTCAATCTGATAACCAAGATGGCTCTTAACTAGAAGCAGGGAGTGTAGACAGTGTGGAGATTCCGGGCAAAGAGATGATTCACATCCCGGGCAGGAGGAAGCAGAAGAGAAGGAGATTTCATAATTCTGCCCAGAATGATGCACAATTTAAAACTTGTGAATTGTTTATTTCTGAAATTTTATGTTTAATATTTTCAGACCACGGTTGACTGGTTAACTGAAACTGCAGGAAGCAAAATCGTGGATAAGAAGGGACTACCGTGTGTGCCATTTTCCCACATTTTAAAGACTGGCATTAAATGATTTTATAAAATATAGCTATGAGTTATTAAAAAATCAAAAAAGTAAAATTCAAGCAAAATCATAACTAAAACCTAAAATGCCTGTGATAGTTAATTTTAGGTGTCAATTTGACTAGATTAGGGAATACCTACAGAACTGATAAAGCATTACTTCCATGTGTGTCTGAAAGTGTTTCCAGATGAAGTAGGCCTGTGAGTCAGTGGACTGAAAGAGTGGGGAAGATCTGTCCTCCATGCAGGCAGGTACCATTTAATCAGCTGGGGGCTTGGGTACAACAAAATAGCAGAGCGAGGCGGGGGGGGGTTCTTTTCTTTCTCTCCTGAAGCTGGGGCATGCTCCTCCTCCTGCCCTTGTGCATTAGGCCATAGGACTCTACAGCTTCCTCAGCTTCCATAATAATGGAAGCCAATTTCCCTAATACATGCTCTCTCTATCTATCTATCTGTCATCTATCATCTATCCCTTATTGGTTCTTTCTCCCTGGAGAACCCTGATAACATAGTGCCTAATATATTTATTCATTAGCTGAATAAAAGCTGAAGAAAGGCAACTCTTTCATCCTGGGTAACACACGGAGATGCCATCACTAAAAAAATAAAACAAAATTGCAAGGCATGGTGGCGCAGGCCTGTAGTCTTAGCCACTTGGGAGGCAAAGGTAGGACGATTGCCTGAGCCCAGGAAATTTGGTGCTGCAGTGAGCTAGATAGCACCACTGCATTTTAGCCTGGGTGACAGAACAAGACCCTGCCTCTTCGAAAAAGAAAAAGTGGGCAGGTGGGCAGGGCATGATGGCTCATGCCTGTAATCCCAACATTTCAATAGTCAAGGCAAGTGGATTTCTTGAGCTCTGGAGTTCCAGACCAGCCTGGGCAACATAGCAAAACCCTGTCCCTACAAAAAATTGAAAAATTAGCCAGACATGGTTGCACCTGTAGTCCCAGCTACTTGGGAGACAGAGGTGGAAGGATTGCTTGAACCTGGGAGGTCGAGGTTGCAGTGAGCCAAGATGGCACTACTGTACTCCAGCCTGGGCAACAGAGTGAGACTCTGTCTCAAAAAAAAAGAGAAGAGACAAGAAAAAACTCTTAATATAAGATGGAAAATTTATTGGAAATTTTTAGTTACTAAAACTGTGAGGTTTGCATTTATATCCTTTCCCAAATAAAAATATTTTAAATGATATGCAACATACATGGAAGACAATAGTAAACTACATTATAACTTGTCACAAAGCTGGAAATTTGTTATTTTACATGCATGTCATAAGCAATAGGTTGGTTATTATAGATACTATGGTAGTTAATGTTAGGTGTCAATTTGACTGGATTGAGGAATGCCTACATGGCTGGTGAAGCACTTTTTCTGGGTGTGTCTTACCAGGTGTTTCCAGAGGATACTGATACATGAGTCAGTGGACACAGAGAGGAAGACCTGTCCTCAAGATGGGCAGTCACCATCCAATCTGCTGGGGGCCTGGCTGGGACAAACAAGCAGAAGAGGGATTTTCTGTCTCTCCTCTCTCTCCTCTCTCTCTCTCTCTCTCTCCGTTTACTGTCTTCCTTCTGAAGTGGGATGCTGTTTTTCCTCTGCCTTTGGACATCAGACTCCAGGTTCTTTGGTTTTTGGACTCTGGGACTTGCACCAGAGGCCTCCCGGGAGCTCTCAGGCTTTTGGCCTCAGAGGCTTACCTGGTTCTCTGGCTTCCAGACTGAGCCACACTATTGACTTCTCTGGTTCTCCAACTTGCAGACAGCCTATCACGGGACTTCATCTCTGTGACAGTGTACATCAATTTCCCCTTACAAATCCCCTCTTATATATCCTAGTGGTTCTGTCTTTCTTGGAGAACGCTAATACAAATTTATACCATAAACCTCCTAAGGTAACATAATTGTAATACTCTCATATAGTCATTCTAAAAATGTATAATACTGTCAAGAAACTTTAAAATACATACTAATAAAAAGCCTCTAATAAAGAATAATAATATTAGAACCGGGTAACTCAGAAATTTAAAAGTTATATGTTTTTTTCGGCTTACTAAAATTTTTTCGCTGTTTTCAGAATTTGTTTAGAGCAAATACTGCTTCCAAACAGCACATCCCTATTTCACACTTTTAATTTACTTTCTCCCTAATAGAGATATTTTATAAATATATAAATTATCCACATAAAATATAGTTGAAATGAAACTAGATAAAATATTGCTGTCATTTAAAAAACTCAAGTTTTTGAGCATCCAATCAAACAAAATTAAAACAAAAATTTCATAGTACAAATTATAAATAAATCAAAACAATTATGTGTATAACAGGAAAACAAAGTAGTGGGACATTAAACCAAAGCTAGCTTAATAGCATGTCCTATGTATTTAAGTACTATACCATTTAATATGAATAATTTTATTTAAATATATAAACAGTATAATTATCCATTACTTCAGCATATTCATTTTTTATTGTCTTTCATTTAAGTAAAACATGGTTCTAATAATTTTTGAAATATTGCAAATATCATGCTCCTATTTTTTTTTTTTTTTTTTTAGACAATCTCACTCTGTCACCCGGGTTGGAGTGCAGTGGCACAGTCTCGGCTCACTGCAACCTCTGCCTCCCAGGATCAGGTGATTCTCCTGCCTCAGCCTCCTGAGTAGCTGGGGTTACATGCACATGCCACCTCACCCTCATGCCTCTATTTTTATGAAGCCACAATTGTAGATACAATTTTTGAATTACATTTAATTTACATTTTGATCCTAAATATTTTCACTGTAATATCAAGTTTTGTTTCCTGGTACCGTCCCCCCAGTAGGGTTAAAAACTTTTAAAAGTAATGTATAATACTGAGGCAATGAGAGCAGCAGACTGGCAAAGAGAAAAAAGGAAGAGCAGTTCTGAACTTTATATACCTCAATTAGTGGAATATTTCTAGGAGCTGTTTGCTCTCATTTTAAACAAATGTCTAACACCTTTCCTGTACAGGCACATCCTCTCCTCACTCATTGTTCTTTCTTCAGTGATAAAAGCGACTAAACTGAAAAAAAAAAAAAAAATTCTTCTTCAGGAGGCTGTTGTGATGTCTATTTCAAGGCGGACCCCCCTCCCCAGTGGCCTTGACAGTGCTCACAGCAGGATTATAAGGGGAGGTCCATGGGACCTTATAGCATCCATTACCTCTTTGCCATAACAACACCTTAAAATTGCCAGGAAATGATCCAAAGAGGCGGGTAATAACTACAACTAATGGCTCATCTCCTGAGAGACTGGCAGGGGTAACTGCTTTGTGCTTTACATCTCTGTAGTCTTGTGACCTTCAAACACCAGCAGAAATCTTGGCATCCCACATCATTACTCTTTACCTAAGCCTTTATACTGATTTAATTATGGTCACAACATGCCATACCAATCTGACTCCAAAGCTCTTAAAATCTACCTCTGAGATTCAGTTTTCTTTAGCAATTCTAGAATTCAAATTCTAGAACTTATAATTCTCCCTAAATTCTAACCCTCTTCTCTTGATATTTTTAGTGACTCTAATCCCCACGTAAGTGATTAATCTAACACTCTGGGTTTAACCATCTCACTTCCAATAGTAATTATCTTTACCCCAATTCAGCTACCGATTCTACTGACCATAGCCTAGACCATAGCCTAGACTCCATCATTACCAGTAGCAGCAACCCTCCAATGTCTTGACTTCAAGGATCCCACCATACTATCATGACATCCAGTCTTTCTGGCTCATTCCATCTAGTACCCCAAAGCCAACCCAGTTTTATCTCAGTGGGATTATCAACCTATTGATTTAGCTTAGTTATCTATTACTGACATATGCATTATCTATTACTTTCCTTATGTGCTTATCGGCCTTTTAATCCAGCATAGATTCCCGACTCATTATTGTCATTTTATTGTACACCGTATGAACTTCTTGGCCCAATTTTTCCTCAGTGCTACTTTCCTAGTTAAAATTCAGCCCAACTTAATCCCAGCTGAAACCCAGACAGCTGGTCCTATCTGTAGAAAATGATATAATCATGGTGCTAGTTATCACTGTAATTTTTAATGTAAAACTCAAGTTGCCTTTTAGCACTGCTAGTCATTCACAATATTTTCCTAGCCATTCATTCTCCATTTATCCAAGAATATTGCTTCACAGCATCTCTCTCCCCGTACTTAGATTATTTCAGAGAGTAAAGAGAAACAAAAAGTACTGCTGTCTTCATTCCATATCAACCTATATCTCTATTATTACATAAAAACTGAGATTTGTATTCCTATTAAAATGGATAAAATGTGCTTATTCCTAAGGGCAGTGATTCGCCTTAGAACAACTTTTATTCTTGCCTATTCAAGGACTCTGCTCCTGTGAATATCATGTCTCTGTCGAACCTGCTGCACACACACACACACTCACAGAAAGAGAGAGAAAGAGAGGGAGAGAGAGAGAATCCTGTAATAGTTTTAATCCTAAAGTAACACATTGAAAAAAGAGTCTCACTCCTTGACTTTCTTCCTACTGTGGTCCCATATATACACTCCTCTTCCAAATGGAACGCTATGAAGTGGCTTTCTATACACACTCTGTACTTTTTCAGTAACCATTCTCACTTGAACTCATTCCAAATAGGTTTTAGACCCATCCAGGCCACAGAAACTGTTCTTATCAAGGTCTTAAAGAAATTGTATCTTGCCAAAACCAATAATCAATTTCAGACTGCATCCAACACTTAACTCTCAGAAGCATTTGATATAGTCAACCATTCCTTTTTGGAAACAATTTCTTCACTTGGCATCCAGAACATTACATTCAGCTGGTTTTATTATTACTTTACTAACAGTGCCTCTTTCTATCAAAGTCAGAGGTTATTTTCTTATTTTATGCCATAGTGCTTTCAGGAAATCTAATGAAATTTATGAATTTCTTTAGAATATTTTTAAATGCGTAGGTTTATCAAGGAAAAATTTATATCAATACTAGTTTCCAAAGATGTACTTTCAAACCTTTGGTGTGCTAGTAGATATGCTTCTTTATGAATGCATTAAATAAGAAGATCTAGTAGTGGGTCTACTAACTATTTTGAACTTGTGATAAGCATAAGTATCTTAAGTATCATAATAATAAAGAACAGCAATGTGATATGAAGTTATCTGTGATTACTATTGATGAAGTCATAGAATTGCTAACATTACTACAGTCTTTGCTTATACTTGTATTTGAAAAAATTGCTACATCACAATTAATGATTTGTAAAAATAAAGAGGTAATGTTTCACCTGCCTAAATTCATTAACACCCTAAATTCTCTCCCCATATCCCTTTGTTAAGAACTTCTACTCTAAACATTGGCATGGCCCAGAATTTGACCCACCAACCTTTATTATTATTTTTCTGCTGAAACTTATTTTCCAGGATACCTCCACCAGTTTCATGGTTTCAATTACTGTTCATTTGCTTCAGTTGCTTACAATTACATCTCTAGTTTAAACTTCACTGTGAGTTTCAGATTTATCCAGCAAACTTGCTACTTGATCTTGACACTTGGAAAATGCATGACACTTGGATAATGCATCAACATCTCAAACTGAACAATCAAAAATACTTCTTGATTTCTCATACTTTCTAAAATCTACTATGACCCTAGCATTTTCTGTCTCAGTAAATTGTACCATCATGTGTCCAGTATGTGTCTCCCTCTTCTCCACCTTCTAATAATTTGAAACATATACCTGTACTTGAAGCATAACATAGTATCATATCATGTAGTATAATGTAACATAATATATTCCTCTTCTTAAATCTCAACCACATCTTTATCTATTTTGGGCTAACTTCCAGCCCCACAAAATCACAAGTATCTCCATATTTTTAAATCTAATGGACATACTTTAATGCTCATTTTCACTGACTTCTGTGAATTACTTGATACTGTTTACCACTCACTCATTTAAAAAATATGTTCCCCTTTAATCTTATGTCACAACAATAACCTAATTTACCCTCAACCTTTCCAGCTGTTTCTTCTTGGTTTGGTTTGCAGACCTGTCTTTCCTTACTTGACCATCAAATATCTGAATACTTCAAGTCTTGCTCTTTAGCTGTCTTCTTTTCTTGTTCTATAACCCTACACAATGTCATTCACATACAACCATAAGGTTACTACATACATATAGATTGCTCATAAAGATTTATCCACACTCCTCCTTCAAGGTTCTAGGAATATAACCGTGAACAAAACAAATTCCCTTTTCTCATAGTAGTAACAGCCTATTAATGCCCATATATTATATTCCTATTATTGTGTAACAGATGATCCCAAGGATCCAATATCCAACAACTCATGCGGGTTGCAAATCCAGGATCCTCTTAGATAGATGTGTCTGACTCAAACGTCTCTCATGGGTCGGGCACGGTGGCTCACGCCTGTAATCCCTGCACTTTGGGAGGCCGAGATGGGCGGATCACGAGGTCAGGAGATTGAGACCATCCTGGCTAACATGGTGAAACCCCGTCTCTACTAAAAATACAAAAAAATTTAGCCAGGCGTGGTGGCGGGCGCCTGTAGTCCCAGCTACTCAGGAGGCTGAGGCAGGAGAATGGCGTGAACCCGTGAGGCGGAGCTTGCAGTGAGC
The DNA here is from genome assembly GCF_000001405.40 of Homo sapiens. Lineage (NCBI taxonomy): Eukaryota > Metazoa > Chordata > Mammalia > Primates > Hominidae > Homo > Homo sapiens. The sequence continues at coordinate 125,857,437 of NC_000007.14, forward strand.
TGAGATAGCGCCACTGCACTCCAGCCTGAGCGATAGAGCGAGACTCCGTCAAAAAAAAAAAAAGTCTCTCATGAGGTTGCAGTCAGGCTTCCAACTGGGGCTGCAATCTCATCTGAAAGCATCATTGAAGGAGGGTGCATTTCTGGGGAAATACCTGTTTCTAAGTTCACACATGTTGGCAAGCCTCAGTCCCTCAATGGATATTAAATGGAAACTTCGTGCTTTACAGTGTGGTCCTCATGATTTGACAGTGTGAGTGATTTTGTGTGTGTGTGTGCGTGTGTGTGTGTGTGTGTGTATGTGTGTGTGTGTGAGAGAGAGAGAATGTGCAGAAGCTGCAGTCTTTATAACCAAATCTTTGAAGGAACATACCATCAAATTTACCCTACGTTATTAGTCACACAGAACAGCAGCTCTGGTACAATGTGGATTCCATTTGTAAGAATCACTGGAGTCCATCTGGGAGGCTGGCTACTATAGTCGACTAAACATCTCTGAGATATCTCAAACATACCTCATATTAACATATCCCAAATAGAATTCAGAATCTGATTTCGTGCCTTCCAAACTTGTTCTTATTCTAATGCTCCCTATCTTAATGAATTGTATTATTACTCAGTTTATTAAACAATTTCTGACTTCTATCAGTCACCTTGATACTTTTCTTTCCTTCTCATTCTTATAATCAATCTGTAATTCAAATCCTGGCAAGTTTACCATCTAAATATACTTCAAATTCATCTACTTCTTTCCACCTCTACAGACATCACTCTGGAGCAAGGCACCACAGACCATTACAAGAGTATTCCATCCACCTTTATATAGCAGTTTAGGTTCTTCTCCAGTCTGTTCATCACAATGCAGATCCAATTATATTACCCTTTTCCTAATAGCATGAAAACAAGACTCTTTATACCCCTTCAAGAATCTGCACAGTCTGATACTTGCCTATTTACTAACATTGTATCACACAGAGTCACCTTTACTGGCTTGTTTTCCTACCACAAGGACATTATTTCAGTTCAAAGTTATTTCCATATTTATTTTGGTAAAGAACTTTTACATGCATTTTGCTTTTCCTCTTAGAAATATCCTTCTCTTCATACATTGTAAACTTAACTTCTATTCATTTTTCAGCTTTCCTTGATATTTTAGTAGAAATATCCTTCCTCAATCTAATCTCGTAATATAGCTTATGAACATTTTTATGATGGTAATTATGATATTATTTATTATTTTATTAATAACTGTCATATCTTCAAGAGGAAGCATTCTGCCTGACTTTGAATCCATTGATTTCCCCAGTGCCTTTCAAAGGATTGATGTATATTACTTTGTTAGATAAATGGATGTTGTGGTTTTGACATAACTTTTTAGTCTTCTAGTCTTCTTGTAATTGAAAAAAAAGGCAAAGCCAACTAGTGGTACACTGCTTGTATTGAATACTGTATTAGAAACATTAGAATAGCATGAATTCATGAAATGAGGTTCAATTAAAATAAGCTGTCATAAACTTTTCAACTGTTTGTCCTGATTCACACAGTCAGCTACTTACCACACTTCTTCCTGCCTTCTAATTCAGACATCATGAAATGTTAGAATGACTTGTAATCTGCCAGTGAGGTGCAAGGAATGTTTTCAAATAGGAAAGCATGTAATTTCATGTCTTTTACATTTCTCTTTGACTCTCACATCTACCGTTCATTTTTTTTTCATCTGCTCAATTCTATCTGTGTTCCCAGAATACTCATAATATCAAACTGTTATTTAAATAATCCCCACCTAACAGAGGCCATCTTATTGGGACATTATAAAAAATCCTCGCAGAGATTTATAAAAGCTAAACACCAAAGTATCTTCCTTATTCAGATTACAATTTTTAAAATAAGATTATTTGTGGAAGAGAAATATATACTGTTGAGGAATATGAGACGCTTCTTTGTTCTTGCTTTAACCTCCACTTCCACATATACTTGTATTTCACATGCATTTGTTATGACTATTTTCCTTTGCTTCAAATATGCTTGCCTCATTAAGAATCTCCTGTTTTCTTTGAGAAGACTTCTACTCATACGTAAAATTCTAATATTAAAATCACCTTCACTGCTAAATAATAAAAATGATTCAATGTTTATTGAATCAAACATTCTAGTAGCATAGAAGCACATATTGCTCTCTTCACCCTGCTTCTCATATTTTCAGGGAAGTGTGCATCTTAAATATTTTTTAAATGTCAAAGACAGCCATGCTGGAATGAAAATAAGGTTTGGCACAATGTGTAGGAAACATGTGAAGTCATGAATTGTGAATTTGAGAAACTGGGGGTATCCTGTAGTCTGTCCAGGATATGGTTGTCTTCTAACCATTTGGAACTCTTCGATCTTTGACCTCTTGAGTTATCTTTCTTATAAAAAAGAACAACCCTGGCAACCTTTTCCCATTACAGGAGTCCCTCTATCCATGGGGAATACATATCCAAAGACCCGCATTGGATGTCTGAAACTGGAGACAGTGCGGAACTTGACTGTTGTCAATGGGAACACATCTATATTCGCGTCTTTCACCCACAAATTGAATTCATTTTCCATCTTAACTAAGCACTTATTCACTGTAGCTGTAACTTGTTAGTCATTGTGCCTGTAGCTTTTGCAATTTGACGTGTAACAGCAAAACTAGAGTAAATCTCTCTTTTTGCACAATTTTTTTTAACTTTCATTTTAGGTTTAGGGATACACATGCAGGATTGTTATATAGGTAAACTGTGTGTCACAGTGGTTCAGTGTACAGATTATTTAGTCACCCAGGTAATAAGCATAGTACCCAATAGGTTTTATTTTTTAATCCTCTCTCTCCTCTCACTTTCCACCCTCAAGTAAGCCCCAGTGTCGGTTGTTCCTCTCTTTATGTCCATGTTTTCTCATTGTTTAGCTCATGTTTATAAGTGAGAACATACGATATTTGGTTTTCTGTTCCTGCATTAGTTTGCTTAGGATAATGGTCTCAGATCCATCTATGTTGCAGTGAAGGACATCATCTCAATCTTTTTTTATGTCTCTGTAGTATTCCATGATGTATATATATACCATATTTTCTTTATTCAGTCTACCCTGATGGACATTTATGTTGATTCCATGTCTTTGCTATTGTGAATAGTGCTGTAATAAACATATGTGTGCATGTGCCTTTATGATAGAATGATTTATATTCCATTGGGTATATACCCAATAATGTGAGTTCTGGGTAGAATGGTAATTCTGCTTTAAGTTCTTTGAGAAATTGCCACACTGCTTTCCACAATGGCTTAACTAACTTACACTGCCACCAGCAGTATATAAGTGTTCCCTTTTCTCCAAAAAACCTTGCCAGCATCTGTTATTTTTTGATTATTTATTAATGGCCTTTCTGACTGGTGTGAGAAGGTATCTCATTGTGGTTTTCATTTGCATTTGTCTAATAATTAGCAACGTTGAACATTTTTTTCATACGCTTGCTGGCCACATGTATGCCTTTTGAAAATTGTCTTTTCATGCCCCTTGCCCCCTTTTTAATAGGGTTGTTTTTTTCTTGTAAATTTGTTTAAGTTCCTTACAGATTCTGGATATTAAACCTCTGTTGGATATGTATTTGTAAATATTTTCTCCCATTCTATAGTTCATCTGTTTACTTTGTTGATAGTTTATTTTGCTATACAGAAGCTCTTTAGCTTAATTAGGTCACATTTGTCAAATTTTATTTTGTTGAAATTGCTTTTACTGTCTTTGTCATAAATGGTACTGCCTAGGTTATCTTCCTGGGTTTTTATAATTGTGGGTTTTACATTTAAGTTTTTAATCCATCTTGAGCTGATTTTTGTGTGCAGTGTAAGGAATGAGACCAGTTTCAGTCTTCTGCATATGGCTAGCCTGTTATCCTAGCACCATTTATTGAATAGGTAGTCGTTTCCTCATTGCTTGTTTTTGTTGGCTTTGTCAAAGATCAGATGGTTGTAAGTATGTGGCATTATTTCTGGACTCTCTATTCTGTTCCATTAGTCTAGATGTCTGTTTTCGTATCAGTACCATGCTGTTTTGGTTACCGTAGTCCTGTAGTATAATTTGAGGTCAGGTAACATGAGGTCTCCAGGTTTGCTCCTTTTGCTTAGGATTGCCTTGGCTATTTCAGTTCTTTTTTGGTTTCACATGAATTTTCAAACAGTTTTTTTCTAATTATAATTCTGTGCAGAATGTCATTGGTAGTTTTGTAGAAATAACATTGAATCTCTATATTGCTTTGGGCAGTATGGCCATTTTAACAATACTGATTCTTCCAATTCATGATCATGGAATGTTTTTCCATTTATTCGTGTCATGTATGATTTCTTTAAGCAGTGTTTTGTAATTCTCATTTTAGAAATCTTTCACCTTCCTGATTAGCTGTATGCCTAGGTATTTTATTCTTTGTGCGGCAATTGTGAATGGGATTCTGTTTCTGATTTGGCTCTCAGCTTGGATGCTATTGGTATATAGGAATGCTACTGATTTTTATGCATTTATTTTGTATCCTGAAATTTTGCTGAAGTTGTTTATCAGATCAAGGAGCTTTCTGGCAGAGACAATGGGGTTTTCTAGGCATAGAATCATGTCATCTGCAAACAGTGATAGTTTTACTTACTCTCTTCCTATTTGGATGCCTTTTATTTATTTCTCATGCCTGATTGCTCTGGCCAGAATTTCCAAGACTATGTTGAATTGGAGTGGTGAGAGAGGGTATCCTTGTCTCATTCCAGTTTTCAAGGAAAATGCTTCCACCTTTTGCCCATTCAGTATGATGTCTGCTATGGGTTTGTAATAGGTGGCTCTTATAATTTTGAATTCTGTTCCTTCAAAGCCTAGTTCAGTCCAGGCAAAGTAGCTCATGCCTGTCATCCCAGTACTTTGGGAGGCTGAGGCATGTGGGTCACCTGAGGTCAGGAGTTTGAGATCAGCCTGACCAATATGATGACACCCTGTCTCTACTAAAAATACAAAAATTAGCAGGGCATGGTGGCAGATGCCTGTAGTCCCAGCTACTCAGGAGGCTGAGGCAGGAGAATTGCTTGAATCCGGGAGGAGGATGTTGCAGTAAGCCAAGATCGCACTACCGCACTCCAGCCTGTGCGACAGAGTGACGCTCTGTCTCAGAAAAAAAAAAAAAAAAAAAAAAAAAGCCTCATTTATTGAAGGTTTTTTTAAACATGAAACAACATTGAATTTTATCAAGAGCTTTTCTGCATCTATTGAGATAGTCATGTTGTTTTTGTTTTTAATTCTGTTTATGTAAAAAATGACATCTATTGATTTGCATCTGTTGAACCAATCCTGGATCTCCCAAGGATAAAGCCTACTTAATTATGGTGGTTTAACTTTTTGATGTGCTGCTAGTTTCGGTTTGCTAATATTTTGCTGTGGATTTTTGCATCTATTTTCATCAAGTTATGTTGACCTGAAGATTTTTTTTTTTTTAGTTTGTCTCTGCCAGGTTTTGGTATCAGAAACCTGGTGATGGCCTTGTAGAATAAGTTAGGGAGGAGTCCCTCCTCCTAAACATTTTGGAACAGTTTCAGTAGGATTGGTATCAGTTCTTCTTTTTATATCTGGAAGAATTTGGCTATAAATTTGTCCAGTACTGGGCTTTTTTGGTTGGTAGGCATTTTATTACTGATTCAAGTTTAGAATTCATTATTGGTCTGTTCAGGGATTCAATTTCTTCCTAGTTCAGACTTGAGGGGTTGTAGATGTCCAGGAATATATCCATTTCTTGTAGGTTTTCTAGTTTATGTGCACAGAGGTGTTAGTAGTAGTCTCTGAGGGTTTTTAATATTTCTGTAGGATCAGTTGTAATACAGTCCCTTTTGTCATTTCTGATGGTGTTTATTTGGATCTTTATCTCTTTTTCTTTTCGTTATTAGTCTAGCTAGTGGTCTATTCATCTTATTAATTTTTTCAAAGGACCAACACTTGAATTTGGTCAATCCTTAGTATGGCTTTTCATGTTTCAATTTCTCACCTTAGCTCTTAGCAACTCCAGCATACAATATTTTTCTTTCTATATTAAGTCGAGAACTTTCCTCCTATCACTTAAGAAAAAAAAGCTCTTTATGGCTTTTCATTGGCATATCTGAACTGCCAGCATCATTACTCTTGTATATTTCAAGCCATTATTAAATAAAATAAAGGTTATTTGTACACAGTCATTGTCATACCATGACAGTTGATCTGATAAATCAGAGGACTACTAAGTGCCTAATGAGTGTGTAGCTTACACTGTGTTGATACATAAACAAATAAATGATTTACTTCCCAAGTGGGAGGCAGCATGATGGCACAAGATTTCATCACACTATTCAGAATGTCATGCAATTTGAAACATATGAACTGTTTTTCTCTGAAATTTTCTATTTAATATTTTCAAACTACAGTTTACCTAGGTAACTGAAATCTGAAAAAGATGAAACTGAGTAAGTGGGGAGTGCTGTACTCTTCTCTTGAAGGAACTCCTGCCCCAGGCCACTGCAAGCATGTTTAATGCCCTGAAGCTAAGAGTGTTTTGACTCCCACTGATAGACAGGTAAAGGGGATAGGTTCTTCTTTTGAATTTCAATTCATTGTGTTCCAGACTCAGTATCAAACTAGTTATTGGTTTTCTTTTTTATTACAGGAGGGTATTATAATTATAGATAGAGTCAAAATAAGTCTACATCAATAATCAATTTTAATAAGTTTCAAACAAAAATATAAAATAACTTTTCAAAAAATATTGATTTGTCTTTGGAGATGATCTATATTAGCAGGTTTTGTGAGACAGAAAAGTTACTTATTCTTGGCCACAGGTGAACTAGTAAGTCTATAAATTGCCTGTAAATCACTAAGTTAAAGACAAATGTGCAAGATTTTGAGGTGTTTTCTTTAGACAGCATCCTTGTATGAACAGGGCATTTTGGACATTTTAATTTTCTGAACTATGTTTTGTTTTTTGTTTATTTTGTTTGTTTGGTTTTTGGTTTTTTTGACATGGAGTCTCACTGTGTTGTCCAGGCTGGAGTACAGTGGTATGATCTCGGCTCACTGCAACCTCCGCCTCCCAGGTTCAAGCAATTCTCCTGCCTCAGTCTCCTAAGCAGCTGGGACTACAGGCATGTGCCACTACGCCCAGCTAAATTTTTGTATTTTTAGTAGAGACGGGGTTTTACCATGTTGGCCAGGCTGCTCTCAAACACCTGACCTGAAGTGATCAGCCCACCTTGGCCTCCTAAAGTGTTAGGATTACAGACGTGAGCCATGGCATCCGGTCTTCTTAGCTATACTTTGATGTAATGTTTACATACATTTTAAACTTGGAAAATAATTGTCACAATTAAGTATTCAAAAAATAAATTTACCACTCTTGACTCCAGAGGGTTTGTTGCTGAGCCATAATTTAAAGCTGCTGCCCCTTAAAATGCTTGGATGCAGACTCATAAATCTATTTTAAATAATATAAAAATTTCAAATAGCGATCTAAACACACACACTATTATAAATAGAGAATCAGGTTGGAACAATTTTAAATGTATGAGGGCATAGAAAACCGAGAAAAGTGCCAATTATTAGTGCCATCAAAACTTTTTAACCAGAATGACATCATTTGTTTTTTCCAATTATTTTTCAGCCTTATACTAAACCAAGGAGATTTTTGCTACCTTCTCAAAACTAGTTTCTTTCATAAATCCGAATCTTACTTCAAAGTCTTATTTTATTGGTTCATTTCTTTTTCTCTTCCTGGCAAGTGAACCAAATCCACAGATCTCCTAATGGAACTTTCTGGAGTCATATGTGAATTGCGATGAATTTAGTTCAACTCTTGTAAGTAGAAATCCCTAACTCCAAAACAAACAAACAAACAAATACCTGTGAAAGTGTAGGTTTTTTGGTGAAATAAAGCCTAGTCCTCTCAGAGGTGTGATGTAGATGCAAAAATAATTTAAGATCTAAAGTAACTCTCTTATTTTGGGGATGTCGGGTAAATAACTTTTCACCAAATTCCTTATATCTGAACAGTTGAGGCTGTAGAAACAATGAGAACTGCACTTTACAAAATAACAATAATTATTTAAAACATGTAATTAACCTCAAGAAAGCATTGGGATTAAAATATATTTTACTGAAACAATATTTATTTAATTAAAATATTTGATAGATTGAGTGTATGTGTTGTCTTTTCTTTATAAAGTTAATACATAATGAACTCCATCAATAGAACATGTGTTTTGTGCTTTTTTTTTTTTCAAAAAACCAAGATGGTTTCCCTTATTCATCTTCATTTTCCCATGTATATTACCTTAGAAACCAATGAAATGTACATTTATATGATTGTCTGCTTGATGAACTGTGAATGTAAGAAAAGTAAGGTTTTTCACATTAGGTAAAATTTTGCATGTTTTACATTTGCTTATTGATATGGTTTGGCTCTGTTCCCATCCAAATCTCATCTTGAATTGCATAATAGTTCCCATAATCCCCAAGTGTCATGAGAGGGACCCTGTGGGAGGTAATTGAATCATGTGGACAGTTTTCCCCATGCTATTCTCATGATAGTGAATAAGTTCTCACAAGATCTGATGGTTTTATAAGGTGCTTTCCCCTTTGCTCAGCTCTCATTTTTCCCCTTCCTGCTGCCATTGAAGAAGAATGTGTTTGCTTCCCCTTCTGCCATGATTGTTAAGTTTCCTGGGGCTTCCACAACCCTGCAGAAATGTGAGTCAATTAAACTTCTTTCCTTTATACATTACCCAGTCTCAGATATGTCCTTATAGCAGCATGAGAACAAACTAATACACTTATACCTTGACAAATTCTGTCCTTTCCATAAAATTAATATTTCCTCTGACCCTAAAGACATATTATGGTAACTTTAAAATTAATTTAAATTTAATATTTCTATTGATTTTATTTGCAATATCTATTATAGAAACTTACAAGATATAATAAAGAGAGGTAATTATTACTCTATGGTGCCAACTTAACATATATATTATGAGTAAGTTATGCATAATTTTAATTAATAATTATCATTTTGTTCTCCATTCCAGATTTGTTTAGATTTTCCATGGCTCAGCTTAAAATCATCTATCCCATGAAACTCAACCTAGGTTTATTTTGATGATTCTGTGATAACTAATTTTCTCACTACTATAATATTTCCCTGAACTTATTTTATAGATTCAACATAAAACACACACTATCTACTGTAAAAATTATTTTAAAATTTAAAAATTTATCTATCTATATCTATACATATACTCCCTAAATAACTTAATTTTCCCTTTGTTCTATTTTTGTACCATTCTGCTTTCACATTGACCTAATTAATGCCTGGTAAAGCCTTTTATTAATTTTTAATTCAACAAAATTTTATTGATTAATTATATTCAAAACAGGTATTGAACATGAAATGAAATGAGTCTAGATTTAACTTGTTCATAGTTAACCATAATGCCTCATCAGAAAGACAAGGTTGTTACTTTCATGTTTTATATTTGAATCATTCAAATAACACTTACTCTTCAACCTCATCCCAGGGATAAAGACTGTTCTGAGGACTGTTATTTGAAAGACAGAACATTGACATTTACTTTACTGGCATAGTTCAAACATTAAAACATCTCAAAATTATGGAGACCAGAACAATTGGTGATTATATAAGGGCTAGTTTACAACACTTCAGATAAGCATATATTACCCTCCTTTAAACCATCAGTTACACAAAGGTTTACGCCATATTTTAGAAGATGAATTATTATTATAGAAGGTAAACTACTTCACAGTGTAATACCTAAAAAAAGTAATAAGTGGAGTAAATGTTGGTATATTTTATAAAACGAATGGTAAGTTTTCTAAAACATTCATTTGTCTTTGTCATTTCCTCCAAAGAACCAAATTTATACTAATAAAAATGGACTAACAGGACTTTTAATATGTCAATGTATATTTTTCCACTGAATTCAAATTGTTCTATTTTTAGAAACCTATGAAAATAACGAGCTCAATTTCCCTTTATGACCAATTTGCAAATAAATATAGAAGTTTGACAAAATACAGCTTATGTTTGTCCTTTGTTCGTAAATTATTTTATCAAATTAAAATAAATCACAGTTTTATGAACTCTATAACTTACTTGGAATACATCAATTGCCCTTGAAATCATATCCATGGAGTTAGAAGTTTCTAAACATTTTTTATTGGAAAAGCTGGAACTTTAAACACAGTCTCTGTATTTTAGAAATATATTTTTTTCTTCTCACCTAAGTATGGAATGGGTTTAATTTAGGACACTCATTTAAAAGGAAGATTTAAAGACAATGCTCCACTGGGCAATTCCTTTTGGACATTATCTCCGTTTGCCAGAGAAGTTTTCAGAAATTTAGAGAAGAAAAATAACCTCTTTCAAAGTAGTTCAAAGTAATTGGTTAGAGACTATTCTTGATGGAGTGTAAAGCCTGAACATAAGTTGAAAAATAAAATACATTCTCACATAGATTGTAATGTGTTTAAAAAGAGAATTTCTATAGATGAATTTAATTTCTTGGACAGAGTTAATTTCTAAGTCTATAGTGACATATTATCTGGCTGAATTATGTAAGCAGTGTTTTACTTCATTATCTTACTTGGTGATTATTTTCATTGAACACCAGACTCTAACAGATTGAATATTGCCTGCATTTGCTAATGAAAGAGCCCACCAGAGTCCAGTTAAAAATAAAGATCATATGGAGGGTAACAATATGCATCAATGTGCATGAATGTTGCATGATATGGTCTTTGTCCTTAGGCAGCTTACAATCTACACAGGAAAGTAAACTATTTATATGAATAATTAAATGAAGCTTAAATATACAGTGGGAAAATTTGAGAATGATATTATGGAAGAAGAGGTCTCATCTAATTCATGGAAGGTTCTATCATAATAGCAGAATCTTAATAAATCTTGAGAAGTATACAGGACTTTGTCAGGTTGGTGGTGGAATGGTTGGGGAGAAATATCCAAGCAATGGAAGATGCAGAGAGTATTGAAAGCTGTTTTGTTATTGCTTTACTTTGTTTAGTAAGGCAGCACCAGTGTTTTGATTTTAAAAACCAGTGGGAGAGATATGTAAGGAAAATAGATGGAATCTCATGACCCTTTTAATAATCTTGTTAAACAGTATAACCATAAAGGGATTTGAATAGCAGAATTTCAGAATAAATTGTTTGCTATAACTGAAGACAAATTAATCTTCAATATGGCCAGTAGATGCAAAGTTATGGAAAATGGAAATATAGCATGAAATTACTGGCTAATATGATATTCTAGAAGACAGACCATGGTGAGCTATTGTAGAATAGTAAGGTGTAGAAGATACATATGAGAAACATTAGGGTCATATAAGCTTGGCCTAACATGAGTAATCTCAAGTAAAGAGCTAACTATGCCTTTGGCTCTGTAAACTTTGAAGACTACATAAAAAATTGTGTCATGAATGGAAGTAGTAAGGTTAGAAACATAATCGAGAAGTTTAAGAGAATTAGTTTAATTTGAACATGCAGTTGGAAAAATATTTTAAGCCAAAATACCTCCAAAATTTATATTTTGAAATTAGTGTATGGGAGAGAGTTTGAGAATGAAGATAAAAATTATGTAGGCATAGGAATTAAACACTAGCTGTGGATAATCTAGAATAAGATAAATAAAGAGAGTGAGAAAAAGCAAGAAAAGGACTGAGGAATTTTCCTTAGAGAAAAATTATATTTAAGCAGGAAAAAGAAAAAAAAAAGGACTAGGAAGAGGAGTGAAACAAGGGGAAAAATGAAGAGGAGTCCTTCAAGGGCATCACTTATTTTTTATATCAATAATTGGTACACTAGATCAGAATTGCCTGGGTATCTTAGGCAATATATTGCTGAGCCCACCACCAAAGTTTATAATTTATTAGATCTTGGATGAGGCCAGACACTCTGTAATTCAAAAGTTTCCAGATAATTCCAGATAGTGTTCTGGAAAGTACACTTTGAAAACCACTGCAATAGGGTGTCATGAAAAATAAGGGACGAGATTTTCAAGAAAATGAGATAGTCCAAACGTTAAATATAATAAAGCATGCAGGAATAATAAGTGCTGAGAACTGGCAACTTAGTCTTCTGTACCAGTGTTATTTTAAAAAGGATTTAGAATTTAATAACTTGTATTAATGGCTTTGGCAGCAGTAAAAGAAGTTGTGAGTGTATGTGTATAGCTAGGAAATGAATGTAATAAATATAGATTGCTTAATAAGGTTGATGGTGAAGAATACTTTCAAAAAATAGGTAAGGATTTTCTGGAGCATTTTATTCTAGGCCTTCCAAGGTAATTAACAAAATAATAAATGTTTCCATGCTAAAGCATTAGTATGAAAAGAATGCTATGTTTCTAGATCTGGGAGAAAAAAAATCTCTTGTAAAGAGACTGTATTAGTCTGTTCTCACACTGCTATAAAAAACTATCTGAGACTGGGTAATTTATGAAGAAAAGAGGTTAACTGATTTACGGTTCCATGGACTGTACAGGAAGCATGGCTGGGAGGCCTTGGGAAACTTAAATCATGGTGGACGGTGAAGGGGAAGCAAGCACCTTCTTCACGTGGTGGCAGGAGAGAGAGACAGCATGAGGTGGGAGCTGCCACAAAATTTTAAACCATCAGATCTCATGAGAATTCACTCACTATCACGAGAACAGCAAGGGGGAAACCACCCTCATCATCTGATCACCTCCCACTAGGCTCCTCCTCCAACACACACGGATGGCATGAGATTTGGGTGGGGACACAGAGCCAAATCATATTAGAGACTACCTTTACAGGACTTGATAGAAGCTCAGGCTAGCCAACACAGTTCGCAAAAAGGAAATTAATAAAGGATCAAAAAAAGAGGAAAAGAAGAACTGAAGATGAATCTGAGGTGAGACCCAATGGTCTGGGGCCAGGTGGAGGAACAAGAACAAAGAGTTACATCTACTGAGGAGTTTCCAGTGAAATTTTATGGGAACATAATTGGACCTGTCCTTGGTACCATTTCATGATGCAGCGACTATAATTGGCCTTCTCATAGAAGCTGTTGAAAAAGCTGAGCTGTGCATATACATTTTGGCACATGTGCAAGTAAACATACATCTGATTTACATTGTTATAATACTTCATTAATTAAAGGAACCCTCTTAGTCTCCCCATTTTCATGTGGTAACTTAAATCTGAGGTTAAAAATGTATTCACAGCAATTTAAAAAGTTTAATCACTATTTAAACATTTTATATAGATATCAGATTTCTAGTATCTACAAAAAAAACTAAGATATTTTCACCGAAGGTGACCTGATCTACGCTGTTTCATAAAAAAAAAAAAAATGTTTTCAGCAGGGCACAGTTGCTCATGCTTGTAATCCCAGCACTTTGGGAGGCCAGGAGTGCGAGACCAGCCTGTACAACATAGCAAGACCCTGTCTCTACAAAAAACAAAAAAAGTTTTACATATCCTAATCAATGCCACATTTTTATAATATTAAAGCATTGGCTTTGATCTGTTAGTTCTCCTATTTGTAAATATATATATGATATAATTTTTTTCTATTTGCCTTGCAAATATTAGAGACTTTTTTAAATTTGGTTTTGGTTTTGTTTCCATTTCATCTTCTCTTTTAGTATGTGACATTTATTCAAACATTTTTGTGAGGTTTGGCTTCCATTTCACATCAAGAATGTACTCATATAAGCTCAGTGAAGTTTGTCACTATTCCTCTCACACTGGTGTTGAGAGCCCAATGTGTTTTATACATTCCTGGTTTATAGTCAACATTTACTGTCTTTTGCCTTACCACTGTCTTGCCTCTTTTTTCTAGTAATAGAAATTTTCTTGGGGGAATATCCCTTCTCCCATATCATTACTTATGGCTTAAGGGCACTCACAACCATTCTGATCACAAGGAACTTAAGTAATCCTGTCAAAACCAAACAGAGCATCAAAGCAACTGCAATAATGATTGGTTCAGAATAGGCATTTGATCTAGGCTGATCAAATGCAACTTTATTCTGGGGCTCTTTGGACATATTGAGAGGAGACAGTCTCTCTTTCCATAAACTAGAAGCTGTGTTGATATGTCTCAGTTGCTAAGGGGGAAACCATGTGGAGAAAATCTGCCTGAAAATGAAACCCAATACAAAGAAAAGCAGAGTGAAAAGAGACTAATGATGACAGCCTTTGAATTTTTGAAGTTCTAGAGGGTGATAAAGGCAGCTCAGCTATAGGAAATAATGTATTCCTTGTTTCTACTTAAACCAATTTTGGTTGAGGTTTTTTTTGTCCTAATTTTAAAAAGTGTTTGTGGAATTAGCATGGGATGATAAAAAATTCTGGAAGCATAAGGCTGAAGTTCTGCCTTGATTCCAAAATTTTCAGGATGGTAAACTTGTAATGGGATTTATGAATATTGCATTCCATCTATCCTTAGACTATTTTTATTCAAAGTCTAGGCAGTGGAACAGCAGTACCCTTTCCCCTCACCTGAGAGCTTGTCAGAATGCAGAATATCAACCCTCCCTTTCCTATACTTAATAAATCAGAATCTGCATTTTTAAAAGATTCCCTGTGAATGTGTATGTATATTTGAGAAGAAATGTTATAGATCTTTGCTAGATCTTGACCCGCATGATTCAACTTTGTGGTTCTCACACTGGCTACTCTGTTTACACTTAGAAAAACCATTCTCCAGATTCCTGCATTTCTAAGTTCCTAACATTTTAGTCTTTTTCAAATTTTATCTTTTCAATGAAAGCTATTTTTTCTCCCTCCCTCCATAGGAATATGAATTCCTTAAAGCAGAGAGTTTTTCACTATTCTGTTTTATGATGTATCCCAAACATCGAATGCAGGTACCTGGTACTGACAAATACTTTCCCCTTGACCAAACTTCAATCAGGCTCCTCTCAGCCCTCTTTTGATTTGGCCTTGACCTCAGACTGCCATGTCCATGCTTGCAGAGTCCAGTTTTAGGAGGAGTCATACTAAGTCAGTTTAGAGAGAATCCTCTTAAACTTGATATGATTACCTTCGATGTCTGATCACCCTCAATATCTGATCAAATTCCTCCTTCCCCACCATCCCCCAGGTGATATCTGATTACTGGCTTGCCATCAGCAAGAGTTCTGTTAAGTCAATGAAGTAATAATTTCTTCTACCCTTGATGTCTCCTCTTAGTAAATTTTCATCTATTCACTCCTGCACCACCAACCCAACTTGCTTCTTGGCTATACATCCCCACTTGTTCTTGTATTTAGAATTGATCCCAGTCTCTCTCCTCGGTTGTTATTGTCTTGACATCTATTGTGGTAGTCCCAATTATTTTCTTATCATTTTAACAAATGAAAAAATATTTTTTATCTACTATACATGGTACTTAATAAATACTGTTGAATTAATTGATCATATACTAATACTTATCATATAGCATAAGGATATAAGTATCACAAAAATTGGCACCAAACTATGTATCAGACATCATCTTATATTAATAGCCCCTAATTTCATTCTGGTCTAGATATACCGTTTTCTTCTTGACATTGAATATACCAAGTTAGTTCTACTCAAGTCCTTCACACTTGCTTTTATCTACTCTGGGCATTCTTTACCCAGATCTTCACACATTTAGCTCTTATTCATCACTCAGATCAGAGATTAAATTTCATCTTCTCATTTTAAATATTTGGTGTCTCAAATACATATTTTTATAGAATGTATCCCTTAACAAATTATTGTAGTTATTATTTTAATAGTTTTATTTTCATACTAAAGATATGTGATATATATTCCACAATTGCAGTATTTCAGTTTTCTAAACTTGACTGTCTACTTACTTTCAACAGTGAATTTTATACTTTTATATTTCCTTTGTTACTAATTAGCATTCTTTTACTTCTTCTTGAGGAAATTCCTTTATCATTTCTAGTAAGACAGGACTGGTGGTGAATAACTTCTTCAACTTTTGTTTATCTTGGAAAATCTTTATATCTTCTTTATCAGTTCATGGACCTGTGGACATGTGGGTTATTTCCACTATTTTACTATTAGGAGTAAACTTTTATAAACATTCTTCTACAACTTTATGTGTGGACATAAATTTTTAATACTTATGAGTATCTACCTAGGAATAAAACTGCTAGATAATAAGTTATACAATTTGAGAAATTTCAAGAATCTTTTCCTTTTTTTTTTTTTTTTGAGACAAAGTCTCAATCTGTTTCCCAGGCTGGAGTGCAGTGGCGCGATCTCGGCTCACTGCAACCTCCGCCTCCCGGGATCAAGTGATTCCCCTGCCTCAGACTCGTGAGTAGCTGGGATTACAGGTGTCCGCCACCACACCCCCTCTAATTTTTGCATTTTTAGTAGAGACAGGGTTGCACCGTGTTGGCCAGGCTGGTCTTGAACTCCTGACCTCAGGTGATCTGCGCACCTTGGTCTCCCAAAATGCTAGGATTACAGGCATGAGCCACCGCGCCTGGATAGCTGTATCATTTTTTATTGCATGAGAAGTTCATGAAGTTCACAATTTCTTTATGTCATCATCAACACTTGTTAATGTCTTTGTAGTTTTAGCCATCTTAGTGTGTATGAAATCATATCTAGTTGTGTTATTTTTATTACACTAATAACTAATAATGTTTACCATCACCTTTTCATGTGTTTTTTGGCCACTTGTACATTTTCATTGAAAAAACATTTATGGAAATATTTAATTTTTTTAATTGGGTTATGTGGTTTTGTATTGTTGTGTTATTAATATATTATTATCAGATATATAATATGAAAACATGTTTCATTACCATGAGGATTGTCTTTTCCTTTCCTGATAGTATCCTTTGAAACACAAAGATTTTACTTTTGATGAAGTCCAATTTACCTACTTTTTTTGTGCCTATACTTGTCACTTTTACTTTTTGTATCATATCTAAGCAATCACTGTATTGCAAAGTTATATGTATCTATCTCTATATTTTATTCTAAGAGATTTATAGTTTTAGTTCTAACATGTAAGCATATGATCTGTCTTAAGTTAATATTTCTATATGCCATAAATTAGGGACCCAACCTCATTTTTTTGGCATGTAGATATTGAATTATTTCAGCATCATTTATTGAATAGACAATTGTTTCCTATTTATTTGTCTTGTCACTCCAGTCAAAATTGATTATAAATGTAAAGATTTATTTCTGGACTCTCCATTTTTGTTTGATCTGTATGTCTTTCTTTGTGCCAAAATCTTCTTCTAACTCTATTCTTATTTTTCAAAATTGTTTTGGTTATTCTGGATACCTTACATTTCCTTTTGAATTGCAGTTGCTAGCTTGCCAATTTTCATGAAAAAATGAAGATGTGGTTTTGATAGAGATTAGGTTGAATCTACAAATCAATTTTGGAATTCCAACCACTTTAACATCATTAAATATTCATATTCATAAACATGAGATTTCTTTTAATTCACATAGGATTTTTAATTTCTTCAATAATTTTTGAAGTTTCAAGTGTACAAATCTTTAGCTTCTTTCATAAATATATATGTGTGTATATATATATATATATATATATATATACCCATTTTTAAAAGTAGGTATCTTTTATTATGCATAGCCACTTAAATCTCTGCTCAGTTTTGTTAGTGGTCAACTAATAATCTGAAGGTCTTTTCTTAAAATGCTTTAACTAATAATTTTTTGAGCATTTGTCAAGGAACTCTGTGTGCATGTGTTGAGTTAAAAATTTAATGTTTCATCAAATAGTATATAACTCTGTTTTAGCCTTCACTACTTGTCAAAGTTCAAGGTCAGCCTAAGATGAGAGATTACAGTTTTTTCAGATGTATCCTAGACATGGGAAATTTATGAAAATGTATGTAAGCTTCTAGATTCACAGAAATATGTCAAAACTTTTTAAAGCTCCTACCGACATCTCACTCTCCATGTTTTTATTTTGAGTTTTTTGGTAACCTACTGTTAGGGCTACCTAGTATCACCACCTTAGGCAAACACAGTATTAAGCAATTGCTGCTAATTGTTTGTATCAAACCTTCTGTGGATATGGCTTTTTGCTCAGTGTGAGCTCTGAGTTAAGTCAAACAAGGCAAACCTTAGTTATTCACTTTTTTCAAGAAGCTTCCAGAGAGGCAAATTACTAAGAATTTTCTGGAAATAGGGCCTTACAGGACTTCTAATCATGTTCTGACCCCTTGAGTTGCAACTACACTGCTTGTTTTTACAGTTCTCACAGTTTTGATGTTGATGTTGTTTGTTTTCATGGCTACCACAGAGCTAGAGAAAGGCAGATGATAACATTGCAATTTAAAGCACAACAATGTTGGTCAGTCTTACTAAAATTCAGTCATTTTTCTTGAATAATCATTAATCTGACTTTTCAAACTTCGGTTAATTTACAGAGTTCTGAAAAAAATAATTTTGACATTTTTCTTGTTGCTTTATGAGGTAAATTTTCATGCTTGTTTCCTTTGCCATTCTAAAAGTACTTTCAGAATTTAAATTTCCAGAATCTAATTTAATAAATTAAATGTAACTCAATTGTATTTAAATTTATATTAATATTATACCCAATTTCATTTTACTTTCTCAGTCATATTAATCACTTTTTAAGTACTCAATAACTACACAGGGCTGAAAGGTACCTTATTGAATAGTGAGGATATATATTATTTTCATCATCATGGAGCATTTTATTAGGTGAGGCTGTTCAGTAATATTACTTTGTTGTTCATTAAGTAATTGTTGGCATAATAAACTATTAATCCCTTCTAGCCAGTTGCCTATTGGCCTGACCTGCCAGGTTTTCTAATATCTGGGTTTCTCACCTTATCAGGGCAACCACACAATAAACTTCAAGTTGTTTCTGACAAGCAGAAAACTTACTATGCAAGAGATAAAATGGAAAATCCCAAGATTGTTTTTGGAGTAGTTTGGTTACCCTTGATCATTCACATTATTGTGGTCCTGAAATAAAATTAGAAAAGTGCACTGAGACCTAATTTTAGAGGCCTTGAATGCAAAAATTAGAAGTTCAGAAATATAATTCATGTAATTCTCATTTGCCAATAGGTAGTCATTTGTGGAGACCTATTGTGTTGCAATCAAGGAGAATTTCAAACCACACTGAGGCCTTGTAGAGTAATTCCATGATTCATAGAGGTCATTTCTGTGCCTAAAGACAGTAAGTGGTATTATATTTGCTACTTATTAATTATACTCAAGCTCCACACTACAAATTTGGGAGAAATTACAGGGTTCTCTTAAAATTTCAAATGCTTCTTATATTCATTATCTAATTTTATTTTTGTAGCAACTTTGATATTGATGGTATTATCTATATTTTTAGGTGAGGTACTGGCAGGGAGGTTAATTAGCTGACCCATAAACAGAATTAGATATAGGGAGAAGATTTTTTGTAACATAAATTTGCTAACTTCAAGTCTTTTAACCATAAAATAGACCATATTGTATAATTTGCTCTATGCATCTCAGAATAGTGTCATATTTCCTTGATTCTAAGTTGTCATCTACCATTATTTTAATAACAACATGTAGAAGCCTGTTATTTTTTTAAAAAAAAAAACCTATAATCCTAATTCACATCACTTGTAAGACACATTCAGATTTTAAAAACAGTCAATACAGAAAGAATGTGAACATATAGTGACCCAAAATAGGAAATTTATAAAGTCAAAGAGGAGAACTTATAAACAAACATTTTTTTTTTCCATTTACTGCACTTAAAATAGTGTATTCATATTGTGCCACTGTTGGATTCCCTGGGAAGCAGACTTAAGAATTGTTTTAGGAATTTTAGAAAGATTTATTGGGTGGTAACACCTCAGAAAGAAAACAGAAGAAAGCAGGATTGGGCAGGAGGAGTCATCAGACATTCCTGCAGACCTGAAGAAGTAAATCTCTGCCAGCCCACTGGGGGAGTTCCAAAGCAAGGATTGCCATTTATATGAGTCTTGTTGTAAGCGGAAATGTCTAGGTCTTTGTCACTCCATCTTGCATCATCTGGGGACCATCCTGGAAAGAGTGTGGCCTTTGCTCAAGAGATGAGACTGACCGTGTAACAGCAAACAGCTACATAATGCCTGCTAGCTACACTCTTAGAAACTGGACTATGAAGAAGCTTCTTGAAGGAAGATCTGAGTGTTCTATATCCATGTCTGCCATACATGTTTATCATGAAATTAATACTTTTAAGCACACATAATCATCATATTATGGAATTTTTTATATTTTATTTAGTTAAAAAAATCAATGTTGACATTCTGCAATTACGTATTAAAGTAACCGACTAAAGTTAAAAAGAGTACCATATATTTTCACAATACACTTAAAACCATTTATCTTATTTTTAAAGTTTTTGAATATTTTATCATACTCATAATTGATAATACTATAAACACTGACATTCCTTCCACATATAAGTTAATCATTCCTAATAGTCTCCTTGTTAAAACTGGATCTAATGCACAATTATATCTTATTTCAAAAACCCTTAAATTAAACCCTTTTGTGTCTGTCTAGTGTAACTACAACTGTTACATTTGGTATTAAACAAATCTTGAATGTAATCATGTAAATATTTACATTATTCAAGTTGTTCAGTACAAAATATACTCACTCATAATATCTCACTGAGCTATATTATAGGACACTTCTGATGTATTTATTCATAAGTAGTTAAAATTGGTCTACTCAGTAGCTGTAATAGACTCATACTTTTATCACCAATCCTGTGATTTATAAAAGTTAATTTTTGTAAAAAGAAATATTTTCTACTGTTGTTACCAAAGTTTTCTACCATAATTATCAATTTCTAATATATAAAGTGCACCTTTAAGTCTCTTAATGGGTAAGTGAGCAGGAAAACTGACAATATGTTAATGTGGCCTTTCTGCCATACTTACTGCCTTAAAACATGGTCTGAACTCTTTCACTGCATTATCTTTTTGGCCTGGTTGACTGCCTTTAACAAAATGTGAACAATATATTAAGGACAGACAGGTAAGTCTCTGAACTGTAAAACTAATAAAACTTCTGTAATTTCTTCAGCGAAAATACAATCAAGTTTTTATTTAATTGTGGCAAGCATCTCATTTTAGTTTGAGGGTAAAGTAGAACTGGAAGTATTTATCTCTGAAACTGAAAGCACTGGTGACTGAAACTTTAACCACTAAACAAAACAATGCTTAAAACTACTGAATCCTTATTTATTCACTGTAACTGTCTTAATATGAAAGCTCTGGGAAGCCAGGGGCCTTTGCATTTGAATGGTTTGTTTTCATGTATTGGAGAATTAAATCATTAAGAATGTGAGGCCAGGCATATCGTGTTTCAAATCCCAGGTTCCAGGGTTATGTGATTTAGGAAAGTTACTCAATCTGTTTTATTTTTTTCTAAGGTTTCATATATTTTAATAAATAATGTAGAAAAGATTTAATATAGAAAATTTTTGTGAAGATTAATTTTGGCATTTTAAAAACAAAGAACAGGCAATGTGTTAACAGAGCAGGAGCATTGCCGTCTTGGACAACCACTGACATTTTAAAGCTCCCTTTGATCAAAAACTTTCTAAATCCAAAGGGCATCAGCCTAATAGCTAAGGTCAGCATGACCATAAACCACAAATGACGCCTTTGACCAGAAACATTCCAACTCTAAGATAAACCCTTCCCTGACTAGAGACATGCCAGCCTGAGACAACCTCCCCTCCAGCCAGAGTCATGTCAGCCCCAAGATAACCCCCGCTCTGACCGGACATTCCAGCCCCGCAATAAACTTCTCCTCCATATAGAAACATTCCAAGCCTGTGATAAGCTCTCTCGCCCTAAAACCCTTACATATTCTTAATCTGTAAGAGAGAGTGCTCTTGACAGAAATTGGACAGAAGCCCCTCTCAGGTTTATTCTCCAAAATAAACCCTGTCTTTGACTGTTGAGCTGCTTTTCATGTATCTTTCCTCTTTCTTTAACTCTTACAAGTGTCTAGCACAAAATTAATTTTGGATAGTCTTCCCCTGGCCACCCCTGCATCTCGCACTGTGATTTGGAGTTTACACTTAAATTCATTATTTTGTAGCAACTACATCTGTAAAGCATTCTAGGGAAAGAAAAGACATGGAACACATTTTTGAATATAAAATAAATATAGGCAAAAATTGGCACACTTTGTCTAACACAGAAAAGAATCATGTAGTAAAAGAAGCCTTACAAACCTGGCACCTATGAAAGGAGCTGCATGTTGTGGGCTTATTATGAAAATTTTGTCAAAATATACAAACCTTTTGACTTTCAGGGGGAAATATCCACATAATTTTTAAATTCTATAAATATTTACTAAATACTATTATTCCGGGTAAATGAAATAAATATTCCAATGAGACATTAAGAGGTTAAACAATAGTGTTGCTAAAATATCAACTTCAGATAATAATTTTATGGGAACCAAAAAGTCACTTGTAATTTCCTTTAGTAACTCATTTTATCTAAAAGAGTATTATTATTACATGGCCATGTTTTTGCATTCTGCACATCAATTTTATGAAATAGGCAAATGGCCAGACTTCTTGTGCCAGTAATTAATGTGGACATTTTTGAGTATCCCTTCTAGTTTCTACCACCCATGTATTTAGTAGGGTAAAATAACTGATTGCAATGGCAACCAGACTCACAAAGAATGTTCCGTTGTGTTTACTATATGACTTCACTCAAACTGAAAACTAAGTGAAACACTTTAAAAATATTTTCGTTGTAGAGAACACTTGGACACAGAGTGGGAACATCACACACAGGGGCCTGTCGTGGGGTGGGGGGAGCGGGGAGGGATAGCATTAGGAGATATACCTAATGTAAATGATGAGTTAACGGGTGCAGCACGCCAACATGGCACATGTATACATATGTAACAAACCTGCATGTTGTGCACATGTACCATAGAACTTAAAGTATAATAATAAAAAATAAAAATAAATAAAAATAAAAATATTTTCATTGTAATAGACTGAATAGTTTAAACAATTATCCAAGAAGTACATTCATTTAAAAGCCTTCATTCTTCAACATAAAGTAACTAAAATATTTTCTCATTTAGAATAGATGTTATATGATGGGGACCTTACTTTATCTGTGTTAGAAAACATCATAGCATAGTGTTTGAGAGCACAGAGTTTTACATTTGATTTGATAGGCCAGAATTTAATTCCTTACTGCATGAATTTGGGCATATTGCTTAAATTCTCTGAGTTTCAGTTTTTTTTATCTTTGAAATCAAACTTAAAAGGGTTTTTGTGAGAATCAAATTACCTAATTCATTTAAAATGCATAGCACATTATGTGGAACATGCCAAGGATTTGATAAGCAATATCTATTGATGTTTATATATTATGTATTATTTATATTATAAATTATTATTTTATGTTGTCAATTTAGTTTTAAGCCCATTTAAAGAAACACAATACTGCATTAGCATTAGAACTGATTTCGATAAATGAGTAAAGTGGTGATAGGCATTCTACTAAATTTTAATATTCTACAAGTAATTATTTTTTTGGTTTGTTTTTTGCAGTAGCAAATTTCATTAGATACAGTGGTGGGTGCCTTCTTAGGACAAAATTTTGAAAAACTATTCATCTTTTCACATATAACATATAGAAAAACAGGGCTTCTCATTTATTCATTTATTTGGTTTGCCATTTGTTTATAGTATTTCCTACATTCCATAATTTTTATCACATGAGAAAAATGGATTAAACAAAAATGAAAAATTCCTACATAATTTTCAGAGTCCCATGACTTCTTGTACTATTTTGCTAAAATTCACGGTCCTCTTTATTTTTTATTTTTTTTGAGATGGAGCCTGGCTCTGTCACCCAGGCTGGAGTGCAGTGGCAAGATCTTAGCTCGCTGCAACCTCTGCCTCCCAGATTCAGGCGATTCTCATGCCTCAGCCTCCCGAGTAGCTGGGATTACAGGCGCCTGCCACCACGCCCAGCTAAATTTTGTATTTTTAGTAGAGACGGAGTTTCACCATGTTGGCCAGGCTGGTCTCGTCCTCCCGACCTCAGGTGATCTGCCCACCTCGGCCTCCCAAAGTGCTGGGATTACAGGCATGAGCCACTGCGCCCGGCCTCAGGGCCCTCTTTCTTTAAAATAAATTTTGTGTATATTTGAGACTTACTACTTGATGTTATGGGATACATATAGATAGTAAAATGGTTACTACAGTAAAGAAGATTAATGTATCTATCATCTCACATATTTACCTATTTGTGTGACAAGAATAGTTAAAATCTACTTGTTTACAAAGATCCCTAAAACAGTGCAATTTTATTAACTTTAGTCTTCATGCTGTATATTAATCTCTAAACTTGTTCATCCTACATGTCTACTATTTTGTCTCATTTCACTTTTATCTCTCTATTTCCTTCCCCTGAAATAAGAGAAAAGGAAGAGGAGCATTTGAGTAAATGAAGAAAAAAAAAATTACCTCTAGATCTTAATTCAATGAATTGTTAGAGAGCATTTCATGCTATAAATGATAAATAACTTGTGTGATTATAAATAGCTTCAGCCATAATTCCAGTTGCTTTTGTTATGTAGATGAATGCAGTGCAGCTTTATTTTGATATTAATAAGTTTCAAAAGCTATGTTTTAGAATAAATATAAAACAGTAAGTATTAGGAAAGCTATTAACAATAAAATGTGTGCTGTACTTCTATAATGGAAATGTGAAATGCAAGAACAAGAAATGTACTACTAACTAGTTTCTACACAAGATAACGTTACTTGTCAAATATTATAAAATAGTAATTTCCTTTGGAAAGAGATCTCTAAGGTAAATTTTTTATTAGTTTGACAGCGTTTTGTTTTCAAAATCGTAATTATTATCCTGGAACTATTAACAATTACCCATTGTGTAAGAATCAAAAAAGAAAGAGATCTCCTTTTAAAAAATATAGTAAAATAATGAGATTGCTCAATTTTTGTTTTATTCATGTAAGATGATGTGTTGTCTATCCCAGATAAGTCTACGGAAGACAAAAAAGAAGAGTCTCATGAGAATTCTGATGGTTATTTTGAGAATTAAAAAAGTACCAGATTTTAGTGTTTTTAAAAAATGAGTTATATTTGCTTATGGGAAGGACATTAGAGAATATTTTTCAAAGGCACAACATTTTGGACTCTACACAAAGATATCAGAAAAGCCTGACATAGATTTTTAATCAGGAAATAAACTTCAAGAGCTATTTAATAGTATTTGTGCCTAAGAAAAGTCAAAAAAAAGAGAGATGAGTAGGTTTATCTTAAAGTATTTCTGTCGACTATCATGTTAATTTTGAACAAATGCAAGTTTTTAAAAAACAATTTCCTAAATTTTGAATGATGCTTTCCTTTCACAAATCATAATATAGAACATACAGTGGACAAGAGCCAAAGAAAAAGACCATTGTAAAGGAATTTTCAAAATAGTACTACAAAATACAGTCAGATGGATGCAATCTACAACTGAGGCAAAATAAAAACAGTCTAGACAAGTGTTAAACACTATGAGTTTTTGAGAAATTTTGACCCCCTTCAGTATCACAACTGCAATTAGGTAATGAAGAGTTTAACTGGACTAACTAAGCCTTAGATGGTATTTTGACACCATGGTGCCTGCTAGTAGCATAGAAGTATATATACTGTAATCTCATAAAGCCAACCTTGGAAATTGTCTTTCCCAAAAGTTTATATAAAACCAAATGTCCTTTTATACTTTAATATAATTTATACTTAAGTTTTCCCTTTTCCAGCAACTCTGAAAAGCAGATGATACTAGAAAAGAGCCTGCATTTATGTTTGTTGTCAGAGGTGTCATATGTAGATCCAGTTACCCTCTGTAGATCATGTACCCAGTTAGCATACCTAAGAAAGTGCCCCGAATGGTAATGCCTAGGTTTTCTTCTAGGGTTTTTATGGTTTTAGGTCTAAGGTTTAAGTCTTTAATCCATCTTGAATTGATTTTTGTATAAGGTGTAAGGAAGGGATCCAGTTTCAGCTTTCTACATATGGCTAGCCAGTTTTCCCAGCACCATTTATTAAATAGGGAATCCTTTCCCCATTGCTTGTTTTTCTCAGGTTTGTCAAAGATCAGATCGTTGTAGATATGCGGCGTTATTTCTGAGGGCTCTGTTCTGTTCCATTGATCTATATCTCTGTTTTGGTACCAGTAGACATGGGCAAGGACTTCATGTCTAAAACACCAAAAGCAATGGCAACAAAAGACAAAATTGACAAATGGGATCTAATTAAACTAAAGAGCTTCTGCACAGCAAAAGAAACTACCATCAGAGTGAACAGGCAACCTACAAAATGGGAGAAAATTTTCACAACCTACTCATCTGACTAAGGGCTAATATCCAGAATCTACAATGAACTCAAACAAATTTACAAGAAAAAAACAAACAACCCCATCAAAAAGTGGGCAAAGGACATGAACAGACACTTCTCAAAAGAAGACATTAATGCAGCCAAAAAACACATGAAAAAATGCTCATCATCACTGGCCATCAGAGAAATGCAAATCAAAACCACAATGAGATACCATCTCACACCAGTTAGAATGGCAATCATTAAAAAGTCAGGAAACAACAGGTGCTGGAGAGGATGTGGAGAAATAGGAACACTTTTACACTGTTGGTGGGACTGTAAACTAGTTCAACCATTGTGGAAATCAGTGTGGCCATTCCTCAGGGATCTAGAACTAGAAATACCACTTGACCCAGCCATCCCATTACTGGGTATATACCCAAAGGACTATAAATCATGCTGCTATAAAGACACATGCACACGTATGTTTCTTGCGGCATTATTCACAATAGCAAAGACTTGGAACCAACCCAAATGTCCAACAATGATAGACTGGATTAAGAAAGTGTGGCACATATATACCATGGAATACTATGCAGCCATAAAAAATGATGAGTTCATGTCCTTTGTAGGGACATGGATGAAATTGGAAATCATCATTCTCAGTAAACTATCGCAAGAACAAAAAACCAAACACCGCATATTCTCACTCATAGTTGGGAATTGAACAATGAGATCACATGGACACAGGAAGGGGAATATCAGACTCTGGGGACTGTTGTGGGGTGGGGGGAGGGGGGAGGGATAGCACTGGGAGATATACCTAATGCTAGATGACGAGTTAGTGGGTGCAGTGCACCAGCATGGCACATGTATACATATGTGACTAACCTGCACGTTGTGCACATGTACCCTATAACTTAAAGTATAAAAAAAAAAAAAAAAGAAAGTGCCCCGTGAGGCTGGGGGAAATATATTCTACTAAGCATCATAACTTCAAAGGTGAATTAAATACCAAGTTGAAAAATTCTATGTAGCAAATATTCAGAAGGTAAAATTGTACAATTTAACTTACCAAAGTCATGCCCAAAAATGAAAATTCTTAGGAAAAACAGAATTCAGCTTAGGTAAGCCATAGTCATAACTAATGAAATATTAGATGTGATAAAATAATCATATAAAGCCCATTATACCAAGAAAAATAAGAAGGAAATATACACCAAAATAATAAGTCCTGTGTATATATTTTCCAGTTAGTCTAGGCCAGTGGGACAGTTTACCCTAATTCTGTTAATGGACATATCTTTTTAAATCTGCCCAACAAAGGTGCTCTTTAAACACTCTCATAACCAAGAGTCAATTAAATTCATCAATAACCACAGTGAAAAATGGGGCTTGGGTATTGCTATTGACTGAATCTTTATGTCTTTCCCAAATTCATATATTTCAATCTATCCAATGTGATGATATTTGGAAGTGAGGCCTGTGGGAGGTGATTAGGGAATAAGGGAAGAGCCTTCATGAATGACATTAGTGCCCTTATAAAAGAAACACAGAGCCCAGCCTGGCCAATATGGTGAAACACCATTTCTACTAAAAATAGAAAAATTAGCTGGGCGTGGTGGCAGGCACCTGTAGTCCCAGATACTCGGGAGGCTGAGGCAGGAGAATCGCTTGAACCTGGGAGGCAGAGGTTGTAGTGAGCTGAGATCACGCCACTGCACTCCAGCCTGGGTGACAGAGCGAGACTCCGTCTCAAAAAAAAAAAAAAGAGACACAGAAAGCTCCTTCACTTCTTCAACTATGTGAAGACAGTGAAAAGACAGCTGTCTCTGAATAAGGAAGTAGGCCCACACCAGACACCAAATCTGCCAGTGACTTCATCTTGGACTTTCCAGCCTTCAAAACTGTGGGAAATAAATTTCTGTTGTTTATAAGACACTCAGTCTGTAGTGTTCTATTATAACAGCTTGAACAAACCAAGATGAGCATTAAAGCAGTGAACAAACAATTATTTTCCTTGCTCTCTAATGGGGAAATATTAAAACAATTCTACTTCAAAATTATTAAAACACATTAATGATTCCTATATAGAAATAATTAACTATATCAGATTTGTGACCAATATCAAGACCTCTAGAAAAGTTGTTTTTATATACCTACTTGACAAATTACCTGTAGATAGATGTAAATGTGGCACTTGCCTAAGATAGTTGAAAGAATGCCAAGAAAAACTGTGCAGATGTTAGTAAATTGTGTCAGTACATCATATCTGTTAAACTGATTGCCTTTATGATTTCTACTGAAATATTAGGTAGAAGGAACCATCAGACTAAAATTGTCCTTCCATACTTAGAAAATTGGTATAACTTATGATAAAATATAGATTCCATGACTGCAGGAGTTTGAGGGTAAGAGTTAAGAATTGGAGGAGAAATCATCTGTGATTACTGTCATTGTATGAGGATTGTGGTATATGGAATTAAAGGAGCAACTAGTCAACATAGCTCTGCTTTCTACAATTAAAATAAATAGAAGATTTTTAGCACAAAGTTTAATTTAAAAAGTAAGGAGTAATTAATTAATTTCCTTTTTCCAGAGATAGTTTTAGATCCAAGAAATACATGGTATGAATTTATTCAATCAATGTTTATTGAGCATGCTGCTATCTCCTTGGCACTGTGGTAGACAAAGAACATACAAATAGAGCTTAAATTCTTAACCTCAACAAACTCACAGTTAGTAAAATAAATAAATGAATTATACAGTATGTCTAACGCTACAATTGTGATATATACAAAGTGCTAAGGGGAAATAGAAGTGGTTGTAGTTAATAATGTAGAAAAGGAATAAATAGCTTCATGGAAATGGTAGTATTGCGAAGAGAAAAAAATGGGGCTTGGGCATTGCTATCAACTGAATCTTTATGTCCCTCCAGAATTCGTATTTTGAAACCTAATCTCCAATGGAAAGAGGGGTGTCATTCTTTACACAGGAAAAAGAAGGTGAACAGGCAGTAAAAGCAGAGACACAAAGTATATAGAGTCTAGAAAAAGTTCTGTAAGATGGGAGACTCTCAAAATGGAATCTATAGGAATCAGAAGTTGAAGTTCTTAATGTCAAGTACATTGCTGCTGTCGTTGTCTGATTTTATTATTGATGAGTCCTTGAAAATTGTAAACATTTTGAATAGTATAATTAGTGTTTTAGAGGATAAATCTTAAACAATGTGAAGTGTAAACATGGGGCAGTCAATGACGGGGGGTAGTAGCTGACCTGTAAAATGGAAATGGAGAGGCTGCCAACTGTCTGGATTTGAGAAAAGAGAGGGAAGTTTCAAGAACACTCTCTTCATACATTGCCAGATGATAGTCAGGTTTTAAAAACACTGCCCTACATCATGGTGGCGTGTTTATTGAGCAGTGATCTATAAATATTTTTTGGCCAAATAAAGAGGGTGAAGATGAACATAATATAAGCCAATATAATAACACATTGAGTTAGGTTGAACACATCTAATTCAATGTGCTACTGTATGCTAAAAGAAAAAGTAGGTCCACAAAATGTTGAACACCCTTAAAAAGTTTTATGAAAATAAACAAAATGCTTTTATATTATTTTTATATTTTATAATATAAAATTTTTTTATTTTATATTTTAACTTTTTACGTAATAAAAAACAGTTATTACATATGTTTTTACATAATAAAACATGTAAAAAGTACATAACTTTTTACATAAATGAAAAAATAAAAAATATATTTTTATTTTATATTTTATTTTTAACTTTTTAAAATACCAAGATGCAGCTCCACCTGGAATTCTGTTCGGATCTCATCAGTCAAAGTAGATAGCTTGGAGCTGCAAAGTATATAGGGAGGGTAAACTAAAGTTACGTAAAGCATAGATCAATGCAAAGGAAATGACTGCTCAATGAGGACAGGTTGAAAAGATTGAGTCTGAAAGAGAGCTCTGTAGAAATGTAAAGGAAACATATAAAATATAAGAATTAAGAGACAGGATCATAAAACATGGAAGATGCTAATTTAAGACTACAAATTGGAAACAGTATATTTTAGAACAGATATTAAATTCAAGAAAACCATTTACTTGGAGAATGATATACACTGAAGTTTTAATTACAAGAATGATTTAGATACATTTGAGTGTGAAAGATTTGCAGTGTGAACTACACAGATAACATAGAGGAAATACCCTGATTTCTATGTAAAACCGTGTTTTCTACTGTCCCAGATCCCATTTCCTCATTCCCTCAAGGTCAGGAGGGTCAATCCAACATTTCCCCTTTCTCTCTCCCATATCATTTTTTCCCATGTATTTCATTTCCATCAATGTGCAGCCAGTTATTATTTTGTATACTTTTAAAATGTTTTCTGTAAAAAGCATTACTTTCTTTAGGCCATTATTCCATTTTCTATACCCCTTAGAATATTTCTGGAAAGAATTATCTAAATTCACTGCCGTTATTTCTCTTCTTTTATCACCTCGATTTTTAAAATAAACACTTTACATACATATAAAAAAACTGCATAAAATCGTGAGTGTTCCATTCAATGCATTTTCACAAAATAAAATCCTAGTGTAAATATGAACAGATTTAAAAATGCAAAACAATAAAACTCTATCTCCACTCCCAACCATTTTTGCACCTAGTCACAATCCATCTTTTCTTTTCTTAAATAAGTTCTTATTCCACTGATAAGCTTCCAATTTTTCAAACATCACATACATGGAAGGTAATATTACTGCAATTAGGTTCTTTTTTTAACTTCACCATTTTAGAGGTGTGTGGTGATATCTCATTGATAGCTTCATATAATTAATGAGGTAATCTATATCTATATGGCTAAATGAGGACTCTAGCAACTTTTCATTATCTTTTTGGCCATTTGAATATCTTCTTTTATGAAGTACCCAGTTACTGTATATGTTTTTTACTCATTTGTAATTACATATTTTTTATTTTGATTAATTTATATGGATTTCTATTATTCTAGATATAAGGTTTTATCAATTATATGATTGCAAATACCTTCTCTAATTTGTGACTTGCCCTTTAACTCTCCTAATAGAATATATGGATAAATAAAGATCTTTAATTAGGCCTATTTACCAAATATTTAGAGTCCTCTTTACAAAAAAAAAAAATTACTTCCCAGTGATTATAAAGATTTTTGCCTATGTTATTTTCCAGAATTATTTTACTTGTCACTTATTAATCTATAATCTACCTGGAATTGATATTTGTATGGACTGTAGATGAAGGGGCTCAATATTTTTTTTGGCTACTTACTTTGTTATATATATATATATAATATATAATATTATATATAATATATATATTTATATAAAACAAAGTAGCCAAAAATATATATAAAAATATATTTATATTTATATAAAACAAAGTAGCCACAAAATGTTATATCTAAAAATATATATTTATATACATACATATATATGTGTATATATATATATTTATTTATATATATATGTATTTTTTTTTTTTGAGACAGAGTCTCACTCGGTCACCCACCCAGCAGACTGGAGTGCAGTGATGTGATCTCGGCTCACTGCAACCTCCACCTCCCAGGTTCATACAATTCTCCTGCCTCAGCCTCCCAACTAGCTGGGATTACAGGTGCCCATCACCACACTCAGATAATTTTTTTTTTATAATTTTAATAGAGAAGGGGTTTCACCATGTTGGCCAAGCTGGAAAACAACCTGCTACTTTGGTTTCATTTATTGCTTTTCCCACTGCTCTGTGGAACCAACTCTGTCAGAAATCCAGGGTCCATATGTGTGTGGGCCTGTTTTGGAATTCACCATTCTAGTCAGTGATTATTTGTATAGTCTTTTGACATTACTACAGTGCTTTAATGACTAAACTGTAAAAGAAATCTTGATATCTGGCAGTAAATGTTGTCTAAGTTTGTTATTATTTTTGTAGTATTTTCCTGAATATGTGCCTTGGCTCATTCCATTTGCATATATATTTTATATGCATATATATTTTATGCAAATAGAATGAACCACGACTCATATTCAGTTTCTTTAAATAAATCTGTAATTGTGACAATTCCATTAATCAATAGGTCACTTCAAGGGGAATTGTTAACCTTCCACAACTGAGTCTTCAATACATGAACATTAACTATTTAGATCTTCTTAAATTTTTCTCAATATTGTTATTTCATTTTCTTAATAGAAATTATATTGTATTGTTATATTGTATCACTATATGTCTTTCGGCGAAATTTATGGGTTTTTTCGTATAGTTTTCTTTTAAATAAATTTTCTAATTTTTTGTTGCTAGTGATATGGTTTGGCTCTGTGTCTCCACCCAAATCTCTTCTAGAATTATAATTCCCATAATTCCCACATGCTGAGGGTGGGACCTGGTAGGTGGTGATTGGATCATGGAGGTGGTTTCCCCCCATGCTGTTCTCATGATAGCCAGTGAGTTCTCATGAGATCTGATGGTTTTATAAGTGTTTGACCATTCCTCCTTCACACACACACTCTCTGTCTCCTGCCACCTTGTGAAGAAGTTGCCTACTTCTCCTTGGGCTTCTGCCATGATTGCAAGTTTCCTGAGGCTTCCCCAGCCATGCAGAACTGCGAATCAATTAAACCTCTTTCCTTTATAAGTTATCCAGTCTTGGGTATTTATTTATGGCAGTGTGAGAACAGACTAATACAGCTAGTAAATGAAAGTAAATTTTTAATATAGTTTATGATATGTAATGGCATTGCTAAATTTACTTGTTATTTGCAAATTCTATTGCATTTTCTATATGCTCAATATCTCAAATAACCAGAGCATCATTTTTTTTTCCTTTCTGAGGCTTACGTTTTTTTTTCTTGCCTTATTTCTCTTAATATATTTTCAAGGCAATCTTAATGGGCATCCTTGTCATGTTCCTATTCAAAGAGAGAATACTTTTAATATTTTGCCCTTAACCATGAATCTTCCAGTGCTTTCTTTTTACAGATATTTCTTATCAAATAAAATGTTTTTTAATTTCCAGAGTTTTTTTCAGAAATAAGTATTAAATATTAGTTATTTTATTTCTAAGACAGGCAAGTGATTTTTCTTCGTTTTTTGTTATTTTGGAGAATCACATTGTTTTCAATTTTATTTTAAACTAACTCACATTTGAAACTCGATTTTTATGTCATACTTTTATACATATTAGTACATTTATTTTTCTACATTTTAAAATGATTTTGTCATTTCTCTTCATGATATAAATTGGTCTGTAATTTTTTAATTTTAATTTTCTGATCATATTTTGGTATCACCATTGTGTTGATTTTTTAAAGAAAATTGAGAGCATTTCCAGTTTTTCTATTTCCTGGGTTATTTTATTTTATATTGATGTCATTCTTCATTAGATCTCCTACAACTTAATCTAATTAGGGATTGAGCTGATTTAAGCCTGGTTTTATGAGGCCAGGTGTATTTGCTCACAGAATTTATCCTTTGAGGATTACTATCTGAAAGCTTTGAGTTTACCATAATTTCTTCCCTTTTTCCAGGCCCTAGTTGGTGAAAAATGCATGCCTGTCCCACTTTTTGGATTTTCTGATGCGTCTTATGAAATAGATGATGAATCAAGGGAAAAGCAACACAATGTCAGGCTCATCCTCTGTACTTTCTTTTTGTAAAGACTTTGGTCCTTGGACTGTCAACTCCTCTGAGACTCGACTCACGATTCCTGCAAATCATGATTTTCAACCTCCCATTTGATCTATTTTTCCAGGTGTTATCTTCAGAAGGGCTGATCGTATATAAGCTAGTCAGCCTCAGATGTCTTCATTTTATTTTGAATTCACTCTTAAGAAGTTTTCATTTTTGGGCTGGGCGCGGGGGCTCACGCCTGTAATTCCAGCACTTTGAGTGGCCAAGGCGGGAGCATCACGAGGTCAGGAGATCGAGACCATCCCGGCTAACAGGGTGAAACACCGTCTCTACTAAAAATACAAAAAAAAAAAAAAAAAAAAAAATTAGCTACTCGGAGGCTGAGGCAGAATGGCGTGAACCCGGGAGGCGGAGCTTGCAGTGAGCCGAGATCCCGCCACTGCACTCCAGCCTGGGCGACAGCGAGAATCGGTCTCAAAAAAGCAAAACAAAACAAGAAGTTTTCATTTTTGTAACTTTACTGAAATGACTTTTTTTATGGTCAGTCTTTATTTCTGAAATCTTACCCTCAGTTTTCCTCGAAACTAAGAGGCCACTTCCCACTCTCCTTTTCTTGTTCTTCCTCATGACCTCAACCTTTAAGTAGTTGAGCTTGGGATCAAAAGCTCCTCACAATTACTCTGTCTATACTCACCCATAACACAGCTTCAATTACCACCTACGTAATTACCAGTCTCATATCTACATTATCAGCCTCAGTCTTTCCCATGAGCTTGACATTGATACCCACCTGCCTCCTTGACGCTTCTGCTTATAAGTACCTCCTTCATACCATGCTCTAAATAGAAACTTCAATTCCCCTACTCCTTTCCACTTGTTTTTATTGTAATATTCTTCATCTCAGGTCCAAAATTTTAAATCTTATAAACACTCTTGTTTTTGTTTTCTTTTTTTTTTTTTGTAAACTTATTGCATGCCCTAAATTTTATGTATGAAGTTTTAAATAATAAATCCACTCCCTACTCTTCTTCAAAAATCACCAAGGCTTCAGGGTCTTTCACTTTTTGTTTCTGTACCTCTGGTGTTCTTTCACCAGTTACCACCATGGCTTGACTCCTCACTTCCTTTAGGTGTTTGCTCGAATGTACTGTATAGGAATAAGGCTTTCCCTGAGCACCTAATAGAAAAATAGCAATCCTCCTTCCACAATCCATCCATTATATTCCCCTACTCCTTTTTTTTCCACAGTGCTAAGTACCATCTGATATTTATGATTTTATTTATTTGTTTATTGACTATCTCCCACCACAAAAATGCAAACTCCATGAGCCCACAGAATATATTACTTTGTTCATTACTGCATTTCCCTATTTGTAACACTGGAAATAATACATGGATAAGTGAAACAGTGGATGAATAAAATAAAATTAGCAGACAGGAAAGCATTTCTAAGCTTTTAAAACCACCATTAAGTACAACAAAATGAAAAACTCATAAATCATTTAAAATACTAACTGTAAGAAAATTAGTCTTGATAGACAGTGATTCTGACATGGTAACATGCTTCTTTTGTTATTTTTCTACAGCGACTTCCAGTTTATCCTAAGCCTCTTTATGAGTTGACCATAACAGATGTGTCTGAGAGAGGAAAAAGTATCTTGGAAGAGACAAATTCAGAGAAAAATCAAGCAGTTGTTTTCGCAAACTCAGAGAAAAATCAAGCATTTTCTTCTTGATTCTTGTTTTGTTTGCCTATGTTTTTCAGAAGCCAGTTGATTACATTGATGCAAACATTAAAGAGTAATCTTGTATTTGCCCCATATCAAACCATCTCATAGACATTAACAGGATTTTTTTAAGCTGTTGTTACATCCAATGCTGCCACTGGTTAATTTTCATCTTTGTAAAGAGCTAGTGTTTTTCTTTTAATTAACACATAATAGAGAGTTGATATATATAAACAAACTGTGAAACAGTTCATGTTTCAGTAAAGGAATATTGACTAATGAAACATTCTTGACAAGGAAGATTCCTTAATGTGGAATTCAAAAATGCCTGCTAAAAATTGCTCCATTCTGTAAGATGCATACTTAAGTACAAATTGTGCTATTGCTTTTTGGTTAGGCATGGTATTATTTCATGCAGATATACAGGTGGCATATAAAATGTATATAATGATATATAAAATGGGAGAAACATTTAATTTCTGAGAGCAGGAAAAACAGATCATGCTTTGCAGTCGCTGCAAAGCATGACCTGAATAATACATATATTGTAAGGAAAAGAGAAAAAGGAAATAAAACAGCTGTGAACAGAAGCACTTGGTATAGGAACATGTATCAATATAATACTTGGGAGGAAAAGGCCAATACTTAATACATAAATGTAATCAAAAGTAGATAAATACAATATAGGTACTGGTGGTATCATAATAGCCTGATAAGATCTCTGCCATTCTAGCAAGAAATGAGCAGGAAGCCTATTGGAAATTGAGTGTGGATGTCCTCCAAGATAAAACAGTCTAATTCACTCTCTTGTGGCCTCTACCAAAAAAAGAACCAGACTGTTACTCAGAAAACCAGAAAGGAAAACAAAAGAACTACTGAAGAATTAAAATATTTGGAAATATGCATGGAAAACAATTTCTTAGTCCTGCTTTGAAGAAATAAAATATGATAAAATACCCTTTTATAGATACACAAATTTAGTTTTATTAAACTGTCAATTGCTTTCAATATCTAATAATTGTTTACAATATGTGCCTATTTGCCTACTGTAAGGATTTGGATAAAATAATACATTTAGGAATTGTTGGAAGGGAGGTGAAAAGTTGGAGCTGATGAGGTTTAGGACATACTACTTCAAAGTATGGCACCTTGGCATTGAGAAAACAGCAGAGACAGGAAGGTCTGTCTGAACTTCTCCTGCCATTCTCCCCTGAAGCAGGACATAAAAGAATTATCTGACCTTTCTCTAACATAAGTCCTAAGACCCTCATTTCAGAAGAGTCCTCCCTGTACCTGGAGAAAAGGAATGAAGACACAGAGACACAAAGAAAAATCTGAAAATAAAAAAAAAGGGCTCCTAGGGTTTTCCAAGTTTATTACCAATCATACCTCCTTTTGTTCATCATATGTGGACATGACTGTCCACATTTCATCAAAACTGAGCATAAGATACAATTTTTCCTGTTTCTTTGGGTCTTCATTTCTGAATGCTCCCATGCCATGTAAAACTTATATTAAATACATTTGTATGCTTCTATCTTGTTAATCTGTATTTTGCTATAGAGGTCTCATCTATGAACTTAGCTACTGTTAAGCAAGTAAATTGATTTCTTTTACAGAGTAGAAGCAGAAATAATTGGATTGTGTTAATTTAGTGGAATCAGTGTGTACTTAGCATATGCTAGGTTCTTGGAGAAGGTCCCTTATTTAATCCCTACCAAAGTTCTTTGAGTTGTACATTTTCATCCACTGTCTACAAAGGAGCACACCAATAGTGATGTTAAGTGATATGTTAAAGGTCTTGTACATTAGGTAATGAAAACCAAATTCAAGCTACGTGTTCTGAATTCATGGTTTTTTTTTTTAGCAATACAAAAAATCTATATTGTATTCATCTACTTTTGATTACATTTACATATTAAGTATTCGTCTTTTCCTCCCAAGTATTATATTGATACATGTTTCTATACTAAGTGCTTCTGTTCACAGCTGTTTTATTTCCTTTTTCTCTTTTCCTTATGATGTATATATTATTTAACACATGCCTCATAATATCAAATGCTTTTAACCTGGAACAGGATTTGGTGGGGGAAGAGTATTTTTGACATGGGCATATTACATTGATAATAGAGTCTCATCTATTTATTGTATTCAACCTAAATGAAAAATCACATCTGTAAGATGCAATAAACCAGGAATGAAATGTGTACCTGAGTAACTTCAGGAAATTATACTGGCACTAAGATAAAATATTTCATCAATGATAAAAAATACAGTCTTCAGGATACGCTGTACAGCAATAGTTCTTAGGTCTAGTCAGAAAAAGCAATGTAGCATTTTCCTTTAATTATGCCTACTTTTCTACAGCTTGCGTATACCCTCTGTCAGAAACATTTTATTATTCAAATTGACCTGGTGCAGTGGCTCATGCCTATAATCTCAGCACTTTGGGAGGTAAAGAAGGGAGGATTGATTGAGGCCAGGAGTTTGGGATCAGCCTAGGCAATGCAGCAATACCTCATCTCTACAAAATAAAAAAAATTATATCACGGCACACCTGTAGTCCCAGCTACTCAGGAGACTGAGGCAGGGGAATCCCTTAAACCCAGAAGTTGGAGGTTGAAGTTTGAGGCTGCACCACTCCTACATTCCAGCCTAGGATGCAGAAGGAGACCCTGTTCTCTAAAAAAAATGTTATTCATATTATGTCACAAATGATGTAAAGAAGTGCTGAATACTGAAAAGTAGTTTCCTTCATTAATATTGTTTTTGTATCAAATAATAGTGGTCAGAAAATTATATAAGGCAGAATTTGATATGAATAGGATTTAACTCCTTTTTCTTTTTTCCTTTTTTTCTTTTTTTTTTCTTTTCTTTCTTTTCTTGAGACAGGCTACTGCTCTGTCATCCACAGGAATACAGTGTCACAGTCATGACCCACTGCAGCCTCGACCTCCTGGGCTCAAACAATCTCTCACCTCAGCACCCAGAGTAGCTGGGACTGTAGGCGTGTGCCAGCATGCCCTTCTAATTTTTTGTAGAGACAGGGTCTTTCTATGTTGCCCAGGCTGATCTCGAGCTCTTTGACTCAAGCAGTCCTCCTGTCTTGGCCTCCCAAAGTGCTGGGATTAAAGGCATGAGGCACTGCATCTGGCCAGATTTCATTTCATTATAAAACAAATCATCTTGCCATACTGACATGTAGCCCTAATATCTTCCTATGAAAGAAAGTAGTACAAAGTACCAATATGGTTGTGTTAAGATTAATCTATTAGGAATCTCAGTGCCTCATCGAGCTTTTTTATTTTTTTAATATCGAAAAGAGAAAAAGGAGAATTTGACCACACTAGATCACAAGTGACTGTTTGCCAGACCCTTTGGTATTTTAAAAAACCATGATCTATTATAAGAAATCATATGAAGAAACATATTTACTGAAAACTCTTCAATGTACCAGGTATGATTACTGACTTGAGGGCTGGGCTGAACAGCCAGAACAATATTTCTTTAGGTGTTCTAGTCTTCTCTCTTCTGAAGTATCAGCAAAAGCTTTGAGTTTTAGTTCTCATAATGTACTCAATGTCTCATGAGTTAGTTCAAATGTAAGTATGACTCAGTTCTCAGGTGTTGGTGAAAACCTTTAATAATGTTTAAACTAAACGATAAAGGAAACATGGTAAGTATGACAACAACAAACACTTTCAAAACCTGCTGTGTGCTGGATGCCAGGTTAGTCTAGGTTCCTCAGATCTATCACTAAATTGTAAAACAAAAACCAGTATTTTATCCTTCTTGATCCTTTCCGGAATTATTTTTTACCTTACATAAAATTTCTACACCTATGTTCTGTTGTGGGTATGATGTCATATCATAAAATGTACAGGCTAAAAAAGACTAAATCCTAATTTGCATATATATATATATATATATACATATTTAGTTTTTGGTATAAGAAAAATTTCCCAATAGAACTAGACAGTAAAATTCCCATATCATAGAGTTCTAAGATCTGGAAGCTCAGCATCTTGATAGCAGATGGGAGTTTATTAAATGTTACTTTATGTTAAAGACAGTGAATGCAGAAGAAAGGACTAGAGTGACAGAATAGGATAATCTGATCAGAGGGCCATACCACTTTCCTAATATAAATTCTTTCTTAAAAGAGCCAAATAAAAGAGGCTATTCAATTGTAGTAGCTAAGATTTTAGTATTCCTTATGAAGGTAATACATAAACACAATTAGTTTTGAATAATATTTGAAAAACGTATATGCTCTTCAAGGAATACAGAACCTAGTATTCAAAATATATTAATCTATTACAATCTATTTTACATGAAGAAAAATGAAAATAAAATTTAGAATGACAAAACTACGTAGTTAGTTAATGGTAGAATTTGAGTTGGAATATTTATTTTCCAAATTTCTATTCACATGTTATTTCATTTATTTATTCTGTAAATTGAATATGTATAACATGTTGAATAATATAAACATGTTGTAAGCTAAGCAATATAAGATTAGGCTATAGTTTAGAATACATTAATGAGTTTAAGAATAAAGATACAAAGAACCTAAGACATTTTGTTAAATTACTAATCCAAAGATAAACATGATAGTGGCTTAACACAGGGCAGTAGTAGTGGGTGTTTGATTCCAAGATTCAACAGTGCTCAATAAATTGCATGTGAACAGCAGTTATGAAGATAAGGGGACCATATACTGCTCTAGTTCCTGACCTGGACAGTTGAGAAAACACCAACGTGATTATTTTATACATTGAACATGAGAATAAGATTGGTGGGAGATTATTCATTTTGTACTTGCATTTGAGGAACATATGTGGGGTATCTAAGAGCAGTTGGATAGCTGGGTCTAAAGCTCAAAGAGAGACATCTGGGCCTGAGATTTAACTTAACATTTAAGTGGTATATAAATTGTATTTGAGCACAGAGATTGGTAGAATGATATTATGATCCTGTGAAACATGTCAACTACCAATTTGAGTGAGAAGCAGATGTCAAGGAAAAAGAACACAAGATTTAAAAATCAAAAAGAAACAAAACAATGATATTTTTGTGAAAGTGTTTCAAAAGAAGATTATTTTCACAGATAGAATGTACCTCAGAGACTAAGAGTAAAATTGAAAAGTATGTATTGGTGATAGCAGCAAAAACATATGGGTGAATTTAAAACAATATTTCTCATGAAGTGGTTAAGAAGAAGTCATAAACTTCTGAATTAGACTGATGAACTTGATTAATGTACGAATGTGAGGTGAAGAAGTAGAAAAATGATGGGAGAAACTGTGTTCAAGGAATGGGACCCTGAAGATGAAGACATAAAGAAGGTAGTAGCTGACTACTCACATAGAGACAAATGTGGCAGCCCTGAGAATGCAACTAGTGTACCTCCTACTACCAGGAGCACAAGTGACAAAGACCCCCAGCAGCTGATCTTTAAAATTCATTGCAGCATCTGCATCAAGGCCACACCTTCTACAGGGTTATCTCACCAATAACTAAGTGTGGCAGGGATGGATCTCAAGTAGACCATTTCTGGCCTACAGAGGTTGACATTGGCTCAAGCACTCCTTGATGACTTTGTCAAACTTTTTTGTAAGTGACTTTATTGAGGAATAATTGATATACACATTTTCTTAAACTGCACATATTAAATGTTCACATTTTTGTGAGTTTGGACGTATGCATAAACCTGTGAAACCATCACCACAGTCAAGATGAAAGATGTATTTATCACTTCCGAAAGTTCCCCTGTGTTCCTCTCTGTTTTTATGGTATAAGCACTTATAATGAGAACTACCTCATTACAAATTTTTAAGTGCACAATGCAGTATTGTTGATATAGGCACTAAGTGATACAGTAGATCCCTAGAGCTAATTCATCTAGCATAACTGAAACTTTATACCAATTGACAATGATTTCCCATTTCCCTCTTCCCCTGACCCCCGGTAATCACTGTTCTATTCTCTGCTTCTATGAGTTTGACTATTTTAAGTACTTCATATAAATAAAATAATACAGAATTTGTTATTCTGTGACTGGCTTATTTCACTGAGCATATTGCCCTTCGGGTTTATCCATGTTGTTGCCAATGACAAGGTTTTCATCTTTTTTTAGGGCTGAATAATATCCCATTTACCCTGATACCAATGTCAGAAAAAGACACCACAAAAAAAAAAAAAATACAAGCCAGCATCCCCAATGAACATACATGAAAAATCCTCAACAAAATACTAGCAAGCTGAATTCAACAATACATTAAAAGCATCATACACCATGACAAGTGGGATTTATCCCTGGGATGCAAGGATGGGTCAACATATGCAAATTAATTAATGTGATATATCTCATTAACAGAATGAAAGATAAAAATTACATCTCAATAGAAGCAGAAAAAAATTTGACAAAATTCAACACTCTTTTACAATAAGAATTATCAACAAAGTATGGAAGGAATATACTTCAACATGTTAAGAGCTATAATACGAAAAGCCCAGAGACAACATCACAACTAGTGGTGAAAACCTGAAAGTGTTTCCTCTAAGATCAGGAAAAAGGCAAGGAGGCCAACTCTTGCTACATCTATTTAACATAGTACTGGAAATTCTAGCCAGAGCAAATAGATTAAAAAAATAAATAAAAGGCATCCAAATTGGAAGGGAAGAAGTTAAATTGTTCATGCTTGTAGATGGCATGATCTTATATAAAACCCCTAAAGACTGCAAAGAATAAAACAAAACAAGACAACTGTTAGAACTAATAAACCAATTTAGTAAAGTTGTAGGAAACAAAATCAACATGCAAAAATTATGTTTCACTAAACTAACAGTAGACTATTGAAAAGAAAAGTAAGAAATAATCCC
The DNA here is from genome assembly GCF_000001405.40 of Homo sapiens. Classification (NCBI taxonomy): domain Eukaryota; kingdom Metazoa; phylum Chordata; class Mammalia; order Primates; family Hominidae; genus Homo; species Homo sapiens. The sequence continues at coordinate 125,900,162 of NC_000007.14, forward strand.
TTTTACAACAATATTAAAACAAATAAAGTACTTGGAAAAAAACTTAACCCATACACTGAAAACTACAAGACATTGACAAAAGAAATTAAAGACATAAATAAATGGAAAGATAACCTGTGTTCATGGATTAAAAATATTAATGTTATTAAAATAATCCTTGCTACCTAAAGCAATCTACAGATTCAATACAATTCCTATCAAAATTCCAATGGAGCCAGGCACAGTGGCTCACGCCTGTAATCCCAGCACTTTGGGAGGCCGAGGTGGGCAGATCACTTTAGGTCAGGAGCTGGGGACCAGCCTGGCCAACATGGTGAAACTCCATCTCTACTAAAAATACAAAAATTAGCTGGGCATGGTGGCATGCACCTGTAGTTTCAGCTACTTGGAAGACTGAGACATGAGACTCACTTGAACTGGGGAGATGGAGGTTGCAGTGAGCTGAAATTGAGCCAACGCACTCCATCCTGAGCAAAAGAGAGAGACCTTGACACACACACATACACACACACACACACACACACACACACACAAAATTCCAATGGGATTTTTTTTTAGAGAAATAGAAAAAAGCAATCCTAAAATGCATTTACAACTGCAAAAGACCCAGAATCTTGAGGAAAAAAAAAAAACAAATTTGGAGGCCTCATACTTTCTGACTTCAAAATATACTATGCAGCTTCAGTAATTAAGACAGTATGCAGCTGGCATAAAGACAGACTTATAGACAGAATAATAGAACAGAACAGAAGACCCCAAGTGAATTTTATGAACTACATAGTTACTGACTTTGTCAAGGATTCCAAGAATGCGCAATGGAAGTTTGTCTTTTCAACAAAACGTGCTGGGAAAACTAGATATCCACATGCCAAAGAATGAAATTTAACCCCTATCTTATTGCATACATAAAGATCAACTCAAAATGGATTAGAAATCTAAATATAAGACCTGATACTATAAAACTTCTCAAAGAAAACAGGAGGAAAGCTTTACATCGGTCTTGGCAACAATTCTTGGCTATGACACCAAAAGCACCAGGAACAAAAGCAAAAGTAGACAAGTGGGATAACATTAAAAAAGTTTAATGGCCAGGCATGGTGGCTCACACCTGTAATCCCAGCACTTCGGGAGGCTGAGGTGGGCAGATCACTAGGTCAGGAGATCGAGACCATCCTGGCCAATATGGTGAAACCCCATCTCTACTAAAATACAAAAAATTAGTTAGGTGTGGTGGCGCATGCCTGTAGTCTCAGCTACTCAGGAGGCTGAGGCAGGGGAGTTGCTTGAACCTGGGAGGCAGAGGTTGCAGTGAGCCGAGATCATGCCACTGCACTCCAGCCTGGTGACAGAGCAAGACTCCATCTAAAAAAAAACAAAACAAATCAAAAAAACAGTTTCTGCACAGCAAAGGAAACAACAAAGTGCAAAGGCAACCTACAGAATGGGGAAAAAAAATTGCAAACCATGTACCTGCAAGTGGTTAATGTTGAACGTTTGATAAAGTTTGCAGTTTCCACACAACTTTCTCTTTCTCTATCACTGAGGATTAAATTATATAACTATCTGATTGGTCCTCTCATCGTTACCAAGATATTTTCCTGTTTCTTTTCACATAGGCTTTTGTCTAATAAAATCTCCACGTTTACTCTCCTCTTTGGGTCTGAATCTCAGAAGACTTACACAGACATCTTAAGAAAGGGACATTTTATGAATAAGTTCTCAAATTATTTTAAATAATAATAGGAAATAAATTTGGAAGATACAAAAGACAAAAGAACTATTATCAAAATCATTTCTTAAAAAAGCAAAGACAGAATGAGATTTAAACCATGAATAGCACAGTTATTTTAATACAACAGAAGAGAAGTAAAGAAGGGTAGGTGTTGATGTGAGTATATTTATTAATTTAATGGCAAGAAGTCAAGAGGGTCCTTTGTCTTTGTGTTAGATTGTATTTTGGCTGCAACAATAGATTCCATCCCACATATTCTTCTTTAAAGTGAATTAGCCACAGCCCCATTAAGAAGTCTAGTCTACATACCCCCACCTTTGATCAGGCCTAATAGTTTCTTTGAACATGTAAGTATGGTAGAAATGGTCATGTGTCAGTCCTAGGTCAATTATTCTAATATGGTAACCTCTGCTTCCCCCTATTGGAATGCTGGTACTTAGAAGCCAGTCTTCACCTGGGAAGACTGACTTTCTTGAGACAATCACACCCAAGCCAGGTGTAGATGCCTAGGAGAATTGAGGGCCAGGTGATGAGAGAGGAGCCAAGGAATACTGTGGGAAGAAGTTATTTGAAAATGGGTTCTCCAACCTTAACCATTCCAAAAGATCTCACATGGATGGGAGCAAATCAGCCAAGTTAGTTCCATATTCCTGACCCAGAAAATCATGAGCATAGTAAAATGGCAGTTTTAAGGCACTAAGTGTGGCATAACTGTTAGTAGATCAATGGACTTCTACTGCTTGGGACTTACATGATGACTTAGATCGTGTGCTAAAAATTAGGTGGAACCTGACATAATAAGCGTTTTGGGGCCAGTAAAGGGAAGAAAGTGGAAAATAGGAGAAAACTCATTAAGGAAATAAAGACATGGTGAGAATAACTATTGAAGACCTTTTGGAGATTTGAGATCATGAATTCCTAATGGCTCCAGGAGTATTAAGCAACTGAAGTTAGGACAGTAGATTGATCCAGAGATGTTTTACCAGGGAGTGGCAACAGAAGGACAACTGAAAAAGTTCAAGAATAAATGTAAGAAAATCACTGAAATGATGGAGTTTAAACTGAACGTGAAATGAACATAGAAATAGCTAGCTACAGGGGAGAAGTGAAAGAGGCTAAGGCACTGTAAGACTAACAAAAGGCAATAATAATAATAATAATGCTGTAAGGGCATTAACTTAATGAAAACAACTAGTTTTCTTCAAAGTGAGTGCTTTTTAATTGAGTCAGTGCAGGATCATGACAACCTCTAACACAGTGGACCTTAAATGGAATGGAATTCTACTACATATCAAGGAAGAGATAAAGGAGGAAACATGGGATGGATTATTCAAGACTTTTGAGGCCATGTGGAATGATGGCAACACCTCAGATAGAGAGCAAGATCATGAATTAGTTGCTTACAATCAATGGGTATTGTATGACGGAAGGAATTATTGGTGTGGATTGAATCTTATTTTTCTGCTTGAATACAGGATAAATAGGAAATAGCATTAAAGAGTGTTGAGAATGTTACTATTACCTCTAAACCCTGAGGTTTATGGTTATGGAAGAAACTGCATTTTATATGGATGCGTAGGAAGCAATGCCCTCGAGAGAGCCTTAGGTTGCAAATAAATCAAGAAAATAGAGAAACTTTTAAGGAAAAAAAAAAAATGAGGATATAAGAGATCTCTGTATCATGGACTGAAAGTTCCAAAATACAAAGCTGAAAGTTTTGAGAAGGCAGGGAGCTGTCTTCTCAAAGAGAAGTTTAGGAGACAACACACTGTCAATCATATAGTGAAAAACTTCTGAGGAAGTATAAGGAGAGGGCTTTACTTAGTACTCTATGACCAAGGTTATGAAGGTCCTGGGGTTTAAGCATCCATCAGATTTTTTAAAAAGTGCCTTTAGATGTCTCCTGATGGATGTAAGTTTGTAGGAATCAGGGACTCTGAATCAGTGAGCCTGTGGTCAAATGCTTGCTACCTTGCCATTCTGACAAAGATCCTGGTCATCAGTGTCCTTTTTGTGTAAATAGAGGCTTGGGTAATCAGATGCCTAGTGTAATGATTAATAATGGCATGGAAGTGGTCCTGAGAGACTCTGGGCATGAAAAGGAAAGATGGAGCAGAGCCCTAATGAGGATAAGGCTGACATTCAGGCTAAAGCAGTAATGTCAGTGGCCAGAAGCCTTACAAATACAGGGCCTTGTCGGTAGTTCATTAAATATTTTAACCCACTAGCATTCATGTCAATAAAATTTAATAAACAATTCAAAGTATATAAAAGGAAGCCTTGTCCTACTTTGTATATTTGGATGAAGACAGCAAAATATGCTAACTTTGATTAAAATATATCTGAAAATCATCTTTCAAAGGAATGATATTCTTCACACTTTTGAGGAAATGTAGGCTTAAGCCTAGAGAATCAAAGCTTTTGTTGAAAATTCTGTTACTATTAGATTGTGATGAATCAGCTGCTTTACCATTACTAGCTTTAAAAGTGATCCAAGTTTAGAAAGATCAATACGTAAAAACTCCAGACTTAGCCATTTTAAAGCAAATATTTATGTTGAACTTCGTGCTAGACACTGTCAGGATGCAGTGTGCATTAGGGGAGCATGTGAATCAGCAACTTGCTCATTCTTGGTCTACAATTAGAAAAATAGTGAAAAACTACATAGTAAAAATAATGTATAATCTTATACCTTAAATGAGCATGTAAATCACCATTTTTGAAATAATATTCCTTGGTGATAGCAAGTAGTGACTATGCATTCAGAGTAAGGGAAAAATTCAAAAATAATTAATGTCCAGCTCTATCTTTGTACAAATAATACATTAGGAATGCAAATGAATAGATAAAATAATTTCAATTTTTTAAAAAAGCAAAGTTTGAGGAGATATCATAAAAAGGAAGTGTACCCATTTTCAACTCTTAGCTATTTTCCATTCTTTGTCTTAATAACACAAGATGAGTATAGGTTCTTATTAGCTTTTTCCTTTTATTCATGCTACATTTTTTTGTCAGCCTATTTTTTTTTTCTCAGCAAAGTCCTGCAACAGAGCAGGAACATGGGAATCACTTGAAGGGATTCAGTGATTTTTTTTCTTTCTTTCTTCACTTAACAGTTATATTGAAGTTCCAACATTCTCTGACTTCAAAGTCAGAACAATTACTGTGTTCTCAATCCTCCAAGTGCACAGATTATCTTTCTGCACTGTGGTGGCCACTGCTGTGGGATAGGGGAGGGGAGGCATTGGCAATTCAGGACTGTCTTTTCTGTCCTCCTCAGTGCCACTTTCAGTGATATGAAGTTAAAACCAGATACTGTGATCACTCAGTTGATTTTAGATTCTTATGAAAGTGCTTTTTTGTGTGGATAATTGTTCAATTTGGTGTTCCTACAGAGAGGATGATTGGTAGAGACTTCTATTTGGCCCTCATGCTCCACTTCCACTTCCTCAGCTTTTATTTTAGATTCCGGGGGTACATGTGCAGGTTTGTTACATGACTGTATTTCATGAAGCTGAGGCTTGGGGTAGAAATGATCCCATTACCCAGATAGTGAGCACAGTACCCAATAAGTAGTTTTTCAGCACTTGCTTGCTTCTCTCTCTCTTTCCTCTAGTAGTCTCCAATGTCTATTGATCTCATTTTAAAGTTCATGTGTACTCAATGTTTAACTCTCACTTATAAGTGAGACATGTGGTATTTAGTTTGCTGTTCATATGTTAATTTGTTTAGGATAATGGACTCTAGCTATATTCATGTTGCTGCAAAGGACATTATTTAGTTCCTTTTTATGGCTGTGTGGTAATCCATGATATATATGTACCACATTCTCCTTATCCACTCCACCATTGATAGGCACCTAGGTTGATTACATGTCATTGTAATTGTGAATAGTGTGGCGATGAACATGAGTACATGTGTCTTTTTGCTAGAATGGCATCTGGCTACTATTTTATATTTTCTATTTAACTTTTTCTTTTGTTTATTTGTCTTTATTACCTTCAAATTTAGCATTTTTCCTTTTCATGGTTCAGTTTGTATTCAGTGCTTTGCATTTCAAAATTAAATATCTGAAATAACAGTTATTTTATTAAAATCATATCATACATGACAATTTTATCTGTGAATTTAAACAATATAAATGAACAAATTTGTAAAACTATTACATACTATACCACTATATCTTTTCTTATTCATGATAGTCTTTGTGGCATCCACAAATGAAAATTCTGCATTCCTAAAACCTGGAACATTTCCAAGAAATACCTGTCTTTAGGACTGGCTTTAGGCAAGCTCTAAGGGGATGAGTTCTGAGCCCATGGGATATTCTCCCTGATAAGAATGTCTTCGTATGCCTGAGGGCTTAGCCCCTGTTATTCAACTTCATCAGATAATTTATGCTAACCATGTAATCTATGGTGAACTCCTGTGTTTGTATGCCTCAGGCCATGGGCCAAGTAGTACCAGTTTGATCAGATAGTTCATGTTAACAACATAACAATGTAATTTGTGCTAAACACCTGTTTTTGCTCTGGGTGTTTGGAGTACAAAAATATTGCATGCTTACATGACTGACCCGCAGTAAAAACTGTGAACACCAAAGCTCAGGTGAGCTTTTATGGTTGGTAACACTTCACATATGTTGTCATATACCATTGCTGGGAAAATTAAGTGCATTTGTGTAACTCCAACGGGAAAGGACAGGTAGAAGCTTGTACATGGTTACTCTTGGACTTCACCTCATGCACCCTTCCCTTTGCTGATTTTAATCTGTATCTTTTTTCTGAAATAAACTATAACTATGTGTATAACAATTTCTGAGTCTTGTGAGTTCTTCCAATGGCTAGAGATTGAGGTTAGTCTGAGAGACCAAACACAGCACCTTAACTATTAATATTATTGCACAAAAAGCCATCTCTAATCATTATATTAAAATTTTTAAATTGTATCTTTTTTTTTTTAATATGGAGTTTCTCTCTTGTTGCCCAGGCTGGAGTGCAATGGTACAATCTCGGCTCACTGCAACCTCCGCCTCCCAGGTTCAAGCAATTCTCCTGCCTCAGCCTACTGAGTAGCTGGGATTACAGGCACCAGCCACCACACCTGGCTAATTTTTTGTATTTCTAGTAGAGATTGGGTTTCACCATGTTGGCCAGGCTGGTCTTGAACTCCTAAACTCAGGTGATCCACCCACTTCAGCCTCCCAAAGTTCTGGGACTGCAGGTGTGGGCCATTGTGCCTGGCCAAAATTACATCTTTCTTTTATTTACAAGTCTTCACACTATATGTGTCAGTCCTCCACTAGGGTAATCCAAGATGGTTTTTTACCCACCAACCTCTTCCTTCACTGTTTGTCCTCAGTGCATACCATGCTGCCCTCATCTAATTACCCATGTCTTTTCTCACATTGAATCCAATAAAGTTGGGTTAAAGTTTTACTCCCAAGCTTTTACAAAACAGGAAAAAAAAATTCCTTGAGTATCTTTGTGCACAGATCTTATATTCCTAATATTTCTGTCACTTATTTTCCACCAGAGGTATGGTTTATTTTACTTATAAATCATTCACTCATTAGGCAAATATTTGCTGAGCTCTTAATACATGATTACTGTGATCAATACACTCTGCTAAGTAAATCAAACGCAGATTTTCACTTTGAGAAGCTTAAAATATAAATGAAAAATTCTTAACTTTTATTTTAAGTTCAGAGGTACATGCGCAGGTGTATTATATAGATAGACTTGTGTCATGGGAATTTGTTGTACAGATATTTCATCACCCAGGTATTAGAAAAAACAACCAATGGGGAAATGACTCCCTACTCAATAAATGATGCTGGAAAAACTGGCTAGCGATATGCAGAAGATTAAAACTCAACCCTTTCCTTACATCGTATACAAAAATTAACTCAAGATGGTTAAAGACTTAAAAGTAAAACTAAAACTATAAAAATCCTGGAAGACAACCCAGGCAAAACCCTTCAGGACATAGGCACAGGCCAAGATTTCATGATGAAGACACCAAAAGCAATTACAATACAAGCAAAATTGCAATACAAGCAAAAGTTAACAAATAAGATCTAATTAAAGAGCTTCTGCACAGCAAAATAAAATATCAACAGAGTAAACAGACAACCTACAGAATGGGAGAAAAGTTTTGCAGACTATGCATATGACAAAGGTCTAATATCCAGCATCTATAAGTAACTTAAACAAATTTATAAGAAAAATAAATGAATAGTAGTAACAGTAGTAGATGAATAATGAGAAAAGGTACAGACAGGTACAAAAAGAGATGTGTGAGATACTTAAAGACACTACTTTCATTCAACAATAATTTAGGGGTTTTGTTCGTTTTTAAGTTTTGTGTGTCTTCACATCTGTGTTTTCTAACTTAAATTTTAAATTCTTAGATGGTAAAATTGTGCCAGCTCAAATAGGCTGGCATCATGCCTACTATAGTAAAATACACAAATAGATAACAAATAATTAAAACACACACACACAAATACACATACACACACAGTTGTTTTAAGGTGTTTTAAAATGGAGTTATTTTAAATTTTTTAAAATCAATATTAATAAAAACTCCATGTTACTATAAGTAGCATTATTCAAAGATTATTCATTAATCATTGGCTTTTTCAGAGGTATTTGAACTGGAGCAACTTCATCTTGAATAGGGGCTGGGTAAAATGAGGCTGAGACCTACTGGGCTGCATTTCCAGAAGGTTTGTCATTTTAAGTCACAGGAAGAGATAGGAGGTCAAGTTTGGCAAAATAATACAGGTCATAACGACTTTGCTGATAAAACTGGTTGTAGTAAAGAAGTTGAACAAAACCCACCAAAGCCAAGATGACAATTGGAGTGACCACAGGTGGTCCACATGGCTCATTATATGCTAGTTAAAATACATTAGCATGCTAAAAAACAAAACAAAACAAAACACACTCCTACCAGCGCCATGACAGTTTACAAATACCTTGGCAATTTCAGGAAGTTACCATATATGGTCTAAAAAGGGGAGGAACCCTTAGTTCCAGGAAATGCCCACCCTTTGCCAAGAGAACTTATGAGTAATCTACCCCTTGTTTAGCATATAACCAAGAAATAACCATAAAAATGGCCAACCATGCTTCTGCTCTGCCTATGGACTAGCGATTCTTTTATTCCTTTACTTTCTCAATAAACTTGCTTTCATTTTATTCTATGGTCTCGCCCCAAATCCTTTCTTGAACGGGATCCAAGAATCCTCTCCTGGGGTCTACATCAGGACTCTTTTCTGATAACAGCTTCATGGAATTGTCTAAGTTTTCAAGTTTCCTTCTGTATTTTAATTATGAATTTTAATATTAGTTATAATACTAATTGTTATAAACATATTCATTAGAAATACTAAGGAGTATAATTTCACAGTAGTAAATAAATCTATTTACTTACTTTGAAAAGTGGTAAAGGAACAATTAAGCTTATTGAATAGAGAACCTTAATAGTCAACATCTTGATTCAATTATTTTGCTTGCTCATTTAAATTTCTATTTGTTTTATAAAATCATGTAAGAATTTGTGACTCTAGCTAGTGCCTGAGGTTTATATTAGTCAGTTAAAATTTATGGTAGTTATATCTTTGACTATTCATTGTTTCAAATTGATTATCTATAACTTGTGAGTCATAAATTTACTGAATTATATTTTTTTAAATTATTCACATGTATTATTTGTGAGCTCCCAAATATTTTGCCATTTTGTAACAACTTGAAAATTCTTACATCTATTTAGAGCTCTTAGCTAAAAGTGAAAAGTGGCAATCTTAGAGTCATAAAGTAGGTTGCTGTGTAGAGTTAGAATATAGCACTGCAAGATTTCAACTTGTAGGACAAATTAGTAAATAAAAAAACAGAATTTCACATGTATTATATCTAATGAATATGATATCATTAATATCAACAGAAAACATACCATAATCAACAAAAAAACTGTAAGCCACATGCTTAGAAAAAGTGTTATATTAGATTTTCCATTTCCAGTATCACTGAAAGACATTGTTTAGCATTGACCTAAGCATGGTGGTTGTCAGGCCTCTGAGCCCAAGCCAAGCCATCACATCCCCTGTGACTTGCACATATATGCCCAGATGGCCTGAAGTAACTGAAGAATCACAAAAGAAGTGAATATGCCCTGCCCCACCTTAACTGATGACATTCCACCACAAAAGAAGTGTAAATGGCCGGTCCTTGCCTTAACTGTTGACATTACCTTGTGAAAGTCCTTTTCCTGGCTCATCCTGGCTCAAAAAGCACCCCCACTGAGCACCTTGTGACCCCCACTCCTGCCCGCCAGAGAACAACCCCCCTTTGACTGTAATATTCCTTTATCTACCCAAATCCTATAAAACGGCCCCACCCCTATCTCCCTTCGCTGACTCTCTTTTTGGACTCAGTCCACCTGCACCCAGGTGATTAAAAGCTTTATTGCTCACACAAAGCCTGTTTGGTGGTCTCTTCACAGGGACGTGCATGAAATTTGGTGCCGTGACTCGATCGGGGGACCTCCCTTGGGAGATCAATCCCCTGTCCTCCTGTTCTTTGCTCCATGAGAAAGATCCACCTACGACCTCAGGTCCTCAGACCGACCAGCCCAAGGAACATCTCACCAATTTTAATCAGGTAAGCGGCCTCTTCTTACTCTCTTCTCCAACCTCTCCCACTGTCCCTCAACCACTTTCTCCTTTCCACTCTTCAATCTCTCCCTTCTCTTAATTTCAATTCCTTTCATTTTATGGGAGAGACAAAGGAGACACGTTTTATCCGTGGCCCCAAAACTCCAGCGCCGGTCACGGACTGGGAAGGCAGCCTTCCCTTGGTGTTTAATCACTGCAGGGACGCCTCTCTGATTATTCACCCACGTTTCAAAGGTGTCAGACCACGCAGGGACGCCTGCCTTGGTCCTTCACCCTTAGTGGCAAGTCCCACTTTTCTGGGGGAGGGGCAAGTACCCCAACCCCTTCTCCTTCACTCTTAGTGGCAAGTCCCGCTTTTCTAGAGGAGGGGCAAGCACCCCAACCTTGTATCTCTGCCCCCCAATCCCTTATTTCCACGCCCCAACCTCTTATATCTCTGCACCCCAATCCCTTATTTCTGTGCCCCGACCCCTTATTTCCGTGCCCTGACCCCTTATTTCCATGCCTTGACCCCTTATTTCTGTGCCCCATCCCTTATTTCTGTGCCCTGACATCTTTTCTCTGCACCCCAACCCCTTTTCCCACTTTTCTCGAAGGTAAGAACTCCCGAACCCCTTCCCTCCATTTCTCTACTCTCTCTTTTCTCTAGGCTTGCTTCCTTCACTATAGGCAACCTTCCACCCTCCATTCCTCCTTCTACTCCCTTAGCCTGTGTTCTCAAAAACTTAAAGCCTCTTCAACTCATACCTGACCTAAAACCTAAATGCCTTATTTTCTTCTGCAATGCCACTTGACCCCAATACAAACTCGACAGTAGTTCCAAATAGCCAGAAAATGGCACTTTGAATTTTTCCATCCTGCAAGATCTAAATAATTATTGTCGTAAAATAGGCAAACGGTCTGAGGTGCCTGACGTCCAGGAATTCTTTTACACATCAGTCCCTTCCTAGTCTCTGTGCCCAGTGCAATTCATCCCAAATCTTCCTTCTTTCCCTCCCGCCTGTCCCCTCAGTACCAACCCAAAGCATCGCTGAGTCTTTCTAATCTTCCTTTTCTACAGACCCATCTGACCTCTCCCTTCCTCCCCAGGCTGCTCCTCGCCAGGCCGAGCTAGGTCCCAATTCTTCCTCAGCCTCTGCTCCTCCATCCTATAATCTTTTTATCACCTCCTCTCCTCACACCTGGTCCGGCTTACAGTTTTGTTCCGTGACTAGCCCTCCCCCTCCTGCCCAGCAATTTACTCTTAAACAGGTGGCTGGAGCTAAAGGCATAGTCAAAGTTAATTCTCCTTTTTCTTTATCCCAAATCAGATAGCCTTTAGGCTCTTTTTCATCAAATATAAAAATCCAGCCCAGTTCATTACTTGTTTGGAAGCAACCCTGAGACACTTTACAGCCCTAGACCCTAAAATGTCAAAAGGCCGTCTTATTCTCAAGATACATTTTATTACCCAATCTGCTCCCGACATTAAATAAAACTCCAAAAATTAAATTCCGGCCCTCAAACCCCACAACAGGATTTAATTAAACTCGACTTCAAGGTGTACAATAATAGAAAAAAGTTGCAATTCCTTGCCTCCACTGTGAGACAAACCCCAGCCACATCTCCAGCACACAAGAACTTCCAAACGCCTGAACCGCAGCGGCCAGGCATTCCTCCAGAACCTCCTCCCACAGGAACTTGCTACATGTGCCGGAAATCTGACCACTGGGCCAAGGAATGCCCGCGGCCCAGGATTCCTCCTAAGCCGTGTCCCATCTGTGTGGGACCCCACTGAAAATCAGACTGTTCAACTCACCTGGCAGCCACTCCCAGAGCCCTTGAAACTCTGGCCCAAGGCTCTCTGACTGACTCCTTCCCAGATCTTCTCGGCTTAGCAGCTGAAGACTGATGCTTCCCGATCGCCTCGGAAGCCCCCTAGACCATCACGGATGCCGAGCTTCGGGTAACTCTCACAGTGGAAGGTAAGCCCATCCCCTTCTTAATCAATACGGAGGCTACCCACTCCATATTACCTTCTTTTCAAGGGCCTGTTTCCCTTGCCTCCATAACTGTTGTTGGTATTGATGGCCAGGCTTCTAAACCTCTTAAAACTCCCCAACTCTGGTGCCAACTTAGACAGTACTCTTTTAAGCACTCCTTTTTAGTTATTCCCGCCTGCCCAGTTCCCTTATTAGGCTGAGACACTTTAACTAAATTATCTGCTTCTCTGACTATTCCTGGACTACAGCTATATCTTATTGCCTCCCTTCTTCCCAATCCAAAGCCTCCTTTGCGTCCTCCTCTTGTATCCCCCCACCTTAACCCACAAGTGTAAGATACCTCTACTCCCTCCTTGGTGACCGATCATGCACCCCTTACCATGTCATTAAAACCTAATCACCCTTACCCCACTCAAGGCCAGTATCCCATCCTGCAGCATGCTTTAAAAAGATTAAAGCCTGTTATCACTCACCTGCTACAGCATGGCCTTTTAAAGCCTATAAACTCTCCTTACAATTCCCCCATTTTACCTGTCCTAAAACCAGACAAGGCTTACAAGTTAGTTCAGGATCTGCACCTTATCAACCAAATTGTTTTGCCTATCCACCCTGTGGTGCCAAACCCATATACTCTCCTATCCTCAATACCTGCCTCTATAACCCATTATTCTGTTCTAGATCTCAAACATGCTTTCTTTACTATTCCTTTGCACCCTTAATCCCAGACTCTCTTCGCTTTCACTTGGACTGACCCTGACATCCATCAAGCTCAGCAAATTACCTAGGCTGTACTGCCGCAAAGCTTCACAGACAGCCCCCATTACTTCAATCAAGCCCAAATTTCATCCTCATCTGTTACCTATCTTGGCATAATTCTCATAAAAACACAGGTGCTCTCCCTGCCAATCGTGTCCGACTGCTCTCTCAAACCCAAGCACCTTCTACAAAACAACAACTCCTTTCCTTGCTAGGCTTGATTAGCACTGTCAGAATTCTTACACAAGAGCCAGGACCACACCCTGTAGCCTTTCTGTCCAAACAACTTGACCTTACTGTTTTAGCCTAGCCCTCATGTCCGTGTGCAGTGGCTGCCACTGCTTTAATACTTTTAGAGGCCCTCAAAATCACAAACTATGCTCAACTCACTCTCTACAGTTCTCATAACTTCCAAAATCTATTTTCTTCCTCATACCTGATACATATACTGTCTGCTCCCCGGCTCCTTCAGCTGTACTCACTCTTTGTTGAGTCTCCCACAATTACCATTGTTCCTGGCACAGACTTCAATCTGGCTTCCCACATTATTCCTAATGCCATACCTGACCCCCATGACTGTATCTCTCTGATCCACCTGACATTCACCCCATTTCCCCAAATTTCCTTCTTTCCTGTTCCTCACCCTGATCATGCTTGATTTATTGATGGCGGTTCCACCAGGCCTAATCGCCACACACCAGCAAAGGCAGGTTATACTATAGTACAAGCCACTAGCCCGCCTCTTAGAACCTCTCATTTCCTTTCCATTGTGGAAATCTATCCTCAAGGAAATAACTTCTCAGTGTTCCATCTGCTATTCTACTACTCCTCAGGGATTATTCAGGCCCCCTCCCTTCCCTACACATCAAGCTCGAGGATTTGCCCCACCCAGGACTGGCAAATTAGCTTTACTCAACATACCCTGAGTCAGATAACTGAAATACCTCTTAGTCTAGGTAGATACTTTCACTGGATAGGTAGAGGCCTTTCCTACAGGGTCTGAGAAGGCCACCACAGTCATTTCTTCCATTCTGTCAGACATAATTCCTCAGTTTAGCCTTCCCACCTCAATACAGTCTGATAACAGACCAGCCTTTATTAGTCAAATCAGCCAAGCAGTGTTTCAGGCTCTTAGTATTCAGTGAAACCTTTATATCCCTTACAGTCCTCCATCTTCAAGAAAAGTAGAATGGACTAAAGGTCTTTTAAAAACACACCTCACCAAGCTCAGCCAACAACTTAAAAAGCACTGGACAATACTTTTACCACTTTCCCTTCTCAGAATTCAGGCCTGTCCTCAGAATGCTACAGGGTACAGCCCATTTAAGCTCCTGTATAGACGATCCTTTTTATTAGGCCCCAGTCTCATTCCAGACACCAGACCAACTTAGACTGTGCCCCAAAAAACTTGTCATCCCCACTATCTTCTGTCTAGTCATACTCCTATTCACCGTTCTCAACTACTCATACATGCCCTGCTCTTGTTTACACTGCCGGTTTACACTGTTTTTCCAAGCCATCACAGCTGATACCTCCTGGTGCTATCCCCAAACTGCCACTCTTAACTCTTGAAGTAGATAAATAATCTTTGCTGGCAGGACTATGCTGAATCTCCTTAGGCACTCTCTAATCAGATATCCTGAGTTGTCCCAATTCTTAGACCTTTTATATCTGTTTTTCTCCTTCTGTTATTCCATTTAGTTTCTCAATTCATCCAAAACCATATCCAGGCCATCGCCAATCATTCTATATGACAAATGTTTCTTCTAACATCCCCACAATATCACCCCTTACCACAAGACCTCCCTTCAGCTAAATCTCTCCCACTCTAGGTTCCCACGCCGCCCCTCATCCCGCTTGAAGCAGCCCTGAGAAATATCACCCATTCTGTCTCCATACCACCCCCCAAAAATTTTCACTGCCCCAACACTTCAACACTATTTTGTTTTATTTTTCTTATTAATATAAGAAGGCAGGAATGTCAGTCCTCTGAGCCCAAGCCAAGCCATCGCATCCCCTGTGACTTGCACGTATATGCCCAGATGGCCTGAAGTAACTGAAGAATCACAAAAGAAGTGAATATGCCTTGCCCCACCTTAACTGATGACATTCCACCACAAAAGAAGTGTAAATGGCCGGTCCTTGCCTTAAGTGATGACATTACCTTGTGAAAGTCTTTTTCCTGGCTCATCCTGGCTCAAAAATCACCCCTGCTGAGCACCCTGCGACCCCCACTCCTGCCAGCCAGAGAACAACACCCCTTTGACTGTAATTTTCCTTTACCTACCCAAATCCTATAAAACGGCCCCACCCTTATCTCCCTTCCTTGACTCTCTTTTTGGACTCAGCCCACCTGCACCCAGGTGATTAAAAGCTTTATTGCTCACACAAAGCCTGTTTGGTGGTCTCTTCACAGGGAAGCGCATGAAAGTGGTGTTTACCTGTAGTCCTAGCTACTTAGAAGGCTAAGGTGGGAGGATCCCTTGAGACCAGGAGTTTGAGATTACAGTGAGCTATGATCATGAAGTGGTGATGATTATAGCTGCTCATGTGTGTCCACATTTGAAGGCTATCACTTCAATTAATCATATATGTTTTATTTTACTAATTATTTTATAGTCCTGATAATATTACTGAGTCAAAATTGTATAAACAATCACAGGGAAAAAATAAGATTTTTTGTTTTTTAAGTGTATTATTCCCATTAAAAGCATTTCCTAGAGCCCTAGAGCTGTATATATTTCACTAAAATATGCCCAATTTCAAGAAAAATATTCTGAATTACTTCTACTCGGAGTAATTTGAGATCTCTCCTTTTCATTGCTGTCTCTGCACTAAAGCATTTTAAAAGATGTGCTTTAGTGATTCGTTTTAAAGCTAGACATACACATTTGTGGATGCTATTACAATAAAAACCATGCAGAGTAACTGAGCCTTTGGCATTGACTATTTCACTTCATTACCCATCAAATTTGAGACTTCTTCCAGAAAAGCAAGAGGAAAATTTAAATCAAATTGATTTATAATAGTGACAAATGACCTTTTTTCTCCTTAAACATTTAATACTAATATTTGAAAGGAAAAGATGGAGGCATATGAGGGTTTTGATTTGCTGAGAGATGATGGTTTTTTGCATTCCTTTTGAAAGCAGGGAAAATATACAGGTTATTTTCTTTTACTGATTTAGATTAGCAGGTATATGTCTTTTACCATCTCCATGCTTTGGATGATGGTTATGGATCATGCCATTAATGCATTTAACTGCCCCCAATACACAGATCTATCTGATTATTGTAAGCATCTTGAGGCATGAGTTTGCACCCAGAAGTGCTGGTATACTTATAAAAAAGAAAAAAGAAACACACAATTTGCTTCCACATTGTGAAACACAGTCAATTTTGAATTAAGTTGCTTTATTCAGGGTTGCATACTGATTTGAAGATTCACTTCATTGTTTCTGCTGCTGTGGTTGTAACCCAATGATTACACTGAATTATCTGAATACAAAAGTAACTGGGTAGAAACTATATTAATTTCATGATTATCCACAAACTTTGCTTTTAATTAACTGTTCATCTGTTTATTCAGCAAAAGCTTGTTAGTACATACCATATGCCAGAAATGGTTAAAGGGAGAAATGCTACAACAAAAAGTAGATATGACATAATTTCTTCTCTCAAAAGCTTTTCAGTAGGAGAAAGGTGAATATAAATGAAAGCCATAAATCCTTGCATGTATTATAATATAGAAGTGTGTTAATACACATAACGGACACCTAAAACAGGCCATGGTGATTTATATTTCCAGTTTCTAAAAGGTTTTTTAAAGAATGTATTCCTAACTGTAAATAATTTTTTTTCCAAAAACTGTAGTATATGTTTTAATTTTAAAGTCATGGCCAGGCTGAGCACAGTGGCTCACACCTGTAATCCTAGCATTTTGAGAGGCCAAGGTGGGTGGATCTCAAGGTCAGGAGTTCAAGATCAGCCTGGCCAATATGGTGAAACTCCATCTCTACTAAAAATATAAAAATTAGCCAGGCATGGTGGTGGGCTCCTGTAGTCCCAGCTACTCAGGAAGCTGAGGCAGGAGAATTGCTTGAACCTGGGAGGAGGTTGCAGAGAGCCAAGATCACGCCACTTGCACTCTAGCCTGGGCGACAGAGTGAGACTCCGTCTCAAAAAAAAAAAAAATCATGGCCATATATACTTGTCAAACTTTCATTTTACTTATTCACATACTACCTGCCAGGCCTCTGAGCCCAAGCTAAGCCATCATATCCCCTGTGACCTGCACGTACACATCCAGATGGCCGGTTCCTGCCTTAACTGATGACATTCCACCACAAAAGAAGTGAAAATGGCCTGTTCCTGCCTTAACTGATGACAATGTCTTGTGAAATTCCTTCTCCTGGCTCATGCTGGCTCAAAAGCTCCCCTACTGAGCACCTTGTGACCCCCACACCTGCCCGCCAGAGAACAACCCCCCTTTGACTGTAATTTTCCTTTACCTACCCAAATCCTATAAAATGGCCCCACCCCATCTCCCTTTGCTGACTCTCTTTTTGGATTTAGCCAGCCTGCACCCAGGTGATTGAAAGCCTTATTGCTCACACAAAGCCTGTTTGGTGGTCTCTTCACATCGACGCTCATGAAATTTGGTGCCAAAACCGGGGATTGGGGGACCTCCCTTAGGAGATCAATCCCTTATCCTTCCTCCTGCTCTTTGCTCCATGAGAAAGATCCACCTATGACCTCTGGTCCTCAGACCCACCAGCCCAAGGAACATCTCACCAATTTCAAATCCGGTAAGCGGCCTCTTCTTACTCTGTTCTCCAACCTCCCTCACTATCCCTCAACCTCTTTATCCTTTCAATCTTGGTGCCACACTTCAATCTCTCCCTTCTGTTAATTTCAATTCCTTTCATTTTCTGGTAGAGACAAAAGAGACACGTTTTATCCTTGGACCCAAAACTCCGGCGCTGGTCACGGACTGGGAAGGCAGCCTTCCCTTGGTGTTTAATCATTGCAGGGACACCTCTCTGATTATTCGCCCAGGTTTCAGAGGTGTCAGACCACACAGGGACACCTGCCTTGCTCCTTCACCCTTAGTGGCAAGTCCTGCTTTTCTAAGGAAGAGGCAAGAACCCCAACCCCTTCTCTCCATGTCTCTACCCCTTCTCTGCTTTTCTGGGGGAGGGGTAAGAACCCCTCAACCCCTGCCCCTTCACCCTTAGCAGCAAGTCCCACTTTTCTAGGGGAGAGGCAGGAACCCTGACCTTTTATCTCTGCACCCCAATCCCTTATTTCCACACCCCGACCTCTTGACTCTGCACCCCGATCCCTTATTTCTATGCCCCGACCTCTTATATCTGTGCCCCAACCCCTTATTTCCACACCCCGACCTCTTATCTCTGTGCCCCAACCCCTTATTTCTGCACCCTGACCCCTTTCCTGCTTTTCTGGAAGGTAAGAACCCCCGAACCCCTTCACTCCGTGTCTCTACTCTCTTTTCTCTGGGCTTGCCTCCTTCACTATAGGCAACTTTCCACCCTCCATTCTTCCTTCTTCTCCCTTAGCCTGTGTTCTTAAAAACCTAAAACCTCTTCAACTCACACCTGACCTAAAACCTAAATGCCTTATTTTCTTCTGCAATGCTGCTTGACCCCAACACAAACTCGACAGTGGTTCCAAATAGCCAGAAAATGGCACTCTCAATTTTTCCATCCTGCAAGATCTAAATAATTCTTGTCATAAAATGGGCAAACAGTCTGAGGTGCCTGACATCCAGGCATTCTTTTACACATCAGTCCCTTCCTAGTCTGTGCCCAATGCAACTCGTCCCAATCTTCCTTCTTTCCCTCCCACCGGTCCCCTCAGTCCCAACCCCAAGTGTCGCTGAGTCTTTCTAATCTTCCTTTTCTAGAGACCCATGGGACCTCTCCCCTCCTCGCCAGGCCAAGCTAGGTCCCAATTCTTCCTCATCCTCTGCTCCTCCACCCTATAATCCTTTTATCACCTCCCCTCCTCACACCTGGTCCAGCTTACAGTTTCCTTCCGTGACTAGCCCTCCCCCACCTGCCCAGCAATTTCCTCTTAAAAAGGTGGCTAGAGCTAAAGGCATAGTCAAGGTTAATGGTCCTTTTTCTTTATCCAACCTTTCCCAAATTAGATAGTGTTTAGGCTCTTTTTCATCAAATATAAAAACACAGCCCAGTTCATGGTTCATTTGGCAGCAGCCCTGAGACGCCTTACAGCCCTAGACCCTAAAAGGTCAAAAGGCCGTCTTATTCTCAATATACATTTTATTATCCAATCTGCTCCTGACATTAAATAAAACTCCAAAAATTAAATTCTGGCCCTCAAACCCCACAACAGGACTTAATTAACCTCACCTTCAAGGTGCACAATAATAGAGTAGAGGCAGCCAAGTAGCAATGTATTTCTAAGTTGCAATTCCTTGCCTCCACTGTGAGACAAACCCCAGCCACATCTCCAGCACACAAGAACTCCAAATGCCTGAACCACAGCTGCAAGGGGTTCCTCCAGAACCTCCTCCCCCAAGAGCTTGCTACAAGTGCCAGAAATCTGGCCACTGGGCCAAGGAATGCCCACAGCCCCGGATTCCTCCTAAGCCAAGTCCCATCTGTGTGGGACCCCACTGAAAATCAGACTGTTCAACTCACCTGGCAGCCACTCCCAGAGCCCTTGGAACTCTGGCCCAAGGCTCTCTGATTCCTTCTCAGATCTTCTCGGCTTAGCAGCTGAAGACTGACACTGGCCGATTGCCTCCGAAACCTACAGGACCATCACAGATGCTCTGGGTAACTCTCACAGTGGAAGGTAAGTCCATCCCCTTCTTAGTCAATATGGAGTCTACCCACTCCACATTACCTTCTTTTCAAGGGCCTATTTCCCTTGCCTCCATAACTGTTGTAGGTATTGACGGCCAGGCTTCTAAATCTCTTAAAACTCCCCAACTCTGGTGCCAACTTAGACAACATTCTTTTATGCAATCTTTTTTAGTTATCCCCACCTGCCCAGTTCCCTTATTAGCTACAGCCACACCTCATTGCTGCCCTTTTCCCCAGTTCAAAGCCTCCTTTGCATCCTCCTCTCGTATCCCCCCCCTCGTATCCTCCCACTTTATCCCACAAGTATAAGATACCTCTACTCACTCCTTGGTGACTGATCATGCACCCCTTACAATCTCATTAAAACCTAATCACTCTTACCCCACTCAATGCCAATATCCCATCCCACAGCACGCTTTAAAAAGATTAAAGCCTGTTATCACTCGCCTGCTACAGCATGGCCTTTTAAAGCCTATAAACTCTCCTTACAATTCCCCCATTTTACCTGTCCTAAAACCAGACAAGACTTACAGGTTAGTTCAGGATCTGCACCTTATCAACCAAATTGTTTTGCCTATCCACCCTGTGGTGCCAAACCCATATACTCTCCTATCCTCAATACCTCCCTCTACAACCCATTATTCTGTTCTGGATCTCAAACATGCTTTCTTTACTATTCCTTTGCACCCTTCATCCCAGCCTCTCCGCTTTCACTTGGACTGACCCTGACACCCATTTGGCTCAGCAAATTACCTAGGCTGTACTGCCACAAGGCTTCACAGACAGCCCCCATTACTTCAATCAAGCCCAAATTTCATCCTCATCTGTTACCTATCTCGGCATAATTCTCATAAAAACACACGTGCTCTCCCTGCTGATCATGTCTGACTAATCTCCCAAACCCCAACCCCTTCTACAAAACAACAACTCCTTTCCTTCCTAGGCATGGTTAGAAACTTTCACCTTTGGATACCTGGTTTTGCCATCCTAACAAAACCATTATATAAACTCACAAAAGGAAACCTAGCTGACCCCACAGATCTTAAATCCTTTCCCCACTCCTCTTTCCATTCCTTGAGGACAGCTTTAGAGACTGCCCCGACGCTAGCTCTCCCTGACTCATCCCAACCCTTTTCATTACACACAGCCAAAGTGCAGGGCTGTGCAGTCGGAATTCTTACACAAGGACCGGGATCGTGTCCTGTAGCCTTTTTGTCCAAACAACTTGACCTTACTGTTTTAGGCTGGCCATCATGTCTCTGTGCAGCGGCTGCTGCCACCCTAATATTTTTAGAGGCCCTCAAAATCACAAACTATGCTCAACTCACTCTTTACAGCTCTCATAATTTCCAAAATCTATTTTCTTCCTCACACCTGATGCATATACTTTCTGCTCCCTGGCTCCTTCAACTGTACTCACTCTTTGTTGAGTCTCCCACAATTACCATTGTTCCTGGCCTGGACTTAAATCCGGCCTCCTACATTATTCCGGATACCACACCTGACCCTCATGACTGCATGTCTCTGATCCACCTGACGTTCACCCTATTTCCCCACATTTCCTTCTTCCCTGTTTCTCACCCTGATCACACTTGGTTTATTGATGGCAGTTCCACCAGGCCTAATCGCCACTCACCAGCAAAGGCAGGCTATGCAATAGTATCTTCCACATCTGTTATTGAGGCTACCACTCTGCCCCCCTCCACTACCTCTCAGCAAGCCGAACTAGTTGCCTTAACTCAAGCCCTCACTCTTGCGAAAGGACAATGCGTCAATATTTATACTGACTCTAAATATGCCTTCCATATTCTGCACCACCATGTGGTCGTATAGGCTGAAAGAAGTTTCCTCACTACACAAGGGTCCTCCATCATTAATGCCTCTTTAATAAAAAGTCTGCTCAAGGCCGCTTTACTTCCAAAGGAAGCTGGGGTCATTCACTGCAAAAGGCATCAAAAGGCATCAGATCCCATTGCTCTAGGCAATGCTTTTGATGATAAGGTGGCTAGACAAGCAGCTAGCTTTCCAACTTCTGTCTCTCACAGCAAGGCTTATGCTGATAAGGTGGCTAGACAAGAAGCTAGCTCTCCAACTTCTGTCCCTCACGGCCAGTTTTTCTCCTTCACATCGGTTACTCCCACCTACTCTCCCGCTGGAACTTCCACCTATCAATCTCTTCCCACACAAGGCAAATGGTTCTTAGACCAAGGAAAATATCTCCTTCCAGCCTCACGGGCCCATTCTATTCTGTCATCATTTCATAACCTCTTCCATGTAGGTTACAAGCCGCTAGCCCGTCTCTTAGAACCTCTCATTTCCTTTCCATCATGAAAGTCTATCCTCAAGGAGATCACTTCTCAGTGTTCCATCTGCTATTCTACTACTCCTCAGGGATTGTTCAGGCCCCCTCCCTTCCCTACACATTAAGCTCGGGGATTTGTCCCTGCCCGGGACTGGCAGATTGACTTTACTCACATGCCCTGAGTCAGAAAACTAAAATATCTCTTAGTCTGGGTAGACACTTTCACTGGATGGGTAGAGGCCTTTCCCACAGGGTCTGAGAAGGACACCATGGTAATTTCTTCCCTTCTGTCAGACATAATTCCTCGGTTTAGCCTTCCCACCTCTATACAGTCTGATAATGGACCAGCCTTTACTAGTCAAATCACGCAAGCAGTTTCTCAGGCTCTTGGTATTCAGTGGAACCTTCATATCCCTTACAGTCCTCAGTCTTCAGGAAAGGTAGAACGGACTAATGGTCCTTTAAAAACACACCTCACCAAGCTCAGCCACCAATTTAAAAAGGACTAGACAATACTTTTACCACTTTCCCTTCTCAGAATTCAGGCCTGTCCTCAGAATGCTACAAGGTACAGTCCATTTGAGCTCCTGTTTAGATGCTCCTTTTTATTAGGCCCCAGTCTCATTCCAGACACCATACCAACTTAGACTGTGCCCCAAAAAACTTGTCATCCCTACTATCTTCTGTCTAGTCATACTCCTATTCACCATTCTCAACTACTTATACATGCGCTGCTCTTGTTTACACTGCCGGTTTACACTGTTTTTCCAAGCCATCACAGCTGATACCTCCTGGTGCTATCCCCAAACTGCCACTCTTAACTGTTAAAGTAAATAAATAATCTTTGCTGGCAGGACTATGCTGAATCTCCTTAAGCACTCTCTAATTAGATGTCCTGGGTCCTCCCAATTCTTAGACCTTTAATACCTGCTTTTCTCCTTCTCTTATTCCGTTTAGTTTTTCAATTCACACAAAACCATATCCAGTCCACCACCAATAATTCTATACGACAAATGTTTCTTCTAACAACCCCACAATATCACCCCTTACCACAAAATCTTCCTTCAGCTTAATCTCTCCCACTCTAGGTTCCCACGCCGCCCCTAATCCCACTCGAAGCAGCCCTGAGAAACATTGCCCATTATCTCTCCATACCACCCCCAAAAATTTTCACCGTCCCAACACTTTACCACTATTTTGTTTTATTTTTCTTATTAATATAAGAAGACAGGAATGTCAGGCCTCTGAGCCCAAGCTAAGCCATCATATCCCCTGTGACCTGCACGTACACATCCAGATGGCCGGTTCCTGCCTTAACTGATGACATTCCACCACAAAAGAAGTGAAAATGGCCTGTTCCTGCCTTAACTGATGACTTTGTCTTGTGAAATTCCTTCTCCTGGATCATCCTGGCTCAAAAGCTCCCCTACTGAGCACCTTGTGACCCCCACACCTGCCCGCCAGAGAACAACCCCCCTTTGACTGTAATTTTCCTTTACCTACCCAAATCCTATAAAATGGCCCCACCCCTTTCTCCCTTCACTGACTCTCTTTTTGGATTCAGCCACCCTGCACCCAGGTGATTAAAAGCTTTATTGCTCTCACAAAGCCTGTTTGGTGGTCTCTTCACATGGAAGTGCATGAAACTACCCTATATTTAAGAGTTTGAAAAAATTAAATGATTGTATTTACAAAAGCCTACAGGTTTCTCTTCATTTACTCTCTGTCCTTCTCTCCTCTGCCAGTCCTGAGGAAGATTGACATTTGCCACACCTGCATAAAGAACCCACTTGGTGAAAACCCAAGTTTTCTTGGAGTCTGCTGCTGTGAGACACGAGGAAAAAACAGTACATGTGTACACGGTAGATCTGGAAGGGAAAGCAGAAAGTATCCAACACTTCTTGCATGAAGAAAACAAAATGTAAGTTTTTCAGTTTATGACCATGTGTTTACTTACTGCTTCCTAATTTCAACTTATTCCTTTAGATATTCACTGCACAGAAATGCTTAAGAATAACAAAACAGAATTGTTTCTGGGTTTCCAGAAACAGTATTTTCTCCCAGCTATTATAAATATGATACTTTTTGCCAATTTGCCAGGCACTGAGAAAATACTTAATCTTTTTTTTTTGTTGGTGTGGGCTGCAAAGAGAAAAATTTTGCAAATGGCATCATACTGTGTTACTAATTTCTGCTGCTAGGAATTTATATCTTTGTTTCATGAAGGATTTGAACTTTGTTCTTTTGTCCTAAGGCAAATTCATCAAACTGCACATAACATTACAAATGAAACAAACAAAAAAAAGAGTAGAAAATATTTTGGAGCACCATTTTTTGGCTGTAATTTATATAACAACTCAGATATTAAAATTAGCAAAAAGGATAAAAAGAAAAGCCAAATGCTTTACCAGGAGCATTGATTAATAAAAGCTATTATTATATTACTATATAGTAATTACAGGTCTACAGGGATAGTCCTCCATAAAATTCAAGTTTCTGTAAAAGGCATACCAGAATTCTCTGAAGTACTTTCTAATGACCCTCTAAACCAACTATTTCATTCCCACTTGGTCAGAAAATATTAAGTGAGTTGATGCTATGTAGGAAGCTCTGTGATAGGCTCTGCCCACATAGCAATGAATTACTTCATGGTAGATAAAAGAATGAAAACATGTTTTTAAAGTGGTGTAATGGAGTCAAGCACAGGATACTATAGGAATATAAAGAATGGTTATGTAGTCCAGCCTTGGGGACATCAATAGGTCAGTGATATATCAAACTTGAGTTGTGATTGAAAAAGGAATTATCCAGGCAAAGAAGGCAACTTGAGGGAAAAGATGTCTAACCATAAGCAGACATGCAGGAGTTGGCTTGGTGAATTTAAGCATACCTAGTGGTGGCATGATCATGAAGAGCTTCCATTTATGATCAAATTAAAATTTTATTCACAAAGATGTGGTCTCATAAAAGAATTTTAATTTGAAATAATATGATTTGCATTTTTGAATTGTTAATCTAGAAGCGTTGTGAAAATGAATTCAATGTGAAGGGTTTATATCACTTTCCATCCTTTGATGTCATCCTGCTGTTTTCTGACTTCTGTTTTCACAAAATCTCCACCTTTTAAGTCATAATGCATACTTTCTTCCCCCTTCCTTTGTTGGCAAGGAAATGTTCTCATTTTGCACTTTTGCATATGGAGGGTGGCTGCTAGCTGTGCTAGATATGTGATATACCCTAATGCCTCTGTCTCTTTTCATCATTCCTTCTGCTAAATCAATTAGAATGACAGGGTAATAGAACTCTCTTTGTATCAATATGTTCAATATGGTTTGTTCGCCTATGGGCAATGTCCCCCTGTTTGTTTTAAGATAAAATAATTTTAAGTTGTGCCTCAGTACTGACACTCTGTATTGCTGGTGTTCATTAGAAACTGGTATCATAAGTTGTTTCAAAATGTGACAGGGCATTAAAGATTTATCAAACATTAAACAAATCCTATACGGGTCTGCTCCTGGTTTGTCCCAGGAGCCTATACATATAGAAAGAGTTAAAAAGACAATCTCATGTCCTTGCTAAATAAATATGCTTTAGGGTTCAAGAAGCAGTTTACTAAGTTAAATAAGTGCAATAAATCAATGGAGAAATGCCAAAGTTAACTGCGCAAACTCGAAAGTGTAGAGGGATTTCTTAGAAGCAATTGGACAAGAAGGGCAAGAAATAGCTACAGATGACCTAGAAGATTTGACCAGTCTGTAATTTATCTGAGACTGTAACCTATCTAACTTATCTCTGATAGCTACAAGTAGAGGATCGAAGCCTCCAACTTGTAGCTTACGGACTGCAGTGAAAAAGTCAGGAGATTCTAGCTGAAGTACAATCAAACTCTTTGATTATGTGGAGGAATCCAGCAATAATCAAAATGTTGAATTGGTCCAGGGTATCCTTTACTGTGCAGTCATATCTGCTTCCTTTTCCATCAAAGGAGTCCTCAAACTTGCACAATTCTACACACAAAAAAAACTTAACCTTGCAACAAAAGAGCATAGGCTGTACACTGTTACATGTTGTTTGAACATTATTCTCAATTTAAGCTTTACGTTTTTAGTCATCTATAACCCATTGAATAACTATGTGTATGAATCCCTTTCCTTGAGCAAATGTCTCCTTGTATTTTCTCTTTCTAATTCAAGGAGAATTACTGACAAAAGCAAGTCTTTTTTTTTTTTTTTTTTTTTTTTTTTTTGTCTTAGGTATTTGCCCAGCAGTTTCTGTTTTACAAGTTTTATTTCTGTTAACAGTTTTTATGGAATTTCAACTATGTTCCAATTATAAACCGCTTTGAATAAGAGCCCTAGAGCCCCTCCTTATTAGCATGTGATTAGGCTCTAAAATATGTGTTAGTAATGTTAAGCAGGAGCTTCAGCTATGAATTCCAAAGCAAAGTTACCTGAAATCAGGTACAATTAAACTGCTTTTGGAGAAAACATCCTATATGACATGAAATGTAACCAAAAACAGGTAAATAAACACTAAGAGAACTAATCACTGTGGTTTATGAACTGACAGCTTTTACTGTTTATCTGCATGCATTATGAATAGAAAAACTAATTTTCCTTGTTTTTTGTATATAAATAATTCAACCAGCAGAAATTCTACTAAAGATGCTGAACACACACACACACACACACACACACACACACACACACTCTTGTTGAATGAATTGTCCTAAATTTGAATTAAGACTGTGAGCAACTTGATCTCTTTGGAAATTTGAGTCATTCTTAGAAATTGGTTCCAGGTTGAATATTGTAAAACCAAATTTCAAAAAATCTGGTAATTTTTCTACCAGGAAAAACTAGTTTCCTTTTTAAGCTTGATCATTTTTTTCTGTAGACATACCCCTTCAGGCCATCTGATCATTTTTCTTTTATTTCCCTCTTAGTATTTCTACTCCATTTAATTAAAGACAAATGAAACATACCGCTACAACTTCACCCCCAATACAAAGGATGGATAAACTTCTGTTTTATTTCTTGCATGTCAAATCAATATTTGGGGTCCTAATCATTTTAAGAATTCTCCTGTGATTTGCTCCTGCTTTCTCTTCATCTTATATGTGTGTGGGCATGTGTGTGTGCTCAGTGAGGCTTAGAATTAAAGACTCTATTCTACACAATGCATCCACTCTATCAAGAGCCAAATTCTTATCTTGCTTTGAACCCTCAGGGATCATTGACTTCAAAAGAATATATTATGTTCCAAAGTGGCTCCATACAGCTGTAGAGGAAGGCATAAAATTGGTCCCGAGAGACTAGTTCCTCAATTCAATGTGATGTTATTCTGCTGCATACATAAGTAGCTCTGTCTCTCTCTCGCTGGTGCCTGCCAGTTTGTGTGTATTTGTGATCAAGCATAGCGAAACAAAACAGAATTCCAATATGCTCTCTGAAATTATTCTCGGGTAATAGTAGAGGTGATATTATCAAAATCAAAACTCATTAATATTTTAAACAGAAAGATCTTTTATGATTTATGCTGTCTTTGAAATACAAACAAGCAGTAAGTCAGATAAGAAACCAGATCACTGTGAATAAATGACTAAATCTCTAGAAGCCTTCCAAACCAAGATTTCCAGGATATAAGTTAACTTGTTTCATTGAAGTGATTAGAGCAGAAGTGTCAGATAATATAAAATAAAAACTTCATTGTAGAAAATGAAAGAAAAATGTATGATTACGTGTATAAATAACATCTGCTCTATGCTTACATATACACAATGAATATCAAACATTAAATTAAAACACATTCAACTAATTATTTTTAAAATATAGTGAAGTTCAAACTAATGTTGTCAAAGAATCTGAATTTCTAAATACTGATGCATTTCTTTTAACTTTACCCTGTACAATTAAACTATGCAAAATAATTTGGAATTTACATTATTGTCTATCTTTTTTTAGAAAACTGCATTTTTTTTTGTTAAAAGTGTTAAGCAAAGAGATAAAAGAAGGTTAGATATATTGGGGAGATTTAGGTATAAAAATCGTTTAACAAACAAATTTCTTTTATTAAGTATTTTACAAGATCCTTCACAGTTTTGAAAAAGTAGGATATGTGGTATTCATCATTCCCAAAGTCTATTTGACCACATAACCAATGGCACTACACCATTCTCAGCCCTGTTTTGCATTTTGCAAGATTTTGTGAGCTTCTAGTGTGTAAATTTATATTTAGTAAGAAGCATTTAATTTGGTTCTTATGCATTTTCTCTCCTAGGTTTTTAAATTGTTTTGTTAGTTCTTAGAAAATGAGCACCATTCATGTCCTTTGTAGGGACATGGATTAAGTGGGAAACCATCATTCTCAGCAAGCTAACAGAGGAACAGAAAACCAAACACTGCATGTTCTCACTCATAAGTGGAAGTTGAACAATGAGAACACATGGGCACAGGGAGGGGAACATCACACACCTGGGCCCGTCGGGGGTGGGGGACTAGGGGAGGGATAACATTAGGAGAAATACCTAATGTAGATGACGGGTTGATGGGTGCAGCAAACCACCGTGGCACATGCATACCTATGTAATAAACCTGCACATTCTGCACATGTAACCCAGAACTTAAAGTATAATAAAAAAAGAAAGAAAGAAAGAAAATGAGTACCATTAACTGTCAAATACACTCACTCACCTTTTTGTACTATTTAACAGCTTGGATTTGTACTGGTACATCAAGTTGTTTTATCCAATGACATGGAGGTTCTCTGGCTCTAAATGTTTAAGCTTTTCTAGAATACTATGTATGGATATGGCTAAAGAGGCTAAAGGTGTTAGCCTTAGTGAAAGTAGGGCAATATTTGCTAGATACATTGAAAGACAGTGATATTTTCATTTCTGCCCTTATATAACAATCATTACCCGTTCCTTTTTCTGGTGGCAACAAATACTGGCATCTCATTAAATATTGTTAAGGGGATTATAACATTATTATCTAATCATATTGGACATTCATAATACATAAAGCAATTATATTTTGACACAAAGTATATTGGAATATATATAGAAAAAGTACATTTCAATGAGACATAGTTTGTATCTATTTCCAATTGTCTTCAGCCTTGAAAACTAGACATTAATTATATTGTATTGTTTTTAATCAGTGTTTTATAAAGAACCCAAAAAATAATAGAATAATAGAACAAATAAAGTCTTTCAGAAGGTCAAATGTACTAATAATTAGTAGATTTTTGTATCCAATCTCTGAATGTATACTGCATAATTTTCCAGAATCACAGTTTAAAAATAGAACAGTAGATTTTTGTTTCTCCATATAAAACACTATTAGTGCAATATAAAATACCAGATAAAAAATGGCATGTTTAACGTTTTCCCTACTTTCTAATTCCGATTCTTAAGAAAATTTACATAGGCACTAACATATGACAGAAAGAACAAAAACCTTTTAATTGGAATATTGTATAGCTGGGTAGGAGATATGTAAAATCTGTAATCTTGAATCTAGGAGATTTTATGAATGATATTGGTAAAAATTTTGTACTCAAATTAATCAATGCAACTATTTCTCCATGTTTACTAAATCATGTATTATTATCCTAATGTTTCAAAGCTGTAAATTTTGTTCAATTTTGTGTAAGCTATCACTTGAAGGATGAGTTGATATTCATAATGGAAAAGTACAATTAATAAATAAAAGCAATCCTTATTTTATTTGTTCCTTTGTATAGTTCTCTATAGCTATATTGACATAATTCCACAACTGATGTTGTTTAAGTCAATAAAATAAGACAATACGTTATGTGGTACAATTAATGGGATGTCATAAATCAAATAATGGCAGATGATAAAAATTGGATGTTGTGGTGCCTACAGGCACAATGCAAGAGTAAGAAGAGTGATTTCCAAATGTGCAATGCTTTTTCTACCTTTATACTAATTTCAAAGTATATTGCTGAACAAACAAGCTTTTTCTTGAATTTTAAATTTCTATTTTATAGCTTCTTCATGAAAATAATGATTATATATGAAAATTCACATCAAAATTTTTTGAAAGAGAATTTTAAATTATTGGCAAATTATCTAAGTTAGAAATTGGTGAAATTAAACTTTAAAAAGTCCTTAGCTGAAAATATAAAAAATGCTGCTGTGATAAATATTTAACATTGACGTCTATAGTTTGTAATTTTCTGCAAAACAATCGTTATTGTTTCTATGGTAGTAATTTACTAATAGTCATAGTAGAAGCAGCAATAATAATATTATTAGTATTAGTCCTTTCTCATGCTGCTGATAAAGACATATCCAGGACTGAGTAATTTATAAAGAAAAAGAGGTTTCATGGACTTACAGTTCCATGTGGCTGGGGAGGCCTCACAATCATGGTGGAAAGTGAAAGGCACATCTTACATGGTGGTGTTCAAGAGAGAATGAGAGCCAAGTGAAAAGGGAAACCCCTTATAAAATCATCAAATCTCTTGAGAGTTATTCACTACCATGAGAAAAGCATGGGGGGAACTGCCCACATGATTCAATTATCTGCCACTGGGTCTCTCCCACAACACGTGAGAATTATGGGAGCTACATTTCAAGATGTGATTTGGGTGGGGACACAGCCAAACCATATGAGTCAGCACTGGTGCTATTATTTGCCAGAAAACTTCCATGAGAATTCCCTGAAGATCAGAGGCTGACTTTCATTATTAGAGCCCATAAGTCCAAAATTAATTGAGTTATTTAAGTGACCATATTTGGAATCTAGTTAGGTTGTGACTTAATTATGTGAATAATCTTATGTTTTAAGATATTTTTAAGCCATTGGTCTATTATGGCAGTGAATGCCTATTATTACAAAACAAATTTGGCAATAAGTCATTCAAGGTATGACATAGAATCTCCTCATTAACTGCCCTGCCCAAAAAGGTATTATAAGCCTGCTTTAAAGAGCAGAATAAGTCCCTCTGTAGTGTATAATTGTTTAACAGAGGACTCTAACAGTATCACAATCAATTCTATGTAGCATACAGTGTAGTTATGTAATCATTTTAAGCACCAAATCTTTACCTCTGAAGAATTTTGAAGAATGTCCCATGACATGCCAACAGCTATTTTTCACTGTCATCTTTCTTCATCTGAAAATATGTATTTATGATATTATTAATTTTCACAAACTCACTGGTAAAATCAGTCAGCATTTTATCCTAAAAATATAAATCTATAATGTTTTAGTTACATGAAATAACTACAGGTTGTAGAACACACAAAATATACTTTGCCCAAATTCTCAAGTATGATAAAAACAAGAAATATTCTCTTATGGATATCTATAGTTTAATAAGAGTAGCATCAGGAGAATCACTTTAAAATTTAGAATAATCATTTTCTTATGAGAAAAATGTGCTCCCAATGGATTACTTTTAAAAGTAACACAAATAGAGTATTTAAAATGTAATTATATAATAAAATATTGATTTATAAAAATGATTACAAGAAAATGTCTCATATATTAACAGAAATGTATCTGTAAATTATCACTTTAGGTAATTCATATTGAATTTTTTTAAATGAAATTCCATAAATCTATAATGATTATATATTGCTTATGAAACAAAATGGGCCAAAAAGTTTTTTTTCAAAGTGCCCTGACTACATACAGGAACTATGAACAACTTCATCTACTCATTGTAGATATTACAAATATAGCCCACTAGAAGAAATACATGTGGATAATTGAAAATAGAACAGGACCATATTTCAACACAATTCTCAGTCAAACAAATTCTGCATTATTGACATTTTATGTCTTCTCATGAAGGATATATGTAGAAGTCCATCCCATAACTTATAATATTATTTCCTTTTTTGAGGTTTTACCTCAATGTAATCTTACACAATAAAGTGCATAAGGATACTAAGCAAATGGACTATTTTTGAGCTCTAAGATACATGAACACACACACACCACACAGACACACACATATGTGCATGTGTTCAGGTGTGTATGTGTGTGTATGTATAATCTTGTGCAAAGTTTATCCATGTGATCCCACTGGTAGAATCTGGTAAAAAAACAATATCCCTTTGTTAATTAAGGATTATTTCTACAATAAGGGTGTAAAAGCTCAGATTCTTTATTCTTTATCTGGCCTGAAAACCCTGGAAGAGTTTCAAGGACTATATGAATACTAAATTGTACACCAAAAAATGTATAATACATTTTTTAAATTTTATTATTATTATACTTTAAGTTTTAGGGTACATGTGCACAATGCGCAGGTTTGTTACATATGTATGCATGTGCCATGTTGCTGTGCTGCACCCATTAACTCGTCATTTAACATTAGGTATATCTCCTAATGCTATCCCTCCCCCCTCCCCCCACCCCACAACAGTCCCCGGAGTGTGATGTTCCCCTTCCTGTGTCCATGTGTTCTCATTGTTCAATTCCCACCTATGAGTGAGAACATGCAGTGTTTGGTTTTTTGTCCTTGCGATAGTTTGCTGAGAATGATGGTTTCTAGTTTCATCCATGTCTCTACAAAGGACACGAACTCATCATTTTTTATGGCTGCATAGTATTCCATGGTGTATATGTGCCACATTTTCTTAATCCATCTATCGTTGTTGGACATTTAGGTTGGTTCCAAGTCTGCTATTGTGAATAATAAATTTTTATAGACAGAAGTACCCATAAAGTTTTCAAATATGTCTGTGTAATATTAAAATTAAGTACCACTTTTCAAGCCATATAATCTTATTACTTTTATTACATCAGCAATGTGGCTTAGTTAACTACTGAACAAAGTGGAAGAAGGAGATAAGAGGCTTACATAAGTTAATAGCTTGGCCCTGAGGAAAGAAAATTCGACATATACTTCCTGGAATTTCTTGATAATTGATATATTTTCTCCTTAGCACTTATCACCCCCTGACATAGTATACATTTGTATTTGTTTATCATAGCCACTAGAATAACATTTCTAAGAGAAGAATATATTTATTGCACAGTGTCTAGAAAAGTGATGCATACTAAATGTGTAATAAATTATTATTGAGTGAGTGGAGGCTCTACTGAGAAAAGTTTGCTAGAGAAAACAATATGGTAATTAACTCATGATCGCAAACAACTTTAAAATGCAAGGACTTTAAACCATATAGCCAAGGGCTAGAGCCAAAAATAACTGGAGGCCCACAAACTACAGAGAAAATAGCATGTAAGGGAAATGCTTGAAATGTTTCCGTGGCAGTTTGTTTTCAATATGTCCATGATCCATCTCCCATCCTGCATCCAGAATTGGAGTCTATTCCTCTCCACCTCGCATCTGGGATGTAACTTGATGGACAAATGGAATGGGTGAAAGTGACATCCTGGTACTCCTAAGGCTGGATTAGAAGAATCCTTTCATCTTTCTCCTGGACCTACTGGAGTATTTTCTCTAGGAAAAGCAAATTAATGTATAAGAAGTCCAACTACCCTGAAACTGCCATGTGATGAGACATACAAGCTATAGGACAAACCAGGAATATTAAGACACTGTGTGGAAAGAAAGAAAAGTCAAAGAGAATTGAGGCACTAGATATTTGAATGAAATGATCATTTTGGATTTGGTGTCTCCAGCTCCACGTGTTCAGCTGATACCACCATGGATCAGAAACAAGCCACTCAGTCAAGATTTTACAGAATTCCTGATGCACATATCATAAGAAAAATTGTTTTTCAAAAATAGGTGTTTTGAGCCTCAAAATGTTGGGGCAGTATGTTACACCAAAATAAATAAGTGAAACCATTTTTAATACCACTCAGAAGAGAGGGAGAATTTATTTCACATTAAATTATGCAACATATGCCAACTATACTGGAATTTTGGCACATATTTAACAGGATATTCTGATTTAAAGGCTAAACTACAAAGAAACTTATGACCAAAAGAGTTTGACTGTTGGATCAAAGAACACATTAGGGACTCAGATATTGCTTTGACATATATTTGTATCTTGTTGTCTTGTTTTCTTGCATCGTTTAGGTATAATAATCATAAAACAGGCCCATTGCCCTGTACTGACTCCACTAATGTTTTATTTATGGTATCAAGGCCTTTTCCTTGCCTTTTAGCTGGGCTCTACAGGGATATCTCAATGAATTTTTAATATTCATTTTTACCCTTTTTTAAAGCAGAGCTACAAGTGAGTCTCACAGAGGGTTATGCTGAGCAACGAGGTGTTTGTCAGGCTGCCACATGAGTCATTTTTTTCCAATGACAAAGCAGGTGGCTGCCCTGGAGGGGAACATAAAAGGTATCTCAGTAATCATGTCCTACTTGAGTTGCCTACACATTGCTGACTCAACAGCTGCCTCTATCCAGAAGAAAACAAGGCAGGAGATAAAATATAAACTAAAAACAACCGATCAAAAGAAAAAAGATGTAATAAAACCACCACTGAAACAATTGCCTTTTTTTCTTTCAAACAATGATTTTTGAGCACACATGCTTTAAATGAAAATCTATAAGACAAATTACAAACAGGAATCTTTACACTTTGCAGGATGTTGGATCTCATGTTTTATCAGCAAAACCTGCTAGGAAAATTGCAATCACATAATCCTCTAATCCTTTCTTGTTTACTGAATGGAATATTTAAACCCAGAAGGATTCAAGAAGTTCTGAATTGGGTCTCAGGCCAAGATCTGAGTCAGAAATTTTCAGGCCATATACTTAGCACATGATTTGCTGCCAGCATTATTACATAGGAGAAATTGCAACTTCTGAAAAAAAAAAAAAAACTGATAGCAGATACTGAATAGAAACGTGTCTTTCTCTTCTTTAATCCAGTAGTGAGTTAGGAAAGTTTCTCTAGTAGAATGTGGGGCCTTTTTAGGAATCAACATGGTCTATGAACACACAAGTAGGCTTCTTAGACAGCAGAGTTTTCTGTGTCTCATAACATGATATATAAATTGTTTTTTAAAAGATGTGAAATTACATGAAAATATTGGAATTTCTGGAATAATCCAAGATAATACTGAGAAGAAGAGTGATTGATTCTCTCCTAGATCACCCTGAAGTAAAGGAACAAGAACATCTGTGTTGATAGAAGCCATTGATATTACGTTCCTACCTGAGACTAAGAGATGTGCCTATGGTTATGCATAAGGTCTTCTATCTGGGAGTGACCACCAAAATGTCTTTGAAATCATGATATAAAAAGACTAGTAACAGGACTTGGAGGAAAAATTGAGGAAGGAAGAATAGGGAAAGAGGGCACAGGCAAATCCATGAAAGAGCACCAGGACCATGAATCAATGCCACTGTTTCTTCCACTGATGGTCTAAAAACAAAAGAACAGAAAGCATCCCTGTAGGTTAATTGAATATTTCTAATGTTTCCATGTCATATTTATCATTTCCTGACAAAATCGTTTTGCAAACTTGACCATGAATTCTTATGATTCCAACTATCCCATGGTTTGCCATCATTTCTAAAACAAAATCAAACATCTTCACTGCAGAAATAAGAGCTTGCATGATCATACCCTAAATTTCTTTATTCAGCCTTTAAAAATTGTTCCTAGAAACAAGCCACACTGGTCACAGCAACATTAGCTGATATTCAGTCTCTCTGTCTCAAGACCCTCACATAGGTTATTCATTCCACTTAATCACCCTTTCAGTGACCTACCACTGCTGCCTTTTGTCAGTGCCCAATAAATACAACTTTACCAGTGTAAATTGTTTTCTTCTTCGATTATCAAAGCATCAAGTAGAGTCAGACACTCAAGGAAAACTTCTCCAACCCTCTCAGAATGTGTTAACCACCTCCATTCCCAATATTCACTAGATCCTACTTTGTTATGATTAACAGTATGTTTAATGTTCATTTTATCCCGCTGAAATGTCAACTCCATAAAGGCAGAGATCATGCCTGTCATCTTAATCAGAATATCCTAAAGTCAAACAGGAGGTACGGAATAATTAGAAGGTAATAACTATTAGTTAATTGGTGACAATAGTTAAATACAAAAATCTTAAATATACTTTTTAACAATAAAAGATTAAAAAGGCTACTAAGAAACGTGTTCATTTCTATAATGATTCTTATCGTAAGTACAATCATAAGGAGAGTAGTATTGTTTACAGTTTTAAAAAATTTATTTATTTATTTTAAATTAAGCATGAAATTTATATATACTCTCAGAAAAACATTAGAGGAATGCAGCCCTATAGAACTTGCTGCAGTGATAAAAGCATTCTATGTATGCATCATAGCTACAAGGTCCATGTGCCTAGTGAGCATTTGAGATGTGGCTAGTGAGAATGAGAAACTGATTTTTAAGTTTTATTTAATTATAATTAACTTAAAAGCAACAGGGAGTAGTGCGTACAATATCAGAGAGCTAAACAATGGATGAATGTGTATAATAAATATTCCTTAATAGTTGCATTTTTAAAGCGCAAAGAGCAGAAGTCAAATTTCATGGAGATGATGGCAAGAAAGAAATACTCATACTCTGATTAAAATATTGAAATATAATGGAAATAGCATTGAGGAATCCTCAGTGGAGTTAGTTTCTTCTCACTTGTAACAACCTCGGGAGGCAGGTGAATAAATAAGTTATTTTTACATGTTAAGAAATACTACATTTTGGCAGTGCTCCATCAAAGTTTCTATGAATAATTACTAATAATTTTATTTAAATTTATACTGAGCTAGTAAATATTTGCATTTAAATTATTGACCATTTACCAGTTTTTTTACATTGTGGGCCAGATCCTTACCTTATATTGCAAACCTGCCTCATTTTGGAGACACATGTCTGAACATAGCACTCCCTGCACTTCTGCGCGTATATTTGAACTTTGTCAACATGCCATTGATAAAGGACAATCATAGCTCTGCAATAAGGCTTATTAATATTCAGAACAACACATGTCTGCTCATGTAAAAATGTAGAAGTAATATCCTTCTACGGAACCTGAGTGCCATGCTCAATTAAAAGGCAAGCACAATTCCAGCACATCTGCTGGGTGCATATTCTGGTCACAGACTAATAGTCAATTGTGCAATGACAAATAAATGTATAACATACCATGGTAAGATAAATCTATATTTTAGAAATTCTTCAGTAGTTTTAAATGTTAAGCCTTTGTGTCTGAATTTTTATTTTTATCACAGAAAGTAAACAGTTCTGTGATGCTCTTAGTGACCTGACTTAAAACCACATGTCTTATTATTTCTCTTTCAAGCTGATTTATCAGTTTAATTGAAGAGTCCAAACATGAGCCACTAAAATACAACTTCTTATCCTTGTGAAACAGAATTTTTCTCCATGGTCTACAAGCCAAAAATAGCCCAATCAATTGTATTACATTTTTTTATTATCTTCTAGGCTGGATCTACGTTTTGACGTATATGTAAAAAATCTAATTTTTCTTGACAAACACTTTAATGTGTAAATGCTGTGTTCCTTTACATTGATAAGCCTAATTTATTCTAATAAAATTCATTTTAAATACGGAAACCAGATTTATTTCAACAAAACATCACTTTTATATTTAGGGATTTCCACTTGTAGTGGGTATGAACTTTTCTCTCCAACCTGAGATATAAAATCACACATTTCTTTTGTTTCTTTAAAATCCTATTTTTTCTCTCAAAACTACTAAAATGTGAAGAAACTTTATCTCGATGATTATTTGGTTGTTGTCCTTGGTAGAATAAAAAAAAAAAACTTGCTGAAATTATTGTTATAATTTGATATGGTTTGGCTGTGTCCCCACCCAAATCTCATCTTGACTTGTAGCTCCCATAATTCCCATGTGTCATGGTAGGGGTCCAGCGGGAGGTAATTGAATCATGGGGGTGAGTCTTTCCCATGCTATTCTCATGATACTGAACAATCTTAGGTGATTTGATGATTTTATAAATGAGAGTTCCCCTGCACACGCTGTCTTTGCCAGCCACCATGTAAGACATTCTTCTGCTCTTCCTTCATCTTTCACTGTGATCATAAGGCCTCCCCAGCCATGTGAAACTGGGAGTCCATTAAACCTCTTTCCTTTATGAATTAACCAGTCTCAGGTTTTTCTTCATTAGCAGCATGAGAATGGATCAATAGAGTAAATTGGTACTGGCAGAGTGGGGTGCTGCCGTAAAGATATTCAAAAATATGGAAGAAACTTTGGAACTGGCTAACAGGTAGAGTTTGGAAGAGTTTGGAGGGCTCAGAAGAATATAAGAAAATGTGGGAAAGTTTGAAACTTCCTAAAGACTTGTTGAATGGCTTTCACCAAAATGCTGATGGTGATATGA
Source organism: Homo sapiens (assembly GCF_000001405.40). Taxonomy (NCBI): domain Eukaryota; kingdom Metazoa; phylum Chordata; class Mammalia; order Primates; family Hominidae; genus Homo; species Homo sapiens. Next base: position 125,938,790 of record NC_000007.14, read on the forward strand.
ACAATAAAGTCCAGGCTGAGGTGGTCTCAGATGGAGTTGAGGAACTTGTTGGGAATGGAGTAACTGTCACTCTTGCTATGCAAAGAGACTGGTGGCATTTTTCCCCTGCCCTGGAGATCTGTTGAACTTTGAACTTGAGAGAGATGATTTAGGGTATCTGGTGGAAAAAGTTTCTAAGGGACAAAGTGTTCAAGAGGAAGCCGAGCATAAAAGTTTGAAGAATTTGCAGACTGATGATGCAATTTCTTCTGGGGAGAAAATCAAGCCCACAGTAGAAATTTGCATAAGTAATGAGAAGCCAAATGCTAATTGCCAAGACAAATGGGGAAAATGTCTTCAGGGCATGTCAGAGATCTTCCTGGCAGCATCTCTCATCACAGGCCCAGAGGCCTAAGATGGTCCAGGGCCTCTGTGTTTTGTGCAGCCTAGGGACTTGGTGCTCTGTGTCCCAGCCACTCCAGCCATGGCTAAAAGGGGCCAAGGTACAGCTCAGGCCATGGCTTCAGAGGGTGCAAGTTGCAAGCCTTGACAGCTTCCACATGGTGTTGGGCCTGCAGGTGCACAGATGTCAAGAACTGAGGTTTGGGAACCTCTGCCTAGATTTCAGAGGATGTATGGAAATGTCTGCATGTATAGGCAGAAGTGCTTTGCAAGGCTGGAACCCTCATGGAGAACCTCTGCTAGGGCAATGCAAAAGGGAAATGTGGGGTCAAAGCCCCCACACAGAGTCCCCACTGGGTCACTACCTAGTGGAGCTGTGAGAAGAGGGCCACCATCCTCCAGACCCTCCAGACCCCAGAATGGTAGGTCCACCACAGTGGAGGTTACTGAGAGCAGTCAAAGGCTGCTTACTGTAAGCTTAAACAAGAGAACTTGATCAATTTTCCCCTCCACAAGATATCACACTGATCCATTATGTGCAGGAAAGAGAGATCAGATTTTACTGTGTCTATGTAGAAAAAGGAAGACATAAGAAACTCCATTTTGATCTGTACTAAGAAAAATTCTTCTGCCTTGAGATGCTATTAATCTGTAACCCTAGCCCCAACCCTGTGCTCACAGAAACATGTGCTGTGTTGACTCAAGGTTTAATGGATTTAGGGCTGTGCAGGATATGCTTTGTTAAAAATGTGTTTGCAAGCAGTATGCTTGGTACAAGTCATCGCCATTCTCCAGTTTTGAGTATCCAGGGACAAAATGCACTACGGAAGGACACAGGGACCTCTGCCCAAGAAAGCCTGGGTATTATCCAAAGTTTCTCCCCACTGAGATAGCCTGAGATATGGCCTTGTGAGAAGGGAAAGACCTGACCGTCCCCCAGCCCAACACCCATAAAAGGTCTGTGATGAGGAGGATTAGTGAAAGAGGAAGACCTCTTTGCAGTTGAGATAAGAGGAAAGCATCTGTCTCCTGCTCATCCCTGGGAATGGAATGTCTCGGTGTAAAACCCAATCGTACATTCTATTTACTGAGATAGGAAAAAACAGCCTTATGGCTAGAGGTGAGACATGCTGGCAGCAATACTGCTCTTTACTGCACTGAGATGTTTGTATAAAGTCAAACATAAATCTGGCCTATGTGCACATCCAGGTGCAGCACCTTTCCTTAAACTTGTTTATGACACAGAGTCCTTTGTTCACATGTTTTCCTGCTGTCCCTCTCCCCACCATTACCCTATAGTCCTGCCACATCCCCCTCTCCGAGATAATAGAGATAGTGGTCAATAAATAACGAGATAACTCAGAGACCAGTGCCGGTGTGGGTCCTCTGTATGCCGAGCACCGGTCCCCTGGGCCCACTTTTCTTCCTCTATACTTTGTCTCTGTGTCTTATTTCTTTTCTCAGTCTCTTGTCTCCACCTTGCGAAAAATACCCACAGGTGTGGAGAGGCAGGCCCCCTTCACTTTACATTGATGACATTATGCTGATTGGATCCAGTGAGTGAGAAGCAGAAAACATACTGGACTTATTAGTGAGACATTTGCATGCCAGAGGATGGGAAATAAATTAGACTAAAATTCAGTAAACTTCTACCTCAGTAAAATTTCTAGGGGTCCAGTGGTGTGGGGCCTGACGAGATAGTCCTTCTAAGGTGAAGGATCAAGTTCTTTCCAAACAAGAGTTATGACACAAAGACGGAGAGTTGATATACCCCTGGTAGGACAGTAAAGGTATACTGCTGGCCTTGCCAGCTGAAGGCAAATTGCTTCTGGTGGACCTTACGGACAGGAATGGAGAAAAAGGCATTTGCCAAATCAGTCACTGCATACCAAGTACCAGATGTGTTAAGTTGCTTAAGCAATGAAACAAAATCTGGTCCAGCAGCTGCAATTGGAGTCACCACTTGTTTAAACTTACAGTAATCCACTGTCATTCTCCAAGATCCATCTCTCTTCTGCACAGGCCAAATAGGAGAGTTGAATGGTAATGCAATGGAAATCACCACCCCCGCCTCTTTCAAGTCCTTGATGGTGATACTGATCTCTGCAATCCCTCCAGGGATGCAATATTGTTTTTGATTTACTAATGGCTTCCATTTGGCATTTCCCACCATAATAGCCCTCATCCTACCGGTCAGGGAGCCAATACTGGGATGCTGCCAGCTGCTAATATGTCTGTGCCAATTATGCATTCTGGCACTGGGGAAATGACCACAGGCTGTCTGGGGACCCAGTGGACCCACCGCAAATCAAACCCAAGCTAAAACTACATTAATTACTTGACCTCCATAAGCCCATACTTCAAATGGAGGACCATAATGATGTTTTGGGTCCCTTGGAATCAACGTCAGCTCAGAGCCAGTGTCCAGTAGTCCCAGAAATGTCTGAACATTTCCGTTTCCCCAGTGCACAGTTACCCTGGTAAAAGGCTGTAGGTCCTCTTGGGGAAAGATTGGAGAAAGATTTACTGCATAAATTGTTGATAGTGTAATAGGGTCCTTCCTCAAGGGGACCTGGCCCCCCATTCATTCAAGGGGCTCTGGGTCTGTAAACTGGCTGAAGTCTGGAAATTGATTAAAGGATCTTGATTTTCGGTTTCTATAATTCAAATTAGTCTTTAGTCCACTTGGCCTGAAAGTTTTCTGCTTATATAAATTAAATAAGAATGCAGTAGGCTTTCTATCAGTTTCACTTCTAGGAACAACGTGATTAATCAGCCAATGCCAGAGCTCTACACAAGTCAGGCTATTCTGATTGCTGCTTTGCCTCTGCTGTCCATTACGGTAGCTACGTCCACCTTGCCTTTGATGGTTGAGTGTCACCACTTGGCCCCTGCCACCTTGGGATCCAATTATTCCCTTTACATTTAAATTTTGTAGTTGAGTGACTGTGGTTCCTACTGTAAGATCTGGCAAACAGAGAAGAGCAGTCACAGAGCTTTTTAAGGATGCAGGTGCTCCCCTCACAAATCTATTTTGCAAAGTATTGGTCAAAGGTATATCTTCTGGACCCTCCAAGCTGGAATGATTAGGACTAAAGTGACTAATCCACTCCAGCATCCCCATCTCCCTAAGCCTCTGGATCCCTTCTTCTACGTTAAACCAAGGAAGATCAGGCATTTTCAGCTCACTCACAGTGGGCCGTCTTTTAAGCCATAATTCATCTAACCAAGCAAATAAAATATTAGAACCTTTTTTTAACTACCTGAGCTGCAATATTAAATGCAAAATCTGTGCTGAGTGGGCCCAAATCCATAAATTCAGCCTGATTCAACTCTATATTCCTTCCACTATTATCCCACACTCTTAATATCCATTGCCATGCCTGCTCTCCAGATTTCTGCTTATATAAACTAGAAAACTCAAGCAGTTATTTTTGAGAGTAGCACACCTCCTCATGGGTCACACTCTCAACCTCACCTGTAGGGGCTTGCTGGGAGTTTAGCCTGGTTATAGGACTAGAAGTAAACAGGGGTGCTCGGGGTAAGTCCTGAAGAGAATCAACATTGTCTTGCCTCACAACTTGCTCAGGAGAGGCCATCACTGTTGCCTCAGCCATGCAGGGTTTATTTCCTCAGACAAAGGTGGAAAGGCTGATGACAGCATGGGTCAGGAAGGGGATGTTGCCACTACCAGGGATGGGGAAACTCTTTCTTCTGGCAAAAAAGGTTCATCGGAGTTTACAAGCTCAGTGTTCTTAGCTTCATTAGGGTCCTCCCACACATCCCATTACAAGTTGCAGGGTCCCATTCTTTACCAACTGATGCCCTCACTTTAACAGTAGACACCTGGTGAGGCTGTGAGTGCACCTTTAATTGCAGCTCAGCCACTTGCATAATAACAGCCTGATTCTTCATTATCTGTCTTGTCATTTTCTTATTGTAACATATAATTTTTTTGTTTTGAATAAAAAAATTTTCACTGAGCCTGTTGCTTAGGTTTCATTTATATAATGGTGTATATCAAAAAACAGACCATTTTAATTTTGATAAAATCCTATTGTGGTGGTTAATACTGAGTGTCAACTTGACTGGATTGAAGGATGCAAAGTATTGTTCCTGGGTGCGACTGTGAGAGTGTTGTCAAAGGAGATTAACATTCGAGTCAGTGGACTGAGAGAGGCAGACCCACCCTTAATCTGGGTGAATACCATCTAAACAGCTGCCAGCACAGCCAGAATAAAAAGCAGGCAGAAGAATGTGAAGAGATGAGACCTGAAATGAGCTATCACATCATACCCCAAAAATGGCTATAATCAAAAAGGAAATTTTAACAAGTGTTGGCAAAGATGTGTAGAACAGGCAATGTGTGTACACTAGTAGTGAAATATAAATTGGTTCAGCCATTATGGAATACAGTTTGTAGGTCTCTTAAAAATTAAAAGCAGAACTATGATATGATCTAGCAATTCTTCTTCTGTGTATATATCCCCCCAAAATGAAATCAGTACCTTGAAGTGATATCTGCACATCTGTGTTCAATGCAGCTAAAATATAAAAATAACTCAAATGTCCATCAACGGATAAATAGATACATAAAATATAACATATATATAATGTGTGTGTGTATATACATATATATGTATGTGTATATATGTATATATACGTATATATGTATGTGTATATATGTATATATACACAGAGAGACACATGTACATATATACACATATATACATATAACACCCCACACACACATACATGTATATTTAATTGCAATAGCGTTTATAAAATGAGAGAATCCTGCATTTGCAACATGGATAAACCAGGAAGACATTATGCTAAGTAAAATAAGCCAGATATAGAAAGACAAATGCTGCATGATCTTACTTATACATGGAACTGAAAAAAGTCCAACTCATAGAAATAGAGTAGAATGATAGTTTCCAGGTGCTGGGGGTGAGGGGAGAATGAGGAGATGTTGGTCAAGGGTATAAACTTTCAGTTATAAGATTAACAATTTGTATGTATCTATGTACAGCATGATGACTATAGCTAATAATATTATATTGTATATTTGATATTTGCGAAGAATAGATATTAAGTGCTATCATGACAAAATGTAACTCTGTAAGTTGAAGTATTAATCAGCTTGCTTGTGGTGATCATTGTACATTGTGGTGATATACACATGTATATCAAAACAACACTTTGTACATGATAAATATATATAATTGTTTGTCAATTACATCTCAATAAAGCTCAAAAAAAGAAGATGAAAAGCAACTCAATTTAAAAATGGGCAAAATATCTGATTTTGGGGAATATATATGGCTAATAGGCAAATGTAAAGGTGTTCAACATCTAACATTAATCATTACTCATTGTATTAGTCTGTTTTCACGCTCTTGATAAAGAGATACCTGAGACTGGGTATTTTATAAAGAAAAAGAGGTTTAATAGACTCAAAGTTCCACGTGGCTGGGGGGACCTCACACTCATGGCCGAAGGCAAAAGGCACGTCTTAGGTGGCTACAGCTAAGAGAGAATAAGAGAACCAAGCGGAAGGGGTATCCCCTTATAAAACCATCAGATCTCGTGAGACTTATTCACTACCATGAGAACAGTATGGGGAAAACCGCCCCTATGACTCAATTATCTCCCACTGTGTCCCTCCAACAACATGTGGGAATTATGGGACCTATAATTCAAGATGAGATTTGGGAGGGGATACAGCCAAACCATGTCAGTAATTATGTCATTTTGCTCAAAAAGTCATTAGTGAAACATAAATTAAAGCCACAGTGCAGCCAGGCATGGTAGCATGTGCTTGGAGTCCCAGCTATTCTGAAAGTCAAGGACAGCCTGGTCAATATGACTGGATCTCATTGTTGTTTATTTTACTTTGTTTTGTTTTATTGGATGGCCTCTGTTAGAATATTTAACCTGGATTCAAAGACAGCAGGCCATACAAATAACCAAGAGCATTTTGTTATTAATATCATACTTACCCTTTATTAGTCCATTTTTGCTGAATAACAAATTACTCCATAATCTATACTTACTACTAAAAAAAAAAAAAAAGTTTGTTTCTCTAGCTGGTGGATCTGTAGATCAGGTGGAATGACTCTTCCTAAGGCTTTCAGTTTGGGCCAGGTCTGCTTCGTGTGTCTTCATGAATATGAGATCAGTGGTTGCTGTAGAACATGCTTCTTACTGATGATTATAGGCGAGCAGGAGATAATCCAAAGCAGGAAGCATTTTAAAAACCTCTGCCTGCATCATGTAAACTGGCCAAACCCAATTCAATGGGGTGGAAATACATGTTCCTCTTAGAGAGGGAAACTTTGCAAATGTGTAAGCTGAAATATTTTAAATGTGTAGATATATCATATGGAGTAATATTTAGAATAACAATTCAAGGACTGGGCGCAGTGGCTCACGCCTGTATTCCCAGCACTTTGGGAGGCCGAGGCGGGCAGATGACGAGGTCAGGAGATCGAGACCATCCTGGCTAACTCGGTGAAACCCCGTCTCTATTAAAAAAATTAGCCAGGCATGGTGGCGGGTGCCTGTAGTCCCAGCTACTTGGGAGGCTGAGGCAGGAGAATGGTGTGAACCCAGGAGGCGGAGCTTGAAGTGAGCCGAGATCGCGCCACTGCACTCTAGCCTGGGCAACAGAGCGAGACTCTGTCTCAAAAAAAAAAAAAAAGAATAGCAATTCAATCTTTCACGTTTCCTTTTGATGAGAATCTATTAATTCAGGAAGAAATGTGTGTATTTTGACCTTCTTCTGTTCCTTGGGAAGAATTTCTACCAATCAACATACTCCCTGGTCAGGCCTATTTCATTAGTTAGCTTTTACTACCTAATGTTTTATACCTAGCCACAGAAATCTCAATACCATGCAATGATAAACATGTATTTCTTGCCTACATGTTTATAGTTGGCTGGGATGCCTCTGCTTCAAGTTATGGGACTATGGAGGACCTACTTTGGCTCCCTGTCTCTTGGACCAAGAGACAGACCATGTGTATCCTTAGTGTATTTTTTTCTATGACAAAGGCAGTTGCACAATAAGGCAACCAAACTGTACAAGAAATATAAGTTTTCTCCATGTTATACTTGCTAATATCTCATTGCTCAAAAGAAGTCACATAGAAAACCTCAATAGGAGAAGCAGCATATTCCATGACCGAGGAAGCCATAGTCGACATTATTAGAAACAATTAGGTATTTTCCTTTCACATAACCCAAGGCTATGTCATCCACCTTTGATTTAGTGTGCTGCAGATATAGTTTAAAACACTGAAACTTCTGGTCTTTTTATATTCCCCCTAATATTCCCCTTAAATTAGGCCATGTTTTTTCTGCTCACCTTCCTTTTGTTGTACCTTATTATGGAAGCTACCTCATGTGTTCAAATCTTTGCATCAAAACTTTCTTACTCAACACAGCACACTTATTACATACATTTCAGATGTGAAAGTTACTGTAGAAATAGTTTTTACTAAATGTTTTATTACTACAGAACATTATAGATTGTAATTTTTGCCTCTGATTTTTTTTTTGTCATATGCCAATGTACATTTTTTAGTTTTGTTTGTTTGTTTGTTTTGACATTGTTAGCAGCAGAATGTATCCGAGACATGACACCAAAGTATGTTATGGGTGGCGAATACATACGGGTCTGCAGAAACCTCAATTCTTGCCTCCTCAAAAGAAAGAATTTGACTGAGGGTCATAAGACAGAAGGAGAGACAAAAGCAAGTTTTAGAAAGGAAGTGAAAGTTTATTGAAACGCTATAGAATAGGAATGAACAAAGTAAAGTACACTTGGAATAGGGCATAGTGGGTGACTTGAGAGATGAAATGCATGGTTTGACCTTTTGACTTGGGGTTTTATACGTTGGCATACTTCTGGGGTCTTGCATTATTTCTCCCTTGATTCTTCCCACAGGTGTAGGGCCTACTAGCACTTGGGTGGAGAGCATGAACGGTGTGGTTACTGGAGCTGTACGCATGCTCACTTGAGGTGTCCTTTCCTTACCAGTTTAATGTCCATAGGAGGTCATATAACAGTTAAACTCTACCATTTGCCTCTTAATGCGCATGCTTGAACCCACTTGCCCAAACTCCTAAGATCTTATCAGAAGCTGCTGAAAACCAGTTTCAGATGTTTTCTTTCTATTGGGAGACTGCCTTTTCCTAGTGTCGGCTGTGACCAATTATTATTTTAGAGAGATTGTTAATAACCACCTGACCATCATCTAATGGTTGCCAGACATTTCTGGTGTGTGTGTAGGGGGAGAGCCCTCTCCTGCCCTGCTCATGCCTAACTAGCTTCCCACTATAACAAGACCATCCCTATTCACATGCTAAAATTGATACTGAGCAAGGATTGTCCAGGAAAACAGAAGCTACTCTATATAACCTGAATTAAAACAAAGAATTAAGTTGAAAGAGAAGAGAGGTCAAAGAGGTTGCACTGCAGGTCAGAGGATTTGACGTTGAAACAGTGGTGAGGTGGTTCTCACAAGCTTGCAAGGGAGTTACCATGAATCTTTTGTCTACCTACCAGCCTAGCTGCAAACACCTACAGAGAACAATGGCTTCTGCTATTCTTGTAGAAGGTCCTCTTTTGGGCAAAGAACCAGAGGATTCTTGGAAACATCGTAATCAGCCTTAGAATATGGTGAAGCTGAACTAACGATAGAAAATCCAGCATGGGATGGGCATGCTGGCTTATGCCTGTAATCCCAGCACTTTGGGAGGCCGAGGTGGGTGGATTACGAGGTCAGGAGATCGAGACCATCCCAGCTAACATGGTGAAACCCTGTCTCTACTAAAAATACAAAAAATTAGCTGGGCGTGGTGGCAGGCGCTTGTAGTCCCAGCTAATCAGGAGGCTGAGGCAGGAGAATGGCGTGAACCCAGGAGGCGGAGCTTGCAGTGATCCGAGATCCGAGATCATGCCACTGCACTCCAGTCTGGGCGACAGAGCAAGACTGAAGAAAAAAAAACAGAAAGGAAAGAAAGAAAGAAGGAAAGAAAGAAAGAAGGAAGGAGGGAAGGAAGGAAAGAAGGAAGGAAGGAAGGAAGGAAAGAGAGAGAGAAAGAAAAAGAAAGAAAGAAGGAAGGAAGGAAGGGAAGGAAGGAAGGAGAGAGAGAAAGAAAAAGAAAGGAAAAGAAAGAAAGAAAAAAGAAAGGAAGGAAGGAAGGAAGAAAGAAAGAAAGCAAGAAAGAAAGCAAGAAAGAAAGCAAGCAAGCAAGCAAGCAAGCAAGCAAGAAAGAAAGAAAGAAAAAGGAAGAAAGAAAGAAAGAAAGAAAGAAAGAAAGAAAGAAAGAAAGAAAGAAAGAAAGAAAGAAAGAAAGAAAGAGAAAGAAAGAAAAGGAAAGAAAGAAAAGGAGAAGATCCAGCATGGTCATGCTTACACAAGTAAACATTTGTGAATTCTCCAAGATTTATCAGTTGAGTTCCTCAGTCTGAGATCTCTATGCATTCTAAACTGAATCAAAATTTTTATATATGTAGACTAAGGATTAGGAAATTAACCTGGAACTTAATGGATATTAGACGAAATTACAGGTCACACATATGCATATTTTAAAAAGACTATTTTCTCTCTTAAAAAGAGTTTTTGCTGAAGCTATCACATCAATTGCCTAATATATGAACCCAGTTTTGAATGACAGTTAAAATATTAATTATGTCAAACATGTCATTACCAATGTGTCAATACTTCAAATGGGTTTGTTTCATATTCTCTCTGTCTCTCACTTATTCATTTTCTAAATCTTTCCATGTGCTCTCTTTCATCATACATACTTATATGAAATGTATGTATATGTACATATGAAAATAATATATATATAATATATTTATAAAATAAATATACACTGAAAAATAAGAAATACATGTACATATAGAAATATATGTCAGAAATTTGTAAGTAAACATATGTATATATTTGATATGCATACAAATAAAGTATACATAATTTAAGAACCAATGTAAAAGCATCTGTATACCAATGTAAAAGTATTACAGACCATAAATCAATATGAAGCAATACTTACTTGTAAAAGACCAGAGGTATTTCCTGATGAGAAAGTTTAATAATAAAATTTGTATAGGAAAGTATACTTCTGCTGTGTTAATATTGACAATCTTGAAAATCATAACTGGTATATTGGGGTTACAAAAGTAAAATTTAAAAATTAGAGAGTTAATTATCATGCTCCATATTTCATTCTTAGAAACAAAGAAAAATGATTATAGATGTCAAATGCTGGTTTACCGCATGGCCTAGTAGAAAGAGTTTCATACTAAAAATTAGAATATATGAATTTTAGTTTTGTTTTTTTCCCTAAATGTGTGATTTGGACCCATCAGTTTAACCTCTCTAAGACTTGTTTTTCTGAATTATAAAATTAAAGTGTGAGGCTAAATTATCTTCCAGGTAATTGCAGATTTTTCAAAACTACAATTACGTGAAATATCGAAAATAATTTAAACATAATTTAAGCTTAAGAAAAATAAAGATGAAAAGTAACCCAAATATTTGTATCATTTATCACTGCGGTCTGAAAATTACCCCAAATCTTGATGACTTACATCAGAAACATTTATTTTTCTCTCACTCTTCTTGGAGACAGTGTGACAGTTCTTCAGGTCTGGACTAATCTGGCTGGACCCAGATGGTCTAGGATAGACCATAGCTTGTCTAGTAATAAATGGCTTGTCAGTTTGGTGGGTGAGTTGGGCTGGGTGAGATGACTTGGTTCTACAAAATATAGCTTTTTTGTTTTCCAATAGGCCAGCCAGACTTTTTTACATGGCAGTTGCAGGGTTCCAAACATAAGCAAGAGAAGGCAAGTCCAAATGAGTGTGCTTCATGCCTTTGCTTTTATCAAGTTTGCTAACGTCATAATTGGCCAAAGCGTCACACAGGCAAGCCCATTTCAAGAGACAGAAAAATAGTCCTCTTTTTTTAATGGCATAAATGGCAAAAATCACTTTACAAAAGGAATTTGAGTATATGAATGGGAAGAATTTGTGACTGAGGAATTTGAATACATGAATGGGAAGGATTTCTGACTGATTTTGTAATGTCCCATTTTTCTTAATCTCCAGCTAAACTGACTATATGCCTTCTTATATAATTATGCAATCTCCTAAATTTTAGTTTGTTCATAGATTTTTATACCTCTACTGCTTCCTCTTGTGTTTACAATTTCTTGAACTTTCTACTACCTTACACAACTTTTCAGTGTTTTGTTATGATGGGTAGAGAGGACAAAAGGACAAGACAATGCTTGGATTTTTCAGGTGTTGAGGAGGCTTTGTAGGATAAGAACTTCACTAAAGAATAATGTAAGAATATCAGATTCATAGAGCTTATGAGGGTATGTTGAGGCCAAAAATGGACACAGAAAAAAAATGTGGGCAAAATTAAGTTTATTTTCTTTGCAGTTTTATCTGGAAATCATCTTTCCTTTTACAATGCAGTTGAAGAATGAGGCTAAATTTTCACATCTACAACCCTATTGTTATAATTTTATTTCATAGAAGTTACACATTTTAGAAGGACATGAAGTACTCTGACATGTATTAAACCTTGTAGAAAGAAGGCATGTAATAACAGGAATGTGATGAATAGGAAACAGACTACAAAGGGAAGTGCTATGCTACATGGTTCTTGTTCATCTGAACTAATAAGGTCATTTCATGACCTTCAAATTTGACAAACACAATCATAGTTGTATTTTCTCAAGGGCAGTGTTATTTCTTATTTCTTTATTTATTATTTTTATATTCCTGAGTGTGCAAAGCTATGAAACTAAAAACAAGCCAACAGAAACATTTGAAAAACAATAAGAGTTTTCACTCGCCTAAAATACCATCAGTATTTTTTATAAATGATATTATTAAAGCATGTGTAAAGGCTATTTATATTTAAAAATTTACATTTTATAAGTATACACTCTTTGCAAATTAGCCTCCACATACTGTTTATTTTGATTGGATAATTTTCAATGATCCTTAAAGTCACTTTGATGAATAATTTTATACCTTTCACAACACTTAAAACTATGAGTTTAGAGCTAGTCAAATTCATAATTAAGACTACTGATTAAGTATGCCAATATTTAATCATATATATTTGTTATAAACCTGAATTTTGAATCTAGGTCATACATAATAATAGCACATTCATTCAAGAAGCCAAAAGTATCCTGTCATATAGGATGTATACAATTATATAAATATTGGATCTAAAATATGGATAAAAATGGCAGGGATTGCTTGAAATAAAATTACATGTACTCAGTTGTTTGGATATCTTTATATATGTGCTTGCTTATATGCCTTCTGGAGTATTAAGATATCTTACAGAGGAAGGAACTTGAGCATTGATGTTATTAGACTACAAGTGAATAGCAACTCCACTACTGATGTGGTTTGGCTCTGTGTCCCCACCCAAATCTTACGTGGAATAATAATTCCCAATGTTGAGGGAGGGACCTGGTGGGAGGTGATTGAATCATAGGGGCAGGTCTCCCCCTTGCTGTTCTCCTGATAATGGGAGAGTTCTCACCAGATCTGGTTCTTTAAAATTGTGTAGCACCTCCCCCTTCACTCTCTCTCCTGCTCTGCCATAGTAAGACATGCTTGCTTCCCTTTTGCCTTCTGCCATGATTACAAGTTTCCTGAGGTCTCCCAGCCATGCTTCCTGTACAGCCTGTGGAACCATGAATTAAACCTCGTTTCTTCATAAATTACCCAGTCTCTCAGGTAGTCTTCATAAATTACCCAGTCTCAGGTAGTTCTTTGTAGCAGTGTAAGAACAGACGAATACAACTACTTAATAGATTCTTGATCTTAGGTAACTTACAACTTATTTAAATTTCAGTGTTCTTGTATTATATGTAAGCTATAATAATAATCATAATTCAGAAAGTTGTTTCCAGAAAGAAATAATTAATACATGCTAAAGCCCTTTGAAAATTGTACTCGAACATACTTATATAATTTTAGCTATATTTTGTGTATATCTGAGAGAGAAACATTTTATGAAGAATATCTATTTTTAAATTGTGGATAATATTTAATAATAATTATAAATGTCATTTATCTATATGCTTACTCAGGGTTAAACTCTGATAAAAAGTTTAAGATCATTCTTTTTAATCCTAATCACAGTCCCATCAGGTAGTTTTTACTTATACCCATTTTGCCACTGAAAAAATCATTAATCAGCTGCAGAGCTAAAATTTTATTTCAAAAATTGTCATTTTTGCATCTGTTATCTTCTCCATTATATTAGCCTTTCCAAAGTCTAGCATTGGGGAAAATGAGTGAACGTAGTTGGAAAACATTGTAACCTACATCCTTTTTAAAAGTAATGCACAAATTGTATTAGCATAAGAAATTGCTAAGACATACTGTAATAAAAACTATTATTTAAGTATATATAACCCTGAAGTTTCCAAATGAATTTTACTATTTACACTTTTATTGTGTCCACTTCTTTTGCCAAGTATTTGTATGTGTTCGTGGGGGACAGGGTTCTATGTCAAAACTGTAATCAGACTTCTTAGTCGAGGTTCTAATTCTAAAATTCAGATATTTATATTGAATCTGGGTTTTCAAGTTACTTGCTTCTAGTCTAGTATCCTCCTGGATCTATGCATATGGCTTTAGTCACTATGCAGGACCACATACAAAACTGCCTAACATTGCTTTATAAGACAATTCCCATGAGACAATAGCCAAAATGTACTTCTTTTAAGACAGATGCTGTAGATTTATCAAAAAATAATGTAGTATAATCTCTGTTGCCCATAAAGAAGAACTTTTTGATGAATCCTTTTTGAAACCAAAACTGCTTTTTGTTGCAGTTGCTACATGATGGCATTGCTGGCAGTTTTACGTTAAAACATTACTTTTTCATCTACCATTTGTGTTTCTTACCTTAGTAATGCCTTTTGTTTCTTTACTTCTTATAATTTCAACTTTTATTTTTGATTCAGGGGTATACATGCAGGTTTGTTACATGAGTATATTGCCTGATGCTGAGGTTTGGGGTACAAATGATCCCATCACCCGGGTTGTAAACATAGTGTCCAGTAGGTCATTTTTCAGCCCTCGTCCCACACTCTCCCCTCTAGTATTCTCCAGTGTCTATTGCTCCCATCTACAGGTTCATGTGTACTCAGTGTTTAGTTCCAACTTATAAGTGAGAACATGCGGTAGTTTTCTGTTCCTGCACTAATTCACCTAGAATATTGGCCCCCAGTGGCGTGGTGGCGGGCGCCTGTAGTCCCAGCTACTCGGAAGGCTGAGGCAGGAGAATCGCCTGAACCCAGGAGGCAGAGGTTGCAGTGAGCCGAGATCGTGCCACTCCAGCCTGGCAACATAGCGAGACTCTCTCTCCAGAAGAAATAAAAATAAGAAAAGAAAAGAATATTGGTCCCCAGTTGTATCCATATTGCTGCAAAGGACGTGATTTCATTTTTTTTTTTTTTTTTTGAGACAGAGTCTCACTCTGTCGCCCAGGCTGGAGTGCGGTGGCACTATCTCGCCTCACTACAAGCTCCACCTTCTGGGTTCGCGCCATTCTCCTGCCTCAGCCTCCTGAGTAGCTGGGACTACAGGCGCCCCCCACCACACCCAGCTAATGTTTTTGTATTTTTAGTAGAGACAGGGTTTCACTGTGTTAGCCAGGATGGTTTCCATCTCCTGACCTTGTGATCCGCCCACCTTGGCCTCCCAAAGTGCTGGGATTACAGGCATGAGCCACTACACCCCGCCGATTTCATCCTTTTTATGGCTGCATAGTATTCCATGGTGTGTATGTACCACATTTCCTTTATTTAATTCACCATTGATAGGCACCTAGGTTGATTCCATGTCTTTGCTCTTGTGAATAGTGTAGCAATGAACATACAAGTGAGTATGGCTTTTTGGTAGAATTATTTATTTTTCCTTTGGATATGTACCCAGTAATGTGATTACTGGGCGAAATGGTAGTTCTAAGTTCTTTGATCAGTCTTCATAGTTTCCACAGTGCTGAATTAACTTCACATTCCCACTAACAATATATAAGCGTTCCCATTTCTCCATAACCTCGTCAGCATCTGTTATTTTTTGACTTTGCAATGATAGCCATTCTGACTGGTGTAAGATGGTATTTCATTGTGGTTTTCATTTGCATTTCTCTGATGATTAATTATGTTAAAGTATTTTTTATATATTATTGCACACTTATTTGCCTTTTTTTGAGAAGTGTCTGTTGATGTCCTTTGCCCACTTTTTAATGGGATTACTTGTTTTTTGTTTATTGAATTAAGTTTCTCATAGATTCTTTATGTTAGACTTTTGTCAGACACATAGTTTGTGGATATTCTCTCCCATTCTGTAGGAACAAAACAAGAATGCCCACTCTCACCACTCCTATTTGACATAATACTGAAAGTCTTAGCCAGAGAAATCTGGCAACATAAGGAAATAAAAGGCATCCAAATACAAAAAGAAGTCAAATTATCTCTCTTTGCTGATGATATGATTCTCTGCCTAGAAGCACTAAAGGCTGACAAAAGGCTCCTAGAACTGATAAATGACTTCAGTAAAGTTTCAAGATACAAAATTGAAGCACAGAAAAATGAGTAGAAGTTCTGTACACCAATAATGTTAAAGCTAACAGACGAAGTGCACTCCCATTTACAATAGCAGAAAAAAAATCTAGGAATACACTTAACCAAGTAAGTGAAAGATCTCTGCAAGGTGAGCTACAAAATACAGCTGAAAGAAATCAGACAGCACAAGCAAATGAAAAAAACATTACATGCTCCTGTATTGAAAGAATCAATATTGTTAAAATGATCATACTGCCCAAACCAATTTACAGATTCAACACTATCATTATCAAACTACCAACATCATTTTTCACAGAATTAGAAAAAACTATTCTGAAATTCATGTGGAACCAACAGAAAGCATAAATAGCCAAAGCAATCCTAAGCAATAAGAACAAAGCCAGAGGCATCACATTACCCAACTTCAAACTATAGTATGTGGCTACAATCACCAAAACAACATGGTTCTTAAACAAAAACTGACACATAGACCAATGGAACAGAATAGAGGATCCAGAAATAGAGCCGCATACCTACAACCACATGATCTTTGATAAATTTAATAAAAATAAGCAATGGGGAAAAGACTCCCTATTCAATAAATGGTACAGGGATAACTGGCCAGCCATATGCAGAAGAATGAAACTGGACCCCTACCTTTCACCATATACAAAACTTAACTCAAGACGGATTAAAGATTTAAATTTTAGACCTCAAACTATATGAATCCTAGAAGACAACATAGGAAATAACATGGTCATCAGCCTTGGCAAATAATTCATGAGTAATGCCTTTTATATAGCAGTTTTGATATAATGGAATAAGAGAGAAGAAAGATTGCGTATTTGGAGTACTCACGATGGAAAGTAGTCTACAGGGCTTGATGAAAGATGATTAGCAGAGACTGACATGCAAACTCAAAAGATATAATGTATATCTGCTTCTTAATTTCTTTCAATTCTATCTTTATAGAAGTTATGTCATGAGGAATTCTTTTACATTTCTTCTGTGGATACTATTTAGAATTTTATTTCTTCTTGAGTTTAATTCTAATTAAAAGTTATATAAAATCCATTTATTAGATATGATTTTTAAAATTATTGCAAGGAATTGACAAATAAAATTGTTTTAGAATAGTTTTTATATAGAGAGAGAACTGTTTCTGATGCTATTGTATCTTTCCATTATTTGCTCAGATTTGCCACGCTAGTTAATTTTATTAAACTTTTAAAGGAATTCTTTTTAATTTTTTCCATTAAATTTAATATTCAAATAATATTTGTTTCTTTGTTTTATACACTTTTTATTTCATTTTAATTTAAGGTTTTCTTTTAGCATGTTATTATTTCTCTTTTCCAGAAGTGGATAATAAATTCAATTGTTTTCAATATTTTTTATTTTCAATATTTTATATTTCTAAAACATTTATTTAAATCAAATGTTTGTGCTTTGAGCTTCTCCAAGACTTAAACTTCTGACCAACAAAAATGACTAAAATAATTTAGGGACTTAAGTCCCTAAAACAATAATTTATTTAGTCATTTTGTTGCTCAGAAATTTGATAAGAGCTCAGTTGGATCTGAAGTGTCAACTTCCAAGTTAGCTTTTGCACTCATATGACAACTTCCTTAGTGTCTCTCCCTTCCTGTGGCATTTTATTCTCTAAGGCTTTTCCATGTTCTTGTTCCCACATCATGAGAGTAAATATAGTTTGGATCTCTGTTCCTGCTAAAATCTTATGTGAAATTTTTATCCCCAATGCTGCAGCTAACAACTAATGACAGGTGTTTGGGTAATGGGGATGGATCCCTCAAGGCTTGGTCTTTGCAGTAGTGAGTGAGTTCCCATTAGATAGGGTCATTTAAAAGTATGTGGCACCTCCTTCCCCACTCTCTCTCTTGCTCCCTCCTTCTCTGGTCATGTGACATACCTGCTTTCCCCTTTGCCTTCTACCTTGATTGTAAGCTTCCTGAGGCCTCCCTAGAAGTTAACCAGATGCCAGCACCATGCCTCCTGTAAAGCCTGTAGAACCATGAGCCAATCACAGTGCTTTTCTTTATATATCACCCAGTCTTAAATATTTCTTTATTTAAGCAATGCAAGAACGGCCTAATGCGACAGTCTTAGGTCATGAGTCACCTAGCAAGGAGCTTGGCTTCCTCAACAGGGAGTGTTCCAAGTGATAGAAAGTAAAAATGCCAAATAGGTATAGCTTCATCTCTGTATTATGACCAAAGCAATCAGATTCATAAATTCTACTTCTTGTAGGGAGAATGTCAAGAATTTGTGACTCTCTTTAATCTACCACAACCTCTTCAGCTCCATATTCTAGCTTTTTATTATTTTGTTCTAAGTTACTTATAATAGCATGTCTCTTTTCTTCTTTTGCCTACAAGTTATTTGAAATATTGTTATTATTCTCTCTTTTTTTAACTTAATTTTCTAAAGTGTTTTTTTTCAGATATAATTTTAAAATATTTTCTATTCTTAACTCTTGGACAAAATACGGCCCACACAAAGTCAATTTTTTGAATTTTTGAGATTTTCTCTGTGACAATGTATATTTATATCTACTAATTCTAAAGGAAATTGGTTTATTGAGCTATTCAAACTATTAATTTTATTCATTAGCTTCTATTTTACCTCTATATTTTAAATCATTCTACTTATAAAGTGAAACTTGTCTGATTAAGTTATTAGGTATATAATCAACTTTTATTATAAAGCAATATTTTCCTTATGTAACACATTATTAATAAATCTATATTATTTAATAATAATACTAAAACGTATGCATCACATCTATCTGGTTTTTATAGTCTGTATGTGTTGTACTGAAAAATTTGTCTTCTTACTTGCCTCCTTTCTTAAAATGCTTTCTCTTTCAGTTAAAGCACGGTATCTGATTTTTTCATTTCCATAGGATTTGGACCCCCCTGTAGAAGAGAATAGACATTCAAATTGCTTTTGAAAATAACATTGGTTTTATCAAAAATAAATATACAAAAAATAAAAATAAAATTCTTCAATCAATATTCAATCCTAAATGTCCTTAATGTTTCTTTTTTATTAGCAGTTCAAACCATTTCCAGATTTTTTTTTTACCAAAACTATAAATAACTTATACACTTGAGTTAAATTTTCTCTAGACTTACTCCTTGTGATGAAGGATAAAAGTGATGAAATTATATTTAATTTTAAGAGGCCTATTGCAACAAAAATCTTGGTCTTAAAAGTGGAAAATAAGATGTCTACTGCAAAAAGGCCTGTGTGATTTAGAAGCTTGTTTTCCTATATATATATGTGTATATATATTTATATATATACACATATAAATTAGAGAAAAAATAAATTCACTGAGATTAGAAGAAGGTAGGAGCAAATGGTCAAAATTTTCCATAAAGAAGAATATTATTATTACTTTAGGATTACTTATCTGTACACCGATTGGTAAATAGTCTCTTCCCCACTGCATAGTTTTAATTTTTAATATTGATCCTGTATGCATGCGTATGTAAATAGAATCAACAGAAACATACACTAACCATGTGGAGGTCTAAAAAGAGTGACTATGAAAAAAGTCAAACATCCTTAAATTTGGAACAAGCACATAGTCAACTGCTTTGATGGTGCCAAACCTGTCCTAGGACTTTATGCAGGAAAAATTAAAGAAAGTATCACCTGCATGTTACTCAAATGAGCCCTGGGCTCTTTGGGTACTATGTTTGTGCAGAAAAAGAAAACAGAAATAAAGGAAGTGAAAGAGGATAGAATAAAAAAGAAAGTGAAGGAAGAGAAAAGAAAGTGAAGGAAGAGAAAGGAAAAGAAATGGTAGACTAAGAAAGAAAATATATTTTTACAGGAAATTTAAATCAATAAGATTAAGTAGAGATCTATAATAGCTGAACTTTCTGTGTGGATGACATATTGGTATATTTTGTGTTTTTATATATCTTGCCTTTTATTCATACTTAACAGTGATATATTATTTTTAAGAGTTACATTCAGTCATAGATACAATAAAGGCTTATTATTCACTATATTTCTCACAACTACTTAAAATTTGGCCTCAGCGACTAAACACAAGATGAATTCCTACATCTGCTACAAAACTGTAATAATTGCAGAAATGTTGCCTAAGAGAATTAAGTCTCCAAATTGTAATTCTTCCAAAGTCAAAAACAAGAAGCAGCAACAAATACCAAAATATGAGGAAATAGGTAGGTTATTTGCATACAGCAAATAAGAAAGCATATATCAATGTAACCACTGTATTCCACATAAAGAATCCTTGATCACTCAAGGTGAACTTATTTAAAGGCTGACTACATATTCTGCTAATACGAAAAACATAAACATCCATATTCTGAAAGGAATACAGAAGCTTTTTAAGTAGCTAGACTTGTTTGCTTCAGAAGTTTTTTTTTCTTTATATCCTTTGAAATTTGTGGAAATCTGTGCTGGTGCCCCTGAAGTAGAAAGTTTTATCGGCTGGTGGTCAACCACAGTTCAAAGAGGCACTTGTATAATCTTATTTTAGGATGGCAGGGGTTTCACGTAGCAAATTTAAGAAAAATGTCCCAAAAGGCTGCTTAAATAGCTAACAGCAGCAAGTCTGCATGACAGTCAGCAGAGAAAGCACAAGCTGTTGGGTAGCATTGCTTTCAAAAAGCTCTTACCTTTTGGATGGAGAGACTTGGAATGCAATATTTTGTTTCTTCAGAGTAAACCCTTTTTCTTAGCTTCTTGAATTTAATTGTCACAGGAAATGCCTTGGTATACGGTTTTCTCAGTACCCTTTGAGATAGTATAATTGTAGAGAATACTTAATCTAACGATATTTGATTGCTGTGAGGCTAGTTATATTATTTCAATTCGGCCATGTTATTTAAAAATCAGATATGAATATATGTGGTTATACATTGTCATTTTATTATACCATCATTAATCTGAACCCACTAAATAGAAATTTAAAATAAAATTGTAACTCAGATAAAGCAGTCCTATAAGTATTCAGGTTCCCAAATAAATGAAATTCCTAACTTCTCTTTGATAAAAGAACTACCAAATAAATAATAATGTTATTTTAATTTTTCCGAATATAATTTCCTACATAATTGTCCTACTTATAATAATATACTTAGTATATTTACTTTTATAAAATTAATTAACAACATTTATTCTCATCAAGTGAGAAAAAAGTTCTAGCTTATTTTTGAAGTGCTGGTGGACATATTTAGAAAATAGAATGCAGCTATTTTATAGCGGTTGGTGATAGACAATAATAATATTCATAAAAAGGATAACAATATTACATCATTATGTTGATATCAGTATGCATGCTTTCATAATTTTCTGATTTTAGAATTTCTCTTTGTTCCACTATATTTTGTGCTAAACACAAAGTTTATGATGAAGTTCTACTATATTTTGAATACTAGAATAAAACACTTTTGCCATAATTAATAAATAAATTCTTAAATGCTATTTGAATGACAGTAAGATTTATCTATAGCTCTGTAATATGGTTGTGATGCCATGACATACATCATTACTTACTCTTTCACTCCCCGCCGTACTTTAAGATGTGAGGCTTTTTATTAATATCATAATTTTGCTGATCTCAGATATAGATATTTTCCATTAATTTCCTTGCTTCAAGTAGTTGAGAAAAATCATATTTTCATTCATTCAAATTTGTTTACATATTTTTCTATTCTCAGAGGTAAGAAAATTTTTGTTTGAACAATTAAAATATAAATTTATTTTTGCCCCTCAGGATCATGTGTCCCCAGTGAATACTGGATCAACAGTGTGAGAATTGGATGGGTGACGGGGAGATGAATTAATCAACAATAGACTTTAACATGACACAAAATAATTGCTCTATCTAAGAATATATCAAGTTATCTAGTTTGTGAAACAGAAAACCAGTCACTGGTATCTTTATTTGAATATCAATGATATGTCACCAAATTCATTAGCAGTCCTCTGCACATCTCAGTATTTTGATACCAATGAGTCGATAACATTTCTGTAGGTGCTAGTGTGTTCCATTGAATTAAATAGGTACTATATTGCTACACTTTCAGATAAATCCATTACATTGGCAGCTTTATGTCTTTTTATACCTCAATATTGATTCACAATCATATTTTGATTGTACAAAATGATAACATTTAAAGATATGATTTTAACAGAATGTATAATATGTGTGTGGAGAAAGAGAGGGGAAATGTGAAAACTGTTTAAAACATGAAAGTATTCATAATATCTTGTATTACATGACTGAATAGTCACTATGCAAACTTGAAAGCTATCACTAAGAATATCTTGATTAAGGATACTAATGAAATTCTGTCATTTAAAATTTAATCTGAAATTCAAAACGTGAGAAAAAAATCTCTATGTTCAGTTAAAGAAATTGCAGAAATTGATTTTGAGAGAATCCCATCTTGTGGTTTCAGAGGAATAATAAATCACTCTCAGTTCTATCATAATGTTGGTGTACTTTGTTCCTTATAAATCATTATAGACCATAGGCTCTCATTTATAGGGTCAAAAGGCTATACACTGAGTAATAATTCAGAGATTTTTTTTAAAATCAAGTTTTACCCATTGAGTTCCGTAATCTTAGCAACTGTTACACTCCCTCCCTCCTCCTGCTGTTCCATCAGTATTCAACCAAGTCACCAACACAGAGCTAAAAGCTAATAGGAACTAAGAAGCTAAACAGACACACAGGTTATTCTACCATCAGAAAATGGGGAAAATCATATTCTTCACCTTGTGAAATTTTAAAAGCCTAGGAAAGGAAGAAGGAATTTAATGTATGTAGAGTAAAGAAAGGTTATCTAAAGCAGACTACCTAGGCTGTCATATTTTTTCAAAATATAAATTACCACATTAAATGCATTCTCCATTTCTCTAAAAAAAATGGGATTCTCCATTTCTCTAAAAAAATGGCCTTTGGGATTTTTATTGGGATTGAATTGAATTGCTTTGGGTAGCATGGATATTTTAACAATATTAAATCTTCCAGTCTGTGAACACAGGCTTTTTATTTGTTTGTGTCTTCTTTAATTTCCTTAATCATTCTTTAGTGATTTTCAGTATATAAGTTTTTCATCTTGGCAGTTTAATTTTTTTCCTAAGTATTTTATTCCTTTTGGTGCTATTGTAAATGGGGTTATTTTCCTAAATTACTTTTGAAGTAGTTAATTAGTGTACAGAAATGCTACTTATTTTGTGTATTGATTTGTTTCTTGCAATGTTACTGAATAAATTTATTGGTGTCAACGGGTTTTTAAAGAAGTCTTGTCAATGAAGAACAAACCTGGAGGCATCACATCTCCTGATTTCAAAAATATATTAAAAATCTATAGTAATTTAAAATATGGTACTGGTGTAAATACAGACATATAGACCTATGGAACAAAATAGAGAGTCAGAAACAAATGCATATACAGTCAGCTGATCTTTAACAAGGGTACCAAGAATGCACAATGGAGAAACGATAGTCTTTTCAATAAATGAAGCTGAATAAACTGGATATCCACATGTAAAAGAATAAAATTGGACCTTTATTATCATATTAAAAATTAACCTAAAATGGATTAAAGATCTAAATGTAAGACCTGAAATTGTAAAAATCCTAGAATAAAATGTAGGGACAAGCTCCTTGATATTGATCTCGGCAATGATTTCTTTGGATAGGACACCAAAAGTACAGATAACAAAAGCAAAACTAGATAAGTGAGATTGTATCAAACTTCAAAAATTCCGAAAAGTTCCACAAAGCAAAGGAAATAATCATTAGAATGAAAAGGCAATTTATGGAATGGGGAAACATATTTGCAAGCCAGGTAACTATAAAGGATTAATTTTCAAAATATGTATGGTAATCCTACAATTCAATAGCCTAAAAAGTGGTCTAAAGACTTATAGATGTCTCTCCAAAGAAGACATCCAAATAACTGACAGGTATATAAAAATATGTTCAACATCAGTAATCATCAGGAAAACACTGGTAAAAACCACACACACACCTACAAAAATTACCTCACACCGGTGAGAATGGTTGTAAAAAAAAAAAAAAAAAAGTCTAGGCACAGTGGCTCATGCCTGTAATCCCAGAACTTTGGGAGGCTGAGGTGGGCGGATCACCTGAGGTCCGGAGTTCAAGACCAGCCTGACCAGCCTGACCAACATGGAGAGACCCTGTCTCTACTAAAAACACAAAATTAGCCAGGCGTGGTGGTGCATGCTTGTAATCCTAGCTACTGGGGTGGCTGAGGTAGGAGAATTGCTTGAACCTGGGAGGCGAAGTTTGCAGTGAGCTTAGATCGCGCCATTGCACTCCACCCTGGGCAATAAGAGCGAAACTGTCTCAAGAAAAAAAAAAAAAAAAAAAAGAAGAGATAAGTTTTGGGGAGGATGTGGGGAAATTGGAACTTCTTTTGCACTGTTGATGAGAAAACAAAATGGCACAGCTGCTACAGAAAACAGTTTAGAGTATCCTCAAAAAATTGAAAAATGGAACTACCATATGATTGAGCAATTCCACTTTTTTGATACTTATGAAAAAGAATTGAAAACAGGAACTTGAAGAGTATTGCCCATGTTCATTGCAGCATTATTCACAATAGCCAAGATATGGAAACAACCTAAATGTCCATTGATGAATGAATGGATAAAGAAAATATGACATATACATATGATGAAATTTTACTCACCTTTTAAAGAGAAGGAAATTCTGCAATATGTACCAACATGGGTGAACCTGGATGACATTGTGCTAACTGAAATAAACGAGTCACAAAATGACAAATACCTCATGATCTCACTTGTGTGAGTTATCTAAACTAGTCAAACTCATAGATGCAGAGAATAGAACAGTGGTTACCAAGAGCAGGGGGAAGAGAGAAATGGAGTGCTGTTAATCAGTACGCATAAATCTCAATTATGCAAGATGAATCTGTCCTAGAGATCTGCTATACAACATTGTGCCTATAGCTAACAATACTTTATTGTACTCTTAAAAATTTGTTAAGACAGTAGGGCTCACATTAAGTTGCTTTTACCACAATAAAATTAAATTAAACTAAAAGATGGATTCTCCAAAAATATGCATTTGATATACCATTTGATGTTCTATAAATAGTATTCCATGGTAAACTTTATGAATTCACAATAAATTTCTTAAAATGTGTAAAACTTTTATTATGGAAAATTTAAATGTATAAAGAAGTAGTGAGAAAAGCAAAATAACCTCTCATATAACAACCTTCACTTTAAGCAATTATTATTTAATGGTCAATCTTATTTCATTGATACCCTAACCAATAAGCTCCTTTCTCTGGAACATTGGAAGTAAAGGTCTAATTTCATACATGCTTCCTGTAAATGCTTTAGAATATCTCTAAAGAATAAGAATTATTTATGTTATATAATACTCAATTCTTAAGAAAATTATAACATTACCTTAATGGTAATTAAATATCCAGTCAGTGTCGACATGTCCCCAATTGTCCTAAAAAGTTTTCTGTTTGTTTCATAGTTGGATATTTAATATCTTGATCTATATAAGGTTAGTATATTGTGACTAGTTGATTATGTCTAACATTTGGGTTCTCTCTCTCTTCCATTTGAGAGTAAGTTACAAGTGTGATATTCCATTCCTACTTTATAGTTTAATGTATATTTACTTACTTCAAGTTTGAACACAATTGCTTAAACACAATTAAAAAATTAGTTAACATTGAGAGAATGCTATAATGCACCAACCCAAAATATCGAAATTTTAGTGAAGATCAAATTCAGTATAGCACATTGCACTTAGTTGCTATGGCATTTTGTCTCCTTTAATCTTGAATATACTTTATCTGGCCATCACGAATCTGACATTTGAAAAGTATAGACAAGATTTTTCTTTTTCTTTCTTTTTTTCTTAAAGTCATTCAATTTTTTGGTTTCTCTGATGTTTCCTCATGAATATAAAAATACCAGGAATTCTTAGTAGAAATACCAAGAGATGATGTTTTATTCTTAATGCATCATGCTGGGAAGATTTTTGGATTGTACCATGACTGATGACATGAACCTTGATTACTGGTTAATATGGCATCTGCCATCCTATTCATTGTGGCATTATTGTAGCAATATTGTTTTGTTTTTTCTTTGTTTCATTTTTACTTTTCAATCTATAAGGAACTGTGGGAGGTACTTGAGACTATGTAAAATGCTGTTTCAGATCAAACATTCCCAATTATTTTTTTCATTAATGACTGCTGTGTGAATTAACTATTACTATGATGAATACAAAATAGTGGTTTTCTAAATCCGTTTGAGATGGAGTTGCAGAGGCTGGTAATAAATATTCTTCAAGTTTTGGATGATTCTGCTGTACAGAAGAGCTCATATTTACCTCACAACAATTTATTTATTTATATAATATTTATGAGTAAATTTACGGATTTTTAAATTTTTATTCAATCTACTAACAACATTATATTTTGATTTTCAAATTATCTAATATTGAGCTAGTGGAAGACCCTACAAGTGGGTTCGTTTGTTATTTTTAATTTCTAACATAAAATGTTCTAATTACATTTAATACTTCCTCTGTTTCAGCATCAGAATAAGACATTTCTCCAGTAATCCCCAAGTTCCTTAGTAAAGAAAGTAATTTAGAAATGTATGTGTGTTTGTATATTTATAAATTCTACATGCTAGATGGAATTATTGCTATGGAATTTCATCACTTCTTGTCCTTCTCAACATACATAACTAGCAACTGTATGCATATATATCTATATTATCTATATCTATATCTATCTTATTAGACATAAATTCATTCCAATTCAGCATCTCAAGCTTTATTCCAATTTCTCTTTTCTCTATGTTTAAAATAAACATATTGATATATTTCATTATTAGCTGCCTTAAATACACAGAAACTAATCTAAAATCTGCCAAGTCATATTGCTAAATATAGTCACAAAACCTATAATTGAGAATTCACTATTTCTTTATAAATTTCTTTTTTTCTTTTCTTCTGAAGGTGATATACAGCCAAAATATATTGTTCAGAAGTTTTCTGGGTTATTGAATTCCATCACTTGTCATCTTCTTGAGGGCTTTTTTTCTGCAATTATCTCCTTTTACTAGCATCATCATTTTTATCTTCCTGCTTGTCCATTTCTATCAGCATGCAAGGGTGCTTTCTTCTCATACATGTATATAATTACATTTAGAAATAAAAATCAGAGAACTTCCATTGGTACTTTTCCCCATTTATCTTCTCTTTTTCAAAAGAGCTAATTACATTCACTGATTTTCCTTTATGAATTTTCATGGCTGAAATAGACATTGTTGAGGTCATCAATGATTATTTGGCATGCTTTAATATTTAATTTTAACTTGAAACATTTCTTTATACTTTCATGGTTACACTCATCTTGTTTTCTTTGCTCCTCATTGTACTCTCTTTCTCAATATTTCTACCCAATGACTGTATCTTATACATAGCTGTTAATTTAGAAAGACCTGTTCCTCTGTTCTGCTGACAATCTTTTCTTTAGATGATCTCATCCAGTTCTAAGTCTTAAAACAACCTGTGTAAACTGAAGACTCACAGATTCACATCACTAGCTATTTCCTCTTTTACTGAGTCTAAGCTACATATATCCACATATCTATTTGCTACTTCAGCTTGCATGT
Organism: Homo sapiens; assembly: GCF_000001405.40. Classification (NCBI taxonomy): domain Eukaryota; kingdom Metazoa; phylum Chordata; class Mammalia; order Primates; family Hominidae; genus Homo; species Homo sapiens. The sequence continues at coordinate 125,966,528 of NC_000007.14, forward strand.
CTAGTACCTCAAACCCTGCAATGCTAGAGTAGAACTGTTCCCTCCCTTACACACATGCACACACACACTTCAATTCCATCCAAGGTTTATCTCAGTTGAGTTGCTTATCATCCATTAGCTTCTCAGCTCTAAATTCAGTGAAACTTGGAGTTTCCTAAATCTCTCTCTCTCATTCCTCAAATCCAATCTGTAACTGAACCCTGATGTTTATAACTCTGAGATATATTCCAATTGAACCACTGATACTATCTCCACTACAGTTATTCTAGCCAAAGCCACAAATGTAGCTCATTTATTCAACTGCAACCCCCTTCTTACAGGCCTATTTCACTGCCTGCCTCCCCACAACACACACTGTATTCTATCACTAAGAAAGCAGAAGTGATTTAGTGTAAATCAGATCATATAATCTCAACTTAAAATGTCTGATTTTTTTCCCCTTGAAACCTAAACAAAATAGATCTTTCATTCCATGAACCGTAAGTTGCTACTTGATTTGCTTTCTGCTTCCATTGTGACCTCCTTCCTTCAATTTATGTCTCCTTAGTTATCCAGATTTTCCCTTTGAAACTACATAAGTAAATTCAGTTTAAGAGGAAAGAGTGCACAATCCTATTTTACTTTCAGAAACAAGACAAGTTCTAGAATCCAGCCCTCATAATTTGAATAATAAAGTTGTCATTGCAATTTAATCCATGTGCTTAATTACGTTTAAGTGGAGGAATAAAGAGTAATTTTATTCCCCCAAACCTCAGAAAAACAAATAGCTGAAACATCCATAGGGATTTGATCGTGATTACATGGCATATTTACATTAATTTTAAAATAAATAACATTTTTACAATATTGTCTTGTGCTATCTAATTATGTGGTATATATTTCCTAGTATTAAAGCCACATTTGAGTTCCCCTAGTTCTGATTCACAGTTGTATTACAAGATTATGGTTCATGAATAAGGAGTGCTTACTATACGACAATAATCATGTTAAATAGTTTTCATTAATTAACTCATGTTTCTACAATTTTTTCCTATACTTTTATTGTTAAATAAAAACCCCTAGTTGTTTGAGAGTGATCTAATTATGGATTAATAGAATGTTTTTAATATTTTATCTTTTTATATTTAAGTTTCTCTTGCACAGTTTGTAATTTATAGGTGCTTATAATTTGGCCTATATTTTAAATACTCAGCTTTACTCCATTTACATTTCTTATAATAAAATTATGTTTGATCTTATATTTGTCATTTTTGTGTGTGTGTTCAACTGCAATGCTTACTTAAGGTTTTACTCAATATTCCCATATTTTTCTTTGTGTTTTGTGTTTTATATTATCTTTTAGGGAAATAGGGCACACATTTATAATTCCTCTACTGCAAACTCCTAGTTTTTCTTGGAGAATAAAATGTCTATTATACATATATTATTGTTATATATGGTCATTGAGTAATTATATTTAATTTTTGTACTTTTGTAACCATATCATTGTGACAGTTAAACTTATTTTTATTTTTAAATATTTCAGTGCTAACCTTAAGACCTTGCATGCCATAATTTTCCTACTTATGTTCCATTTTGTCTCTTATTCTGATGAATTATGTGCCTCCATAATTTTTTTTTTTTTTCCATTGAAATGGAGTCTCGCTCTGTCACCCAGGCTGTACTGCAGTGATGCAATCTCGGCTCACTGTAATCTCTGCCTCCCAGATTCAAGTTATTCTTTTGCCTCAGCCTCCCAAGTAGCTGGGACTACAGGCACCCGCCACCACACCCAGCTAATTTTTTATTTTTTATTTTTAGTAGAGATGGGGTTTCACCATGTTGGCCAGGCTGGTCTCAAACTCCTGACCTCAAGTGATCCACCTGCCTCAGCCTTCCAAAGTGCTGGGATTATGGGTGTGAGCCACCATGCCGGACCCTTCCATACATTCTATGGATGACATAAAACCTTTTTAAAGTTAATTCATAGTAATGGCCTATGTGAAATGTGTAGGTAAACACTGCTCCCCAAAATAACAAAAAAACCGATTCTTTTAGAAAGAAGAAATATATGTGAATTACTGATATCCGTTATCAATTTTTTTCTATCTATACAGTGTTTGATATACTTTTTTTTCCTCATAATGGTTAGCACTATTCCAACTCATTCCATTTCAATAGTAACTGAAGCCAATGCATCATCTTATCTCCAATTCTGCTTCTTTTAAGTCACTTTAGTCCACTTCTAGTAAATGGTTGGAAGTAGGCTTGACCTTACTTCATTTCCCAAAAATATGTGACCTTCAGTTATTTTTTTCCTCCTAAATTTGAATTCAAACTATTTTGGAGGTCTCCATTATGGTTATTTTGTTTGCTATTAGCGTACAGTTATTATAAAATAAAGACATATCAAACTGACCATTAATTAAAATTAATAGCTAAGTTTAATTTGAAACTGTCAGAAAAAAAATAAATGAGTTGTTTCTTCAAGAAAAGTTACTATTTTAGCTTAGCAGGGTTATTCAGTTAACTTGATATGCATAATCTTTATTGTCAGTAGGAATGGCTTATTTTCTTCATATTTCTATGCCCCTGTAGATTTACGTGTTGGTTTTCTTTATAGCCTTTATTTGTTCTAGGTCTATTATGATGTTGTTTTGTTTTGCTTCATCATTATGAGGAAAAACGACTACTCATCTCTACAGTTAGTTTTTTGTAGTCTTCCAGCACAGAGGCTTATATTCTTTAGGGACCATTGTTAGAAGCAGCAATAGAATAAAACCATTCCAACAGGTTCTCAAATGTGCAAAGTCCCCAGATTGTGTATATCCAGTAATTCAGAGATGAAAGAAATGACCTCCAAGAAGACATATTTGCAAATATTGACAGGTGTCCTTTCAAACCAGCTATTTTATTGTTCATTCACAAAAATAAAAACAAGCAATACCCATGAATCAGACAACATCATATCCAAACAATTATATGCTAAAAAAAATACCCTGGAATATGGGTATGCAGGGAAAACAGTAGAAGGTGCAGAATCTGTGTGAGGTCAGTCAATATTTGGAAATCTTAAACCTCCTTTGTATTTAATGCATAGGTCAAAAATGAAGATGATATTTTGGAACTGTTAAACAAGTAGGCACTAGATGGAGATAAAATCCAATCAATAAACAAATATTTCAACTTAACTTTTGATATTGAAAATGTGAAGGCTGGACCTAGGCACTATTTTGGACATTTCAGTTTGGGTACATTATAGATATTTAGCAAAAATCTAGTTGGGTTAATAAGAGGATAAACTGACCTGTAAAATTAAATAAATTTTAGATCATCTTTAGTTTCCTCGAATAATGATAAATAATCTAATTTTGGAAAATTTGGAGACAGGTAGAAGAAACAATCTAAAAAAATACAGTAACAGAATTCTTTAAAGAATCTTCGGAAAGAATACTCATTTTTATGGATCTCGTTTTACATCTGAAATAAGTTGCCTGATGTTTTTATAAGCCTGTTTACTGACAACATAAGAAAATCTGACCGCACAAAGAGATGCTATAAGGTTATAGAAAGAAGTGACTATTTTTGAAGATATCAATAGGATAATTGGAAGATCTAGAAATACATTTATAATACCTGTGTCCTATCATTTTAAACTCTCAGATCCTATAGATGGCAGCTAAATATTCACATAAAAGAAAGCAAAAAATATATATATATATATATGGCTGAGTCAATGTTACCCAGTAAAGTGAATGCTGCCAAGCTTGCCACATCTAATTCTAACAAAATGGCTTTGCAAAGAGGGAGTTCAGTATTGTAGAAATAGGTTATCCCTATTCATTATTTTGATATCTGTATTATGATATTATATCAGCTAAGAAATCATCATGTCAGGCCACAGAAGGGGAAGAGAAGCCTGCTGACTCAAGCTGCATGGTTCAACCACTTAGCTGGAAGTCTAACCCTAGAGTTAGTAAATTCAAGATAAAAACCCAAAACAAAACAAAATCAGAAAGTGTTACTGTGTTTCTATGGTTTTCTTTGTTAGACATGTAAATTAGAGGAATTATTGTTAGAGTGTCACCATTCTTAATTTTGATATATATCCTTGATCCAGGAAAATAGCATTTACATACCAAGAAATTCTTCATTATAAAATGAAGGAAAAATTTGGCTGCTTTCTACAGTGGAAAGAGTGAATAACTTAAAATGTTATTCTTTACATTTTACATAATAAAAATTGCTTTGGATTAAAAGATTCAATAATTGACTTGAGGAATGAGACTTGGAAAAGCCATTTAAATAAAGAACATATACTGACTACAAATATATCTAAAACATGCGCTCAAAAACAAACAAAAAAACATCAATCAGGTTATGTAGCAAAATGATACCTGCCAGCCATTGTGACTTCTATTTTCACTCAATTTTCTTATTTAAAATTAGTTTTAAATTTCATAAATATAGTATAAACATAATCTTTGATTATTATAAAACAATGTTACTGCAACTCCAATATATCTTCCAGTATAGTATTTTATTTAAAGAGAGTGTTTTTATAAACATTTGTTGAACAAATAAATAACAGAATAGAGGAAATAAATGAACTAACCTTTTCTCGAATTGATTTTCGTCTTTCCATGCCTATGCAAGTTTCTTTTGAAGGAAAACTCAAAGCCATTATTTGGGCTGGATCCATAATTTTAAATGAATGGCTTTTTCATTAAGGGAAGTAACTTAATCTCATTTTTGTAAAGTATCTCAAAAGCTAATGTGCACCACCCCACAAAGGAATGAGGACTGAAAGGTTTAATGGATTGGGGACTGCTATTGCCTAGAACAGTTTCATTGAACTAGGCTCATCCATAACTTAGAGATAAATAAATGAAAATTTAAAAAAATCTTCGAAAAAGAAGTACGTAAAGAACTGTGAAAGCTTTACTTGTAGTAGTCACAGCAAAAAACAACTTGAGTGTCCACCAAGAGAAGTATTTAAGAAAAAGGAATGGTATGTCTGTATGATATAATATGACTTAGCTGTAAAAATCAATCATATACAGGTACACACAACAATACTGATTTATATCAAAAAATATTATGCTGGGCAAAAGAAGTGAAGTACTAAAATATTTATACTATGTGACTTTATGTTAAGTGTAAAATAGGCAAAACGTATTTATCTTGATAAAAATTAGAACAATGGTTTTCTGAAGAGTGAGGTGGGGATGACTGAAAAGAAACACAAGAAAATTATTAGCAATGATGAAAAGTTTTTTTAATCTTTGATTTGAGTGATGGTTATATGGAAATATACATCTATCAAAAGGCATTTCCTTGTATATTTGACATCCATGTATATCAATGTCACTTTATGGAACTAGAAATGCTTATTGAGATCACTTGGGATTCTCCAAAGAATGAATTACTGATATACACAACAATATAGACGGATTTTCAAAAGTATTATATTGAGTGAAAGAAGCCAGACACAAAAGGCTACAATGTTTATTATTCTGTTATATTCTATTATTGTATTTATAATAGTTTTAAGATTAGTTTATGAATAACTAATCTATAGTGATAAAAATCAAAACACTAATTTGTCAGCAGAAGTTGAGCGAGACAGAGAGGGACAAAAGAGAATTTTGTAAGAGGATGAATATATTTCATGTCTCAGAGTGTTGATATTATGTGTATTTATGGGTATATATATTTGACAAAATTTATCAGGTTGTAAACTAAAATCTGTACATTTCCTTATATGTAAATTTACCTGAAAGGTTAATAATAAATAATGAATTGTAAAAAAATGTATGAAGGTTGACAGTGGAAAATTAACTTTCTCTCCTCCTTACTCACTAGAAGATGTGAAAATATGATACCCTTTATTGTTAGAACAACCTAGAGCTCTCAGGTATTTGGATATCCACTCATTATGCTAGGGGACTTCCCAACCATCATTTCTTATTATTAGCCATCAGTTTATTTCTACTGCAACTTTGGAATCACAGAAGCTGTATCCAAATGTCACTCTCTTTTTTTTCATTAAAATAAGCCATATCTACAACAAAATAAAGAAACATAAGGAATATAACTGATATTTTTTGGAGCAACAAGAAAAATAAAACAAGAGGAAAAAAAATTTTAAGAATCATCTCCATATTCAGGCCACAAAATGAGCTTTATAGGCTAATATAATATAATTTTTTTATTTAATAAGACTACATAGACAATTGAAAAATTATCTTTCACTGATAAAGAACAAACTATAAAGTTTGTGTTGTTAGAACTGTGTCCCTGTGGAATTTTTAAAATCGCAATTTCCTTTACTCTCCTGGGATATTAACATGGATAGCAAACCGAAACCTCAGCTTAGGTTCAGTTAGTAACAGGGCTATCAGCAAACACTACTTTCACTATTTCCTTTCTATTTCAACCCTCCAGAGGGTTGCTACTGACAAAGAAAAAAATAGTAAAAATTTATATAAATTGAAATGTAGATAATATCACATCTGTCTCTCCATTATACTGCATTATGGCTCTGGTGAAGTAAAGGCTAAAATGCCAAGTTAAGATTGACAGACATGCCAAAAAATGCTTAACTTACAAAATTAAATATACACTCTGCTCAAAACTAAACAAAATTCAATGAACAATTTATTTTCTTTATTAGTACGAAAAGTCTATCTAACCTCATAGATTTCCTGGCTCCAACTATTTTCTGTGCCTGCACCTTCTCCACCCAGTCATTCTTTATCCATCTGAGGGAGGGAGAGTATAACAGAAATAAGAAAGTCAAGGAAAAAAGAAGGGGAGGGCAATGTTCTCTGATCAGAAACAGGAGAACCCAAAACAACAAATTCTCTGCTATAATCTCTATTTGGCAATGATTTTTATAATAATTATTTTTTGTATCTATGTATTTTCTGTATAGGTATTAAAATGTGTATGTATGTGCAATATGTGTATATATTGTAATGTGTGTATATGTGTATTTAAGAAAAACCTGCTCTGTTCCAAAGAAATGCCAGAAGATGAAAATATCCAACACTGGATGTCTGTCTACTATGTATTGTTTCTTTTTCCTCTAGCAAAGTACTTGAGCAGGTAATAGCAATCATATTTGAGAATTTCTGTTTGAACTCATATCATGTGAGAATTTACAGCACAAGTTTCTCTCTCTTTTCAATTACTTTATGTCTCATATATAGACGCGCAAGTTCTGGGACACCACAACTATTGAATAAAGTTGTGGGCTATTTTTCATTATTCACTTATAAGACTTATAAATTTGTTCTGCTAGAAAAACACTTTTAAAGGGACAATGACTGAAAATTTTATCTCAAAAAAAAAGATTATAAACAGTGTTGTAAAACTCAGTTATCAAAAAATAGTGATAATTTATCTACCAGAATGTCTGGTACAGGAAGAGTAATTCACCTTCCTGGTATCTTTCATTCTAATGTAGAAAGTTATTATTATGAAAAACATAGGCTATTGTCAGATTACACATTTAAACTTATATGGAATTAAAACAGTGTGTGACTCGTATTTAGGTTTTTAAAAATTGCTACTAAATACTCTATTCGTTATATTGTTCTCTGCATAGCATAAAATGATACCATGGATCTCCACTACAGTATCTGGGTGTTTCATATCATGAATAATAACTAGAGCATCTTATCGTAGCCATGAGGTGTTCAGTGTTTGCAAAAGATGTTTATTCAATAATAATAATTTATCTATTTCAGTTACTATACTTTATTCCAATATGTTCAAAAAGTATAGAGATTAAAAGGGAGGGCATGGTTTCAAATATCCCCTAGATTTATTCTAACACCTGATATAATAACAACACATAAACACAGCCTTGTCTGTCTGTCCTATTGAAATTTAGCATATAATATATGATATGTGTGTGTGTGTATGTGAGAGAGAGAGAGACAGAGAGAGAGAGAGAGTTTAAGAGGTATCATCTCACTCTGACACTCAGGCAGTGGCATGATCATATCTCACAGCAGCCTCAGCCTCCTGGGCTCAAGTAATCCACTCACCTTAGCCTCCTGAATAGCTGAGTCTACAGGTGTGCACCACCACATTTGACTAATTTAAAAAAATGCATAGAGATGATGTTCTCTTTCTCTATGTTGCCTTGGCTGGTCTTGAACTCCTGGTCTCAAGCAGTCCTCCTGCCTTAGTCTCTCAAAAGGCTGGAATTTCAGGGGTGAGCCACTGTGCCCAGTCTAACACGTTTTTTATCTCTTTGTTAATTATACTTATTTTTCTGTTTCAAATGTTAATTCAAAATAATCAGTTCTGCTAAGACGTACTTTTGCCTAGTTTTACTTGTTAATGTCACACCGATGGCCGTATCAGCTTCAAACCAGCATCTCCCATATTTTGTTCCTATAGACTATGTCCAACATGCATACAACTTGCTCCAGAAATTTCAGCTCTTCTCCCTTTGCAGCCTGATAATGGAGGATGTATAAGATGGGAGAGGTGGTACCTTTTTCATCATGGAATAGAATCATTAGTCTTTAAACTATGAGATTTTAGCCATAGTTAATACTCCAGGGTTAGTGGTGAAGGGTACTGATAATGTACTTAATTCCTACTGAAGAATTACGTTCCTTCCAATATCTAGTCACTAAAAGGAAGATACTTTAAGGGCAACTGTGCCTTAAAAATCACATCTACTTTTGCTCTGTATCTGAAAATGTCCCCCCAAAATAAAATAAAATAAAATATATAACATAGTTACAAGGATATGAAAAATAACCTAAAACGTAATGATTATCAATAATTGTGCAATTAACATAATTGTTCATTTTTAATTCATTTGCCTCAAATTTTTATTTATAAATAAAAGAAAGTAAATACTCAAAAACCAAGTGAACAAAAATATTAATAATTGATTAGTACAGCTTGTCGAAAGTATGCAGACTTTTGTCTGGAAAAATGGTGTCTTAAGTTCCTAGCCCGATTGGAGAGGTTGTCTCCCTAGGTCTCTTGAGGATTTAAAGCTATGCAACTCACCTGCATGAAATGCACAATCCTATGAGTGGCGAAGAGGGGAAGATAGCTCTGGGCCTGTAACCTGGGAAGGTGGCAAGCCTCCCTTTGTATGCTCGGTGGGACTGGGGTGTGGTAGCAGATCAATTGTGCATGTTTGATGCAGTGGCCTTAGGATGACAATGACCCCAGCATGTTTGTTAATGTACACTATGAACAGGTCATTAAGAAACCTTGAATCTAGGTAAAACAAAAAGCCCCTTAGCCACTGGTTGCCGTATTCTGGCCTTTGATCATGTCTCTATGTGTTTCAATTATTATATAAAGTGAAATCCAGAGATTCAAGTGCTAGGTTTTCCTTTATGTAAAATTTCTAAATTTTCCATTACTGCAGAAATATTAGATAAACCCAGCATGCTTTCAAAAACATATCTATGCATTATTCAGTGGAAACTAAGAAACACTGTTCTTTTCAAGCTCAAAAGACTTATCAACTTAGTTTCTTTAGAAAGAAATTTAAGGCTCCCAAATTAATAGAACAGTTTGAGAGCAGCCTAAACACTACCTTGGAGATCTTAACACTATTGTCATAGCAAGAAATAAAAAGTAGAGTGTTTAGTGAGAAGGGATAGTGGAGGCTTGTCAACTCAGAAAGTGCTTCTCCTATAATATCAGTCTTCAAGGTAGCATTTTCAAATGGGTTTGAGAAAAACAAATATTCCTAAGAATGTACTTTGCCAAATGAGCAAAGGCTATATTCAATCAAAATCTGCTTTAAAAAATGTTGTTTTTTTCCCCTTACTTCAAAGAGGTTTTTCTTAATGTATCTAGCCTATTTGCATTTTTAGATAACAGAAGAAAAATAACAGTAAATTGACATATCTAAGTTTGGAAAGAAACTGTAAACACATAATGACATCTCAAGTTACAGATTTGAAAAACAAAAATGCAATTTTAATTGCTCACCATAGCCTTTCAAATTAGTCACTTTAGGAGAGTTCCAGAGTGAATTTAATACTCTATTCTCAAATTCAGTTTGATGTGTGAGGATAAAAAATACATTTGTTCTAGTCAATGATTAACTTTTTAAATCACTTTTAAAATTATGGATCATATGCGTAGCTTTTTGTTTTTTAAAATATAGCTGTTATAAATCCAGATGTTTTTAATTCTGTGCTACAACTTTGTCTACCCTTCCCTCAATTCCACCATCCTCTTTGGTAATTACTATAATACTTTTAAATTATCTGTAGCACTAGTTCTCCAAAATAAGTTCCATAAATTGGCCAATGAGTTTCTGGACCTAAACCTCAACTTGAGGTGTCCTTTGATTTCTCCACATAAATATAGTGAGAATAAAAATTTAAAATTCAAATTATGTTTTCAACAAATAATGAAATAAAGAATGTACAACTACAGTATGTACCTAAAGTTTGACTTTAATGAACAGTTGATTGGAGCAGTGGTCCCCAACCTTTTTGGCATCAGGGACTGGTTTTGTGGAAGACAATTTTTCTGCAGACCAGTGTGGAGGAGAGGATGGTTTGGGGATGATTCAAGTGCATTACATTTATTGTGCACTTTATTTATATTATTACATTTTAATATATAATGAAATAATTATACAAGTTACTATAATGTAGAATCAGCAGGAGCCATGATTGTAAAATTTGACTACACTGATGTGATATGATAGTGATGTGTGTATACAAGAAGCACTTTTTTTTTCCTCTTAGAAAAACAGCAGTTTTCCTCCAACTAGACAGTCCCACTGTGGGGTGATGGGAGACCGTGGCAGATCATCAGGCATTAGATTCTCATAAGGAGCATGTAACGTAGATCCCTGCACGTGTAGTTCACAATAGGGTTCACACTGCTCTGAGAATCTAACGCCACTGCTGATCTGACAGGGCAGAGCTCAGGCAGTAATGCGGGCCATGGGGAGGGACTGTAAATACAGATGAAGCTTTGTTTGCTTGCCTGTCAGTCACCTTCTGCTGTATGGCAGGCTTCTTAACAGGCCACAGACAACTACTGGTCCATGGCCCAGAGGTTGGGAACCCCTGGATTATAGCATAGAAAGCAGTAATGCCATAGGTAAGTTTATTCCTCTCTATAATATGCAAAATAAATTTAATTTGTGAAACTATATCATGCTTTAGTTCCTACAGAAAATGGTAGATGTCAGAATTGAATGTCAACCCTGGATTGCATTCTCTTCATTAAACCAGACTATCCCCTTCAAGTTAAAGGGCTATGATCTATGGGACATACAGTCATATCCCTTGATAAGGAAGCATTGAGTTATCAATATTGTGCATATGAGAAGCAAATGAGATAGGCATGTTAAGTCAATTTATAACTGAGAGGTTATAGGATGTTTATGTCCTCGATTAGAAAATGTTGATGTCTTAGAGTCATAAGACCAAGATACATTCACTGCTTCATCATTAACTGTGTCCACTTTCATAAATCAGCTTCCCTTTTTTTCTGCTTAGTAGAGTCATGAGTATCTAATGAGATATTATATTTAATGGTCTTTTTTAAACTTTAAGGCATTATGTGCATCTTTATTGTAAATAAAGGATTATTATTGAAGAAGTAGTTCTGTCCTCAATTTTCTACAACCCAGGTATTACAATGGCACGTTAAATTTTATTATTTCAACTATGGATGCTTTAACCTTCAGTATTAAATATGTGGAAATATTCTACACTTCCAAATGTATACATGACTTCAGTTGATAATCCTATGCATAAGATATATTTATATTTTTTATTTTTTGATAGAAATTGTGTATACAGGAAGCACATTTTTTTCCCTCTTTTACCAGGAGAAAAGCAGCAGCATAAATATAAAGGATGAAAATGGGCAACTGAAGCCTGTTTTCAGGGTTAGGATACCACAGGGAAGACTTGACACATTGGCAACCTAAAAAGCACATACCCTATGGCAATGTGGGAAGATGGATCCAGTGTAGTCAAATTTTACAATTTTTAAGAAGAAGTCTCCGATCCAAACTTTTTGAAGCTCAACCTAAAAGTTAAAGTTTCCTAACCAATTTCTTTCTCAACCCAGCCCCCATTACCACATACACAGACACACACACACACATAGACTTATACGGATCATCATTATGAGAGACTGGCAGGGTCAAAGGTGGGAAGTCCAGGCCAAAGGCTCAGCAAAATCTCAGAAAGAAATGACAGTGATCCAAGCACTAAAGTGAGAAGAGTAGAGAAAGGAAGCAAATTAACTAATTAAATGCGAGAGTAAAGGAAAAGAAGCCTTAAAATACATAATATTTTAGGCTTGAGCAACTGGATGCTCCATGTTACCAACATGGGGAACATTGGGGTAAAGCAGGTTTAAAGTGGTGGGAAACAACCATTTGTTTGGTCTTTTTAAATGTTAAATGCATATTTGTTATACAATTGCAACTTCCAAATATATATTTTCAGTAAATACTAAAATTGTACTAAATGGGGTGTCATCTAAAACCAAACCTACAAAGAATGGCTGTCACTAGCTTGTCATTTAAGAGTATGTAGGCTTGTGAGTATAGTACTCAAATCTGAGCTCTGTGGCATCATTGAGCCTTGATTTTAAATGGTTACAGAGCCCTGTGTGGTTTTCGGAGACAAGTAGGTTGTAAGTACGTTTAATGAATGTAGGAATAGACATATTTCTGGAATTTGTTTGACTAGCAGTAACTGCATGAAGACATGTCCTTCCCCTATCTGCCAATGGGAGAAAAGTGCTTGAGTGGTCTGTGGAGCAGGCTCTCCAGCAGCAAGATCAGAAGACACTGGGGCCAATGAAAATCTTCCTGCTTTGAACAAAGAAAGCCTGTAGAGAATATTTAGCCCAGAAGGTGGTGATTGTGCTATTTACAAAATCAGGATGAGATTGTAGTGATGGATGAAACCCAAGCAAAATCTTTCACAAGTGTCTAGTTCAGTAACTTTAGGAAACCACTAGCAACCTATGTTAAGTTAGAATCAGAATGTCCAAATGAAAGCGTGATAGTCCAAAATCAGATTAGATAACCATACATTAAGTCTGAACCTGCACGAGACTAATACGGCAAGAGAAAGGCATTTTGCACATCTTTATTATCTTGTTACGCTATCATGGGAAGTGGAAGTTTCACAGTAAATGGTATGTACTGGCAGTTTGAAGGAGAATAGGACTAGGTTTTCATAAAACGTGATTTAAGTTAGTTCGAGTATGTGAAGAACCATGTTCATAAAGCCAAAAGCAAAGTGAGAAGTGGACCACACAATCCATGCAATATTAGGGACAGAACATGAACTGGTGTTTCGGGTTTCACAGAGGCAGGTTTAGGTAAGTATTTTTAATGAAAGGAGACAAGAAAACAAGAACAAATATGATTTATATCCCAAAATGCTGCAAAAGGGCGATGAAGTTGAAATGAACTCTCTCTGTTGTGTGCAAGCAGATAAGAAAGAAGTTTGACAGGTTGATTTCTATTCTTTTTCACTAAAGTCTGTATACCTACGAGATTGATTGGTTCCTGACATTGAAAGAGTAAGGGGCAACCTTTTCTCCTGGAGCATCCAAATAATTATTTATTTATTTATTTATTTTAGATAGAGTCTTGCTCTGTCACCCAGGCTGGAGTGCAATGGTGTAGTCTTGGCTCACCGCAACCTCCGCCTCCCAGATTCAAGCGATTCCACTGTGTCAGACTCCCAAGTTGAGTAGCTGGGATTAAAGGTGCACACCACCATGCCCAGTGAATTTTTGTATTTTTAGTAGACACGGGGTTTCACCATGTTGGCCAGGCTGGTCTCAAACTCCTAACCTCAAGTGATCTGCCTGTGTCAGCCTCCCAAAGTGCCGGGATTACAGGCATAAACCACCATGCCTGGCCCAAATAATTGTTTTTAGTTTTATTTATTTTTATATTTCTTATCTTTATAGATTGAGGGTGCAAAATGTAGTTGCATTACATGGATATAATGCATAGTAGTGAGATCTGGGCTTTTATTGTAACCATTACCCAAATAGAATACATTGTACCTACTAGATAATTTCTCATCTCTCACCTTCTCCCATCCTCCCACTTTTCTGAGTATCCAATATCTATTGTTTTATTCTGTATATCTATGTGTACACATTATTTATCTCCCACTTGTCAGTGAGAACATTCAGTATTGGACTGTTTCTGAGTTATTTCACTTAAGATAACGGCCTCCAGTTCCATCCATGTTGCTGCAAAAGACATATTTTATTCTTTTTTATGGCTGAGTAGTATTCCTTGGTATGTATATAGGTATACACATACCACATTTTCTTTATCCAATCATCCATTCATTGGTGGATACTAAAGTTGATTCCGTGTCTTTGCAATTATGAATAGTGCTGTGATAAATATGTGAGTGCAATTATCTTTTGGATATATTGATTTCCTTTCCTTTGGGTAGATGCCCAGTAGTGGGATTGCTGGATCTCATGGTAGCTCTATTTTTAGTGCTCTAACACATTTCCATACTGTTTTCCATATAAGTAGTACTAATTTACATTCTCATCAACAGCAATAGTAATGTTTCCTTTTCTCTACATCCTTGCCAACATTTGCTGCTTTTTAAATTTTTACTAATACCCATTCTGACTGGTGTAAAGTGATATCTCATTGTGGTTTTAATTGCATTTCCCTGGTGATTGGTGATGATAAACATTTTTTCATATGCTTGTTATTCAATATATGTCTTCTTTTGCAAAATATCTGTTCCTGTCTTTGCTCACCTTTTAATGAAATTGATTTTTTTCTTATTGAGTTGTTTGAGTTTCTTGAAGATTCTGGATATTAGTTCTTTGTTGGATGCACACTTTGCAATATTTTCTACCATTCTGTCTTTTTACCCTGTTGATTATTTATTTTGATGTGCAGAAGCTTTTAAGTTTACTTAAGTCCCATTTGTCTATTTTAGGTCCTGTTGCATTTGCTTTTGATGTCTTAATCCTAAATTCTGTGTCTAGGCCAATGCCCAGAAGAGTTTTTCCTAGGTTTTCTTCTAAGATTTTTATAGTTTCAGGTCTTACATTTAAGTCTTTAACCCATCTTGAGTTAATGTTTGTACACGATGAGAGACATGGATCAGTTTCATTCTTCTGCGTATGACTATCCAGTTTTCCCAGCACCATTTGTTGAATAGAATGTTCCTTCCCCAGTGTATGAGTTTGCTGACTTTGTCAAAGATAAGTTGACTGGCTTATTTCTGGGTCCCCATTATGTTCCCTTGATCTGTATGTCTATTTTTATACCAGAACCATAATGTTTTGGTTACCATAACCTTGTAGTATAATTTGAAGTCAGGTAATATGATGCCTCCAGAATATTTATTTTTGCTTAGCATTGCTTTGGCTATTTAGGTTGTTTTTTGGTTCTGTGTGAATTTTAAGATTTTCTTTCTAATTCTGTGAAAACTGACATTAGCAATTCGATAGTAATTGCATTGAATCTGCAAAATGCTTTGGGCAGCATCATCATTTTAATATTAACTCTTCTAATACATGAGCATGGGATGTTTTTTCCATTTGTGTTGTCTATGATTTCTTTCATCAGTTGTATTGTAGTTTTTATCACAGAGATCTTTCACTTACTTGGTTAAATGTGTTTCTTGGTATGGTAATTTTTTGTAGCTATTATAAATGAGATTGAGCTCTTGATTTTGTTCTCAGTTTGTTCATTATTAGTGTATAGAAGTGCTACAGATGTTTAGATGTTGATTTTATATCCTGAAATGCTATTGAATTTATTTATCAAATCTAGAAAAGTCTTTTGGGGGGAGTCTTTAGGGTTTTCTAATTATGGTACCATATCATCAGCAAACAGAAATAATTTGACTTCCTTTTTTCCAATTTGGATGCCTTTCATTTCTTTTTCTTGCCTGATTGCTCTGGCTAGGACTTGTAGTACTATGTTGAATGGCCATGATGAAAATGTGCGTTTTTGTCTTGTTCCAATTCTTAGGGGGAATGCTTTCATCTTTTCCCCATTAAATATAATGTTGGTTGTGTTTTTCATAATTGGCTTTTATTATTTTGAGGTATTTTCTGTATACCTAGTTTATTGAGGATTTTTTATCAATAGGAAATTTTAATAAATGCTTTTCTCTAAGTTTATTGAGATGATTTTATGGTTTTTGTTTTTTAATTCTGTTCACGTGGTGAATGGATTACATTTATTGATTTGTGTATTTTTGAACTACCCTAGTAGGCCTAGAATAAAACCCACTTGATTTTGGCATATTGTCTTTTTGATGAGCTGTTAGATTCATGTGCTAGTATTCTGTTGAGAATTTTTGCGTCTATTTTTATCAAAGATATTCATCTATAGTTTCTTTTTTGTTGTTGCTGTGTCCTTGCCTGACTTTGATATTAGGATGATACTGGCTGAGCAGATTGAGTTAAAGAGTAGTCCTTCCTCCTTAATTTTTAGGATTGGTCCCAGTCCTTCTTTATGCATTTGGTAGAATTTGACTGTGAATCCATCTGGTCCTGGGTTTGTTCTGGGAGTGGAGGGTGGATTTCTTACTACTGATCAAATCTCTCTACTTATTATGCATCTGTTAAGGATATCTATTTCTTCCAGTTCAGTCTTAGGGGGTTATATGTTTCCAGAAATGTATCCATTTCCTCTAGGTTTTCTACCTTGTGGGCATACGGATGTTCATAGCAGTCTCTGATGATTTATTGTATTTCTGTGATATCAGTTGTAATGTCTCCTTTTTCATTTCTGATTGTACTTACATGAATCTTCATTCTTTCCTTGGTTATTCTAGCTGGAAGTCTGTTGATTTTGTTTACCTTTTCAGAGAATAAACTTTTAATTATGTTGATGCTTTTTATTCCTTTGCTCAATTTCATTTAGTTCTGCTCTGATCTTTTTCTTTTCTTCTGCAAGCTCGAAGTAGGTTTGTTCTTGTTTTTCTAGTTCCTTGAGGTGCAACATTAGTTTGTGAATTTGTGGTCTTTTTATCCTTTTTATGTAGGCATTTAACACTACAAAATTCCTTTTAATGCTGCTTTTGCTGTATCCCAGAGGTTTGGGGACCATTGTAGCTCTGTTTTCATGTTTCAGATTATTTTTTAAAATCCATCTTAATTTCATTATTGACCTAAAGATTTTTCAGAAGCAGGTTTTTTAATTTCTATGTGTTTGTATAGCTTCAAGACTTCTTTGAATTGATTTCAAGTTTTATTCCACTGTGGCATGAAAAGACATTTGATATGATTTCCACTTTTTAAAATTTATTGAGTTTTTTGTTACCTAACATACAGTCAATCTTAAAAAAGAGTGTATGTTAAGCACTTGTTGGGTAGAATGTTTTGTAAATGTCTGTTAGGTCTACTTGATCTACGGTCTACTTAAGCCTAGTGTTTCGTTCTTTATGTTTCTGTCTTGATGATGTCTACTGCTGTCTGTGAAATGTTGAAAGTCTCCACTATAATATATTGCTATCTCCTTTTTTATATCTAGTAATATTTGTTTTATGAATCTGGCTGCTCTGGTGTTGGGTGTGTGTATACATATTTAGAATTGTTACATCTTCTGGTTCAATTGATCCCTTTATCATTATATAATGACCTCCCTTTTCTTATTTTACATTGTTGATTTAAAGTCTGTCTATCTGATGTAAGTACAGACACTCCTCTCCCTTTTTGTTTCTGTTCATATGAAATACATTTTCCCACTCTTCTGCCTTAAGTCTATAAGTGTCTTTATTAGTGTGATGGATTTCTTTTAAGAAGCCTATGGTTGGATCCTGTTTTTTTTTTTTTTATTCATTATTCCAATATGTATATTTTAAGTTGAACATTTAATTCATTTACATTCAAAGTTAACATTGATATGCGTGGTTTTGTTTTTGTGACAATTTTAAAATTTACTCTGCCAATCTATATTTTTGGAGTGGAACATTTAATTTATTTGTGTTCAAAGTCAATATTAATACATAAAGTTTTTTTCCTCTCATAATGTTGTTAACTAGTTGCTTTGTACTCACAATTGTGTAATTGTTTTATAAGACCTGTGAGTTTCATACTTTCATCTGTTTTTATCATGGCAGCTATAGATGTTTTATTTCCATATTTAGAACTCCCTTGAGCATTTCTTATAGGCAAGTCCAGTAGTGACCGATTCCCTTAGTGTTTGCTTTGTCTGGAAAATGCTTTATTTTTCCTTTATTTATGAAGCTTAGTTTAGCAGTAGACAAAATTCATGGTTGGCAGTTTTTTTCTTCTTTAAGAAGTTTGAAAGTAGGACCCCATTCTTTACTGGCTCATAATGTTTCTGGTGACAAAACAACTATTAGTTTGATGGGATTTCCTTTCTAGGTATTGACATGGACAGGAGGCAGGAAATACTAGGTAGAAAAGGGCAGAGTCCCTGATGAGGGCGCCACCCTCAAGCCTGGACCCGCAGCCCAAAGTGAGAACATGCATTCCTGTTTTCTTACACAAATGTTGCCTCTCCCAAACCACCCTGGCCTGTGTCGCCCCCTGTCCTGTACCCATAAAAACCCCAGGCTCCACTAGCAGAGCATCAGAGCAGCAGAGAAAGAGAGAAAAGAAGCAACCAGACATCAGAGAGAAGCAGCTTGACTTCAGAGGAACAGCTTGATAGTGGGACCTTGGAGAATAGTTTGGCTGTTCCTGGCCAGGGGAAGACCACTTTCTCACTCCATCTCCTTTACAGCTCCCCATCCCACTGACAGCAACTTCCCACCACTCAATAAAATACTCCACATTCACCACCCTTTCAATTCGTTCACACGACCTGATTCTTCCTGGATGCCGGACAAGGACAGGTGCAAGAAGTGGTCACACTGACCCTCCGCTGAGCTGTGTAACACTTAAGCCTTCCATGGATGGCAAAGCTAAGAGATCATACTGCAATACAAGCCCTCTGGGGCTTCAGGGGTCACAGGCAACCCCTAGACACCACTGCGGGCCCACAAGGAGTTCTGTTCATGCTGGTTGCCCAGAAGCGCTCATCCTGGACCCTGCACCCACTCCCCTGCATACTCTCCATGCCATGAGGGTCTGAGCACTGCACTACAGGCTGAGTAAATGAGCCAACCCTTTTGCGAGTCCCATGAAAGGGTAAAGGAAATGATCCTATTTCAGTATTAGACTCTTTTCTCTTGCTGATTGGAATTCTGGAAGTAAGGAGTTTGGGGGAATAATAAACACAAACAAGAGCACAAACAATAGGAGTAAATCTTATGTATCATATCTAGCATGCTCAACTACATTATCTAGACCATTTTCTGGAAGAATGAAAACCCTCCCTTTTTCCACAGACTTGTATTCTATTGGGAAACTATAGACAATAAACTTAAAAACAAACATATAAATATTATACTATGTAAAGATGAACACTATAAGCAAAATACAGAAAAATAAGAGATGAGACAGAGATAGGTTAGGGGTAGAGATATACTGTATTAGTTAAAGGAGTGAATGATAAGAAGTGGGAATATAACTTAATTTTTTTTTGCTAATACTAATTTTCTCCAAATTACTTTTTAAGTAGTCCACACTTCCCCACATATTTTAAATGCCAAATTCCCATATGCTCATGAATCTGAGGTATATTCATTTTCAAACTTGGAATGAGGAGTAGGAAGGCATTGAAGATGAAGAGTAGCACTAAATTTTCTGGACAATGTCATTATTTTAGACCTTGCAGCATTAACAAAACTCTTTGCAAAGTAAGGTCTTAATGTGTACTTATGAGGCTTATAAGCACTGAAAAAAAACAGATGCTTTATATTCCTTGAATAAGAGGCAATTTGACCATTACAGAAAAATAATTATCTGCAATTTACTTTGTAATTACAAAACAAGACATTCCCAATATCTTCTCTTAGTATTTTTTGTATTAAATTTTATTAGCATGTGGAAGTTATTTTGATTATTTTGCATAAAATCATTGCTAGTAATTACTCTCTTCAGCTCTTTCTTCCACAGAAAAAGGAATGACATTCTGTTACACACAATACTATTGGCTCACTTGATTCAGTAGTAAACACTATCGTTATATAAAAATAGAGTTGAATATTATTATAATGTATTTCTGAAAAGAAACAAGTTTAAAACTTAAGTTTTAAGGGAAAATGACATTTTTGGAAACAATATGGTCTTAAAAAAAAAGGTATCTCCCTTGGTTGACAATGTAAATTTTGTAACTAATCATATGCCTTCTTTGCTTTGGCCACAAAAAACTACTGAACCAAATGTGTAGCCCACTTCTAAAAACTGTATTTTACTCACCTCTGTATATTGGCTTAACTCACACTATTATTTCCCATGGTAATATATTCCTGTGTTATAATCTTTTGATAAATTTAATATATTAAATTATAAGAAAACTGCCTCAAATTTTCTGTAGAATGAATCTGAGTAAAGTCATATTTATGAGATATAAAAGCAGCTCAAAAACACAAGCAGCACAATAATGTAAATAACTGTAGAAACAGCAGCAAAGAGCATTAGTGGTAAGATAAATAAAATGAAGCCAGGGATGTAGTGTGTGCCATAAGATCCCGCACACTTCTTAGAATTGGGCCACGAATTTGTCCTGAGCATTCTAGAAATCACTGTCAAGGGTAAAAGATTCTCAGTTATTTGATTTGTAGTGTTCAAAGTCAAGAAAAAGTTAGGGATTTCTAACCATTCTAGTTTCTAAGACTGAGTGAATTTTGTCTCCTGCATCTTCATAAGACAATACATTCTGATGCATTAAACACTATCATCAACAATATTCCAATCATAAATAAAACAACTCTCATAGCACTGTTTTAATAGCACTCTCCTGGTAACACACTTTAGCAGAGGAAATTTTATGAGGGATCAGGGCAGTGTATCCATGTACATAATTTTGCAATTAATTGGCCATATCCAAGGGTAAAGCTTTCTGTTCGGGGGCTTGACCTTTGAGCTTTTGATAAAGCTTTAGCATCAATAAATTCCATTTTCTCTGATATAGTAAATATTCACAGAGCTGAAATTCTGTATTGATAGCTGAAATTCTGTGTTGATAATTCAGAAAGTCCCATATGTTTTCACAGTAAGCAAATAGTGGTCAAAATTTAAACACTATTGTGATAGCTAAGGAACCAAGTGAAGACTCATACCTGAAAGACAGGTTTTCCTACACATTTATAATTTAAAATTAATGGCATAAATGCATAAATAAGTATAAGTAATTCCAGTGTTACAAATAAACACAACATTCTCTTAGCAGGTTTTACATATACATTTCTTTGCACATACCTTCATTCAATATATATTAGAGCAAGATATTTATAAGGTTTTAGTACCATTTGAACCAAACAAGACGCTTAAATTTCTCTAATTGGAAAATGGAACTGATAACACTTAACCTGCAGTGATATTGTAAAAATAAGAGTAATGAGTGCTTGACAGGCACTGCACATGTAGTTTCTATATTCTCTATACTGTATGCATTCCATATAAAGCAATAATATTGACAAATTATCATAAGATTGCTAGAGTTTTGTTTAATTACTGAGTTTCTATATTACAATGCATATTTATCCTGCTTTTAAAATTGCATCTTGGACTTTAATGTGTTTTAACCAAGGCATTATAAGATGTATGGTAAAACTAACAAAGACAACCAACAGACATAACAATCACACTTCAATATAAAACCATTTTAAGAAGCAATAGTTTCTATTGCTGCCTTGCCTGAGTAGGCACTCATGTAAATGTGTTGTTTCCACATCAAGGATTTAAAACATTTTCTACAACTCACGGCTAGCTTTTGACTTAGATAAGGAAGTGAATTGGAATGAAGTAACAGTTCTATATTAGGTAGTTACACTAAGCTACTTCTATATTTAAATTTTGAAGGTATCACTAATAACCCAGAACACATGTATTTTGGCATATTTTTAAGAATCAGTTTTGTGTTGACCCCACTGCTTCTTCCGCATGGCTAATGGAACATATTTGTAAGCTCCCTAAATTGGAAGTTAAAATTTATGACATGAAATAGGAATTAAAATGGCATCAGTAGAGATTGCATGTACCACTACCATACCTTGATTAATGCCATATTTTGTTCAACTGACCTGATACTGCAGAAGGACAAACATAATTCAAGTATAACTCCTCTTGAGACAATAAGTTACTACTGAATTTCTGCATTTTGTTTTATGAGAATTGTGTAATTTCCCATGTGTTACATCATAAGAATCTGTACTTATAATACTCTTACTGTCCAAAGTTTAGCAATCGTTTCTGCTTAAATCTATTCAGTGTAAAATTAATAACAGAAATCTATTTCTCAAATATTTCCAAAGAAATTCAGTATCATTTTTCTGATATAAGAAGTAATTATATTCCTATTTATATCATATAAGTGCTATACAATTGCTAGTGTTATTTCAAATATGTTCTTAATGGAGGTAGTTATTTAAAATCATTTTCAATATAGTGTAAGGATTCTCAGATAATTATACAATACAATTTGTTAATAAAATAAAATGGTAACTTTTTAGTTTGAAAGATAGAGTTTAACTTAACTATTTCAGAAGAACACACACTTTTGAAATATTCGTTAACAAACTGCATGTTTAAATGTCATCTGTTAATACATCTTTTCCAAAATTGATATGCTGTAATCTGGATTTAGTATATACATGGGAAAAACTCAACTAATAAAGCTAATGATTCCTATTCAAAATTTAAATTGATGTGGATCTTTGTTTAAATCTTAGAAAATCTCTAATTATTTTATTCTGTTTTTGACACCAAGTTTTGTTGCCAAGAAAGAGAAATATGCACTGCAATAGTGTGGAGGATTTACCAACATTCTGATGTAAAAATCTGGCATGGTCCCACATTCACAGAGGGTGTGTGAAGATGGCATTGAAAAGCACGTTGTGTACATAAAGTTTATCATTTGACAGTGAGAAAGTCTTAGGGAGGAAAATAATTATGTCTTGGCCTGAGTTCACTGTAAAGAAATATTAATACTACCCCCACATGCCTATAATTTTATTTTTTTAGAAGACAGTACTTAATTTCTAAAACTAAATGCTCTGAAACTATATTCAGTACTATACAGTCTGTCAGGCTACATTTTCTCGAACAATATTTTCAGTGGCACAAAGATCCTGTAGTGTTTCCCAACCAATATTGTTTTGATTTGTTTTGTTTTGTTTTTGAGACAGAGTCTCACACTGTCACCCAGGCTAATGCAATAGCATGATCTTGGCTCACTCCAACCTCTGCCTCCTGGGTTCAAGTGATTCTCGTGCCTCAGCCTCCTGAGTAGTTGGGACTACAGGCATGCACCACCATGCCCAGCTAATTTTTGTATTTTTAGTAGAGACGTGGTTTCACCATACTGGCCGGGCTGGTCTTGAACTCCTGTCCTCAGGTGATCACCTGCCTCAGCCTCCCAAACTCTGGGATTACAGGCATGAGCCACTGTGCCTGGCCCAACCAACCATTTTAACTACTCAAAAATGATATTCCATTGATAGTTCTCTGAACTGTGGTTTCACAGTAACTACTTTTTCATGCTTACTTCTGAATCCACCCCAGAACATGTCCTCTCTTTCTATCAGGAGGGATTCTTCAGTGTCCCACTAATAAACTTAAGTTTTATTTAACTAACGTATGGCATGAATAGCATGTTCTAGGAAGGTAGAAAGAGACAGGACATGTAAGATAATGTTAATCATATAGAGAATATGTACAATACCTTATGTGTAATTACAGTCTGTTAATTTTTTTGACATCAGCTTGTCTTTTTTAATCCAGATTTATTGAGGTATGATTGATAAATAAAAATTATATATATATATACAGTACACAGGTGATGTTTTCATATACTTATACATTAAGAAATAATTACCACAATCATGCTAATTAAAATATCCATCATCACACATATTTACCTTTTTTCGTGGTGAAAATACTTGAAATCCACTCCCCAAGGAAATTTCAAGCATACTATATATTACTATTAACGCTAGTCACCATGTTGTACCATAGGTCTGCATAATTTATTCATGTTAAATTGAAAATTTGTACTGTTTGAACAATATTCCTCCTTTTCCAGCATACCCCAGGCCCTGGTAACCATCATTGTACTCTCTGCTTCTATGAGTTTAACTTTCTTAAATTCTGCATATAAGTAAGATCATGCAGTAGTTAGCTTTCCACGTCTGGTTTGTTTCAGTTAGCACAATACCTTCTAGGTTAATACATGTAGCCATGAATAGCATGGTTTCCTTGTATTTTAAGACAAAATAACATTTTCATTATCTATGTATACCACATTTTCTTTACCTATTAATCTGTCAATGGACACTTAGATTGTTTGCATATTTTGACTATTATGAATTATGCCACAATGAACATGAGAGTCTAAATGTATTTTTATGATAGTTATTTTATTTCTTTCAGATATGTACCAAAAAGGGGGATTACAAGATCATATGGTAGTTCTATTTTTAATGTTTTATGAAATCTTCATAGTATGTTTTTCCTTTTCTTTTTTTTTTTTTTTTTTTTTTTTTTTTTGAGACAGAGTCTCACTCTTGTCACCCAGGCTGGAGTACAGTGACACAATCTCAGCTTAGCTCACTGCAACTTGCAACTTCCACCTCCCAAGTTCAAGCTATTTTCCGGCCTCAGCCTCTCGAGTAGCTGGGATTACAGGCGCACACCACCATGCCGGGCGAATTTTTTGTATTTTTAGTAGAGACAGGATTTAACCATGCTGGCCAGGCTGGTCTCAAACTCCTGACCTCGTGATGTGCCCACCTCAGCCTCCCAAAGTGCTGGGATTAAAGGCATGAGCCACCGGGCCCAGCCCTCTTTGTAGTATTTTTATAATGGCTCTAACAATTTACATTCCCATCAACAGTAAAGATTCTCTTTTCTAAACATCTTTGTCAACACTTGTTATTTTCTGTCTCTTTAAAAATACCCATCTTAATAGATGCAGAAAAAGCATTTGACAAAATTTAACATACTTTCATGATAAAAATTCTCACAAATTAGGTATAGAAGGAGTGTGGCCTCAACACAATAATACCACATATGAAAGCCCACAGCTAACGTTATACTAGATGGTGTAAAACTACAAGGTTTTTGGGAGGCCGAGGCGGGCGGATCACGAGGTCAGGAGATCGAGACCATCCCGGCTAAAACGGTGAAACCCCGTCTCTACTAAAAATACAAAAAATTAGCCGGGCGTAGTGGCGGGCGCCTGTAGTCCCAGCTACTTGGGAGGCTGAGGCAGGAGAATGGCGTGAACCCGGGAGGCGGAGCTTGCAGTGAGCCGAGATCCCGCCACTGCACTCCAGCCTGGGCGACAGAGCGAGACTCCGTCTCAAAAAAAAAAAAAAAAAAAAAACTACAAGGTTTTCCTCTAAGATCAAACAAGACAAGGATGTTCACTCTTGCCATTTCTGTTGAACACAGGAATGGAAATCTAAGACAAAGCAATTAGGCTAGAGAAAGAGAAAAAAAAAGTCACCTAAATAGAAAAGAAAAAAAGTGAAATTGTGTCTGTTTGCAGATAACATGATTTTATCTATTGAAACCTTAAAGACCCCACCAAACAATAACTTTTATAACAGACAAAGGAATTCAGTAGAGTTGCAGATTACAAAATCAAACGCTTTTTATGCATATGTTGAGATGATCATATGACTTTTATTTATTCTATTCATGTGGTGTATTTTATTTAACAATTCGTGTACATTGAATAATATTTATACCCTAGGGAAAAACCCTATTTGATAATGGTTTATGATCTTTCTAATGTACTGTGGAATTTGGTTTGCTGGTATTTTGTGAAAGATTTTTTGCATCTGTGTTAATCAGAGATATTAGTCTGTAATTTTTTTTTCATGTAGTATCTTTGCCTGGCTTTGGTAATTGGGTAATTCCGACCTCATAAAATGAGATAGGATGTTTCTCTTCTTCAATTTTTTTAGAAGAGTTTGAAAAGGTTTGATATTAATTCTTCTTTAAATGTTTGGTAGATTCAGCAATGAAGGCATCTGGTCTTGCACTTTTATTTTTGAAGGTTTGTGATTACTGATTCAATCTTCTTATGTGTTATTGTTCTGTTCAGATTTTCTATCTCTTCATGATTCAGTTTTGGTTGGTTTTATGTTTCCAGGAATTTGTTCATTTCTTTTAGATATCTGATTTATTGGAATATACATTTTCACAGTAGTCTCCTAGAATCTTTGTATTTTTATGGCAACTGTTGTAATGCCTTTCATTTCTGACTGTATTTATTTAGTTTTCTCTCTTCTCTCTTGATTAGTCTAGCTAAAGCTTTGTTGAGTTTATTTTTTCAAAAAAGCGACTCTTAGTTTTGTTGACATTTTCTATTGTTTTTCTTGTGTCTGTTTCAATTATTTGTCCTCTGATCTCTGTTATTTCCTTCCTTCTACCAACTTCGGATTTATATGGTCATTCTTTTTCTAGTTCCTTGAGGTGTAATGTTAGATTGTCTAGTTTCAAACTTTCTTTTCTTTACGTAAGCATTTATTACTAGAAACTTTCTGCTCAAGATTGCTTTTGCTGCATCTTATAAGTTTTGGTATGTTGTGTGTCCTTTTTCACTATCTCAAGATACTAATTTATACTTGATTTCTTTTTGATTTACACTTTGACCCATCACTTGATCAGAAACTTGTTAATTTCTATTTTTTTTTTAGCTTTCTAACTTCTTTCCTATTATTGATTTCTACTTTCATATTATTGTGGTGGAAAAAGATGCTTGATTTTATTTTAGTCTTAAAATATGCTGAGACTTGTTTTGTGGACTAACATATGACCTATCCTGGAGAATGTTCTATGTGAGCATACAAAGAATGAGTGTTCTATTGCTGTTGAGTGGAATGCTTTGTATATGTCTGTTAGGTTACATTTGGTCTAAAATGTAGTTTAAGTTCAATATTTTCTTATTGATTTTCTATCAATATGATCTGTACTTTGATGAAAGTGGGGTACAGAAATCCCCAACTCTTATTGTATTTTTGTCTATTTCTCCCTTCATATCTGTTAATATTTGATTTATATATGTAGGAACTTCATATTGGATATACATATGTATATTATTATTATTATTTTTATTTTTATTTTTATATTTTTGAGACGGAGTCTGGCTCTGTAGCCCAGGCTGGAGTGCAGTGGCGCAATCTCGGCTCACTGCAAGCTCCACCTTCCGGGTTCACGCCATTCTCCTGCCTCAGCCTCCCGAGTAGCTGAGACTACAGGCGCCCGCCACTACGCCCTGCTAATTTTTTGTACTTTTAGTAGAGATGGGTTTTCACCGGTTAGCCAGGATGGTCTTGATCTCCTGACCTCATGATCCGCCCGCCTCGGCCTCCCAAAGTGCTGGGATTACAGGCGTGAGCCACTGCGCCCGGCCTACATATGTATATTATTTTTATAACCTTTTGAGTAATTGACCTTTTTATCATTACACAATAACCTTCTTTGCCTCTTCTTCTTGACTAAAAGTCTATTTTGTTAAACTATAGCTACCCTTCCTTACTTTTATTATTTGCATAGAATATCATT
This sequence comes from Homo sapiens, assembly GCF_000001405.40. Classification (NCBI taxonomy): domain Eukaryota; kingdom Metazoa; phylum Chordata; class Mammalia; order Primates; family Hominidae; genus Homo; species Homo sapiens. The sequence continues at coordinate 125,994,149 of NC_000007.14, forward strand.
TTCCATTTTTTATTTTCAGTTTATGTCTTCCTTCCTTCCTCCCTTCCTCCCTTCCTTCCCTCTTTCCTTCCTTCGTTCCTTCTTCCTTCTTTCTTTCTTTCTTCTTTCTTTCTTTCCTCTTTCTTTCTTTCCTATTCACTTTATTTTAAGGAAATTCCATGCTATAGTTATTCTTAACATAAAAACGCTTTAACTTTATGTAGACAAATGATACCAGCAAAAATGGGACCACATTTTTAAAATATAAAATCTTCCATTATAAAATCATGAAATCAATGTAGTAATATTAGTAATTTTGAAATTATTGGATGGTTTTTAGAAATAGCATTTTTAAACTGAGCTGTGTCTCCTCTCAGCAGGTGGAGTCCCTATTCAAAAGAGTAAATGTCTTCAACATAGATAAATAAAATGTTACATAAGCTGATGATTATAGATTATAATTGGTGAATGTCAACAGAATTCAGAACAATGTTACATGTTTTTGACTGCCACCTGCTATATTCGAAGTAATAATCATCACCCTTTTAAAAATTGTGTGTAGCCACGTGTTCTCACTCATAGGTGGGAAGTGAACAATCAGAACACTTGGACACAGGGTGGGGAACATCACACACTGGGGCCTGTCGTGGGGTGGGGGGCAGTGGGAGAGATAGCACTGGGAGAAATACCTAATGTAAATGACGGGTTGATGGGTACAGTGGGCCAGCATGGCACATGTATACCTATGTAACAAGCTTGCACGTTGTGCACATGTACTCTAGAACTTAAAGTATAATAAAAAAAATTGTGTGTACTTACCATGTCCAACATGATGTTTTCAAGTATACATGCATTGCATAATAAATAAATTTAATTATTTAACATATTCATTACTTCATGTAGTAAGAACAGTTATCCACTGTATTAGCATTTTTAAGAATACTATATATTGTTATTAACTATATTTGTTATGACATACAATATATTTCTTGAATGTATTTCTCCTAACTGAAACTTTTTATTTTTTAATCAATATCTTTCAACCCACCCTTCTTTTTGTGTCCTTAAACCAGAGTGAGTCTACTGTAGGCAACATATAATTGGGTCTTATATTTTAATCCACTTGGTCACTGTATGTCTTTCAACTGGATGATTTCATCAATTTACATTTAACATAAATATTGATAAGTAAGGATGTACAATTATCATTTTGTTATTTTTTTCTGGTTGTTTTATAGATTCTTTGTTCCTTTATTTCTCTCTTGCTATCTTCCTTTGTGATTTGATAATCATCTGAAATGGTATGATTTAATGCCTTTGCATCTATCTTTTGAGTATCTCCCTTGGGTTTTGCTTTGTAGTTAGCATGATTCTTAATAAAATATCATATACTTATAACAGACTAGTAACAACTGTAAATTCTTAAGTAGCAACTTAACTAAATTTAAATAGAAAACTCCGTATTTTCTCCCTCATATGCATGCATTGTGGGTTTTTTTATGTTATGATATGCAACTCTTTATATTATGTATCCCTAAAAATTACTGTAGCTATGTATTTTTAAATAGTTTTTGTCTTTTAAACTTTATGTTTAAATGATAGATGCACCACCATTACAGTATTAAAGTATTCTGAATTTTAATGTATATATTCAATTTTACACCTTTTATATAAAGGTGAGTTTTACACCTTTATGTCTTATCATGTTACTAATTAACCTCTTTTTATTTCAGCTTGAAAAACTCTCTGCAGCATTTCTTACAAGGCAGATCCAGTAACAATGAGCTTCCTCAGCCCTGGTATTTCTGGGAAAGTTTTATCTCTCTCATTTCTGAAGGACAACTTTGCCAAATAATGTATTATTCATAGTTTCTTTATTCTTTCAACACTGTAAATATATTATCCCACTCTCTCCTGGAATGCAAGGTTTCTGGTAAGAAGGCTACTGATAGTTTTATCATGGTTCCATTCTATATGGTGATTCTCTTTCTCTTGCTGCTTTCAAAATTATCAGTTTTTTCTTCAATTTATGACAGTTTGATTATGACATGTTACATTGAACTTTTCTTTTGATCAAACCAGTTTGGGAATGTTTGAGCTTTATGTTTCTGAATATTCATATCTCTCCCTAGGTTTGCGAAGTTTCAGCCATTATTTCTTTTTAAAAAAATCTTCCTGCTCCTTGCTCTCTCTTTTCTATTTCTTGCAAACCACAATGTAAAGTTTAGTTCTGTGATAGTCTCCCATAAATTCCATTGTTTCTTTATTCCTTTCATTGCTTTTTCCTTTTTATGCTTGACTGGATAATTTCGAATGACAAACTTTTGAGTTTAGAGATTATTTCCCCTTCTTAATAGAGTCTGCTGTGAAAGCTCTCTATTGCATTTTTCAGTTCAGTCATTATATTCTTCAACTACAAAATGTTTCTTTGTTGTTTTTTCTTATGTTATCTCTTAGTTGAACTTTTCATTCTGTCATTTCATTTTTTCTAATTTTGTTAAATTGTTTATCTGTATTCTTCTTGCTCATTGAGCTTCCTTATTAATGATTTTGAAGTATTTGTCAGGCAATTTGTGAATCTTCATAATATGGATTTAATTATAGAAATTTTATTGTGTTTCTTGTTGCTGTTATATTTCCCTGATTCTTTGTGACTCTTGTAGCCTTGGATAACTATCTGTGCATTTGAAGAAGTAGTCACTTCTTCCAGGTTTTATAAAGTGGCTTTGGTAAGGGAAGACCTTCAACTCAAGAGGTGTGGAGAATGGTAGGGTAGGTAGGCTGGAGTGTGCTGTGGATTTGGATGCCAAATGTGGGGGTATGAAGTGATTCCAGGATGGAATGGGAGTTGGCAGATTGTTGATTCAAGGAGGTGGGGTCCATAATGTCAACAATCACATAACTTTAGCAATGATATGGTTTGGCTGTGTCCCCACACAAATCTCAACTTGAATTCTATCTCCCAAAATTCCCACATGTTGTAGGAGGGACCCAGTGGGAGGTAATAGAATAATTAAAAGAGAAACAGCATAAAAGATCAGAAAATGTGCATTCTGATGATGCAGTAGAACAGAAAACCCAATTTTTTGAGAAGAAATTAAGGTGGCTGCAGAAATTTGCATAAGTAGCAAGGAACCTAATATTAATCCCCAAGACCATGGGGAAAATGTCTCCAGGCAAAGTCAGAGGGCTTCATGGCAGCCCTTCCTATCATAAGCTGAGAGGCCCAGGAGGAAAAAGTGGTTTTGTGAGCCAGGCCCAGGGTCCCAGTGCTGTGTGCAGCCTAGGGACTTGGTGCCCTGTGTCCCAGCCACTCCAGCCATGGCTGAAAGGGGCCAACATAGAGCTCGGGCTGTGGCTTCAGAGAGTGGAATCCCCAAGCCTTGGCAGCTTCCATGCACTGTTCAGCCTGTGGGTGCACAGAAGTCAAGAATTGAGGTTTGGGAACCTCTGCCTAGATTTCAGAAGATGTGTGGAAATGACTGGATGCCTAGGCAAATGTTTGCTGCAGGGGTGAGGCCCTCATGGAGAACCTCTTCTAGGGCAGTGCAGAAGGGAAATGTGAGGTCAGAGCTCCCACACAGAGTTCCTACTGGGGCATTGCCTAGTGGAGTTGTGAGAAGAGGGTCGCCATCCTCCAAGCCCCAGAATTGTAGATCAACTGACAGCTTGCACCATGCTCCTGGAAAAGCCACAGACACTCAGTGCCAGCCCATGAAAGCAGCCAGGAGGGAGGCTGTACCCTGCAAAGCCACAGGGGTGGAGCTGCCCAAAACCATGGGAACTCACCTCTTGCATCAACATGACCTGGATGTGAGACCTGGACTCAAAGGAGATCACTGTGGAGCTTTAAAATTTGACTACCCCACTGGATTTCAGACTTGCATGGGCCCTGTAAAGCCTTTGTTTTGGCCAATTTCTCCCATTTGGAATGGCTGTATTTACCCAATACCTGGACCCCCATTGGATCTAGGAAGTAACTAGCTTGCTTTTGATTTTGCAGGCTCATAGGTGGAAGGGACTTGCCTTGTCTCAGATGAGACTTTGGACTGTGGACTTTGGGGTTAATGCTGAAATTAGTTAAGAATTTGGGGAACTGTTGGGAAAGCATCATTGATTTTGAAATGTGAGGACATGAGATTTGGAGGGGCCAGGGGCAGAATGATATGGTTTGGCTGTGTTCCCACCCAAATCTCAACTTGAATTGTATCTCCCAGAATTCCCATCTGTTATGAGAGGGACCCTCATAGGGTCAGCTCCACATGCAAAAGCCACAGATAGCAAAAGATAGCAGCATGCATATGCACAAAAGAAGGGGCCAGCTTCAGATGCCCAGGTAGTTATGGGGACTGACAGTGGGGATGGTTTGAACTGTATGCTTACACATGGTTATGAGTTACTGAGGTTATACCTCAGGAATATATGAAGGATTGGGATCTGAGGGCAGTAATATTTCATTATTTTTTAAGAAAGTGACCAAATTGGCAGTTTAGAATAATATCTATGACTACATGTGGAAAATTATTTGAAGAAAGGCAAGCATAGTTAAAGTTATATTTATTGCTTCATTCATTATTCAACTAATTTATCTAATCTACTGTGTCCAATTTTCTGTTAAATCTATTCTTCATTTTATTAGTTTAATATACTATAGTGTTAAATCAAGTTAGCTTAATTCTTCTTTCTCACATATTTTAAGTTCAGCCCAAATGTTGACCTATACATAGTGAACTATAACCTAAATGGAGGTGTAAACAGATTATAGGCTACTCTTGTTCCCATCACTGAGTTTGGGTCAATCAAAGGGGGCTAACTGTTCAAACTCTGTTTAAATAAAGCAAATGCCTAGATAAAGTACCCAATATGACTGTTTCTGTATCTCACTTCAGTTTTCTGTATGTTAGTTTCTTTTTTTCTGTTCATAAATCTTCTTCCACCATGTGGCTGTGCTGCAGTCTCCTGGATCCTACTCTGGCTCAGGAGGCTGCCCAATTCACAATTTATTTTTTTGTTCAAATAAAATCTGTTAAATTTAATTTGGCTAAGAATTTTCTTTTAAAAATAACTTTAAAAACTCTATATAATATTTATTTATTTATTTATTTATTTATTTATTTATTTATTTATTTATTTTTGAGACAGAGTCTTGGTCTCTCCCCCAGGCTGGAGTGCAGTGGCGCCATCTTGGCTCACTGCAAGCTCTGCCTCCCGGGTTCACGCCATTCTTCTGCCTCAGTCTCCCGAGTAGCTGGGACTACAGGCACCTGCCACCACACCTGGCTAATAAAAAATCTGTATAATACTTTTTTATAGATTCCAATTATCTATCAGTTATTTTCATCTTTTTATTTATTTGGGCAATGTTTTCTTATATTTTATTTAGGATTGTGATTTTTAAATTCTTGTATGTATACTGCTGTATAGAATTATTTTGTGTCTCTTTTTTTGTTTCATTTTCTTTGGACCATGAATTTTATTTTCTTGGCTCTTTGCAAACTTAGTATTTATTTTTGACACTAGATCGTGTGTAAATAAAGAACGACAGACTCCATATGATATTGGAGTAACCCCTTTCCTCTGGCAAACAAATTAAGTGGTGTCAGGTGTGGGTTGCAGTTTAGTAAGACCCAGTTTATCTCTTATTTATCTCTTTTCTCTGAGTGTATCTTTCCTAAGATTTTGTTTATATGTCTGGCACATATATGGCTTTGCAGAACTAAAAACGTTGGGTCAACCAGCACATTGGGTGATCCAGCTATTCTCTGCAATTTTTTTTCTACACAGATATCCAGCTTCCTACTCAATGTAGCCTGAAAATCTGGCTAAGACTTTAACGGGAGAGCTGGCCATATGCTTTCAGTTCAACCCCTTCTCCCAAAAGGTTCTGATTTCTTTAGTACATCAAACTCTGAAAGATTTCCCTTTGCCTTTGGAGAATTTTTTTGTGTAACTCAGTGTCCTACAGAATCTCAGAACTCAGTGAATGTAACATGGGGAAATCAGTCATGCATTTGATGACCCTCAATTTCCAATGTATTTCACTCTAATCTGTCTCTTCCACAAAGATGTTTTGAGATTTTTTTCCTTACCTCAAATTTGAATACCTCAGAGTCTTGAGTTTTCAGTACAAGAAGTAAAGACTTGTGACATAACAAGCCTGAGCACATGTGCATACACACACAGACACACACACACACACACACACACACACACACACACACAGTGTCAAACTTAAATCCTGGACACTTTCAACAAAAAGAACCATCTTAAGAAGACACACAAGGAAAACTTTTTTTTCTTAGTGTAATTTAGGGTGACAAATCTTTTCGCTGAATCTGTGAATTAACACATTTATTATTGAAGTAACAGTGTTTCTAGTAAAGAAAACCCAAATAACAGAAATCATCTTTCTTACCTGAAGGATATGCTAGAAATTACGATATATGGTGGCATCATAATTAACCTAATTATTATCAATGGTAGTATAAGGGGAAGTATAGACAAAGCACAAAGTATTAGGTGATCAAAGAGATTTGACAATTAGTTGCTTTAGTAAAAATGGTAATTACAAAGATGGTGGCATGTTGTAGAAACTCCTACAACCTTGGAAAACTTACAAGGAGAAAAGAAAAATGAAAGTCTTGAATTCTCGACTAATATTTTAGGTGGGAAATAGTCTTTATTTTAATTGAAGGAGTTTCTATCTCCTTTTGCTTCAGGTCAGATAGAGCTAAGGATTAATGCAACAAAATAAAATACATTAAGCTATAAAAACAAATAAAAACAATGTCCCTGAATTGCTATAGAGTGATTTCCAGAATACATTTTTAATAAAAAAAATGAAGACATTGTCAGAGTTCTGTAATGAAAATCAAGGGAGGCAGGGCATTTTCTGTATAATGCCACAGAGAGGAAATACAATAAATGCAAAGATGACCCATTGGATTTGACAATTAGGAAGCCATTTGGTAAATGTTAGAAAGAATTAAGAAGAAGAAAAGGAAAGATGTAAAATAAAAGAAGAGATTAAAATGTCCCTGAAAGTATTGCTTCACCATTTTGCCCAAGGCTTATGCCAGAAATAATGTCTGATAACCTTAATTAAAATTTTTCAATTTTAATACAAGTTAAGGAGGGAACAGTGAAACAAAACAAAACAAAATAAAGAAAAAAAGCAAACAGGAAAATCCCAAATGATAGCTTAAATTAATCTTTTTACAACAGGATTTGTTTTAGCTTTCTTTGTTTCTCTATGCTCAAATGTGACTATTTTTCAGGAAACCATGTACAGGGCTAGATTAATTCTCTAAAGGCCTTACACTGGAAATCCTTTCAGGATTTTTTAGTCATTTTCTCACGCACTGTTGTGCTTTGCCTCTGAGCCCATTGTTTGAAATGTCTATTGCTCTTCAGGTCACAGAGGAACAATTCTTTCAAAGTGGCCATGCTGGCTTAGCCTGTGGAGAGGAAAGTTGACACAAGAAGTTCAATTACTGTGAATTTAAAACAGAAAGGTTGTCTTTGTAAAGTCACAGTTATGTTCAACTAAAATGTATCCACATCTCAAAAATGATTTCTTTCCCATTTTAAATTTACAATCATTGCTATCCTGCTGTTTTCCCAAGGGCTAAGCCAGCGTTACTGAAGGTATGTGCTACTCTACTGTGACTGGAGTAGCCATGAACACTTCACATGTGCTCTCCATAGGTGGACCCAGATCTGCAGAGAAAAAAAGATCTTCAACTATGATCCCTGAAATAAAGGCTGCTGATGAATTTAGAAAGAAAATAGATGATGGATGATGATAAACAGGTAGACAGACAGACAGATAGATAGATAGATAGATAGATAGATAGATAGATAGATAGATAGATGATAGATAGATAGATAGATGATAGATAGATAGATAGATAGATAGATAGATAGATAGATAGATAGAGGAGAGTAAATGGGAGAATACTATTTGAAGCCTTAAAAAGGGCAGAAAATACTGATGAATTTTGTCATGAAATCAGGAATATCTCTAGTAGTGGAGGCAAAATATTTTAGAAAGACACAGATGAACCAGAACTGTCCCAGGTAAACCAGAGAATATACCCAATCTATAGTTGGTGATGAATGCATATAAACTCAACTGGGAAAAATGCAAGAGGTTAATATTTCAAAAGTGATTCAGCATATCTGGGGTAAGGCTGGGAATTGGGTTGAAATCTACCTATAGCTACTGTCCACAGTTTCAGAGTGTGTCATTTAAGATTTTTTAGTCTCTTGCAGAAATTATTGATAGTTGTGGCAGATCAAGTTTCAAGATCTTATTTGAAAATAATAATTTTCAAATTATTCTAATTTTCACTTTATTTTGGGTCCTCCAGCAGTTTTGTGAATAAACATCTTAAATCGTGCCCCACTGTGGCCACAATCCCTACCTCTTTCAGTGGAATTGCTAAAACCATTAAAGCCTCAGCTCAAGGGAAGGATTCTTTTTGTTACTCAATTTATCAAAAAGGAAGTAGCTTCATTAGTGTTTTAGTAAAATGAAACTTCTTAAAATATGGCCAGATACTGTGTCCCTAGGGGCTACGGGAGGACTTATTATTAGGATATATACCACTTAAGATGATATCTTTTTTGGAGAGTTAATATAAAGCTATAAGTAGCATATATTTCTAGTAAGTTCTTTGCTTTCTTTTCTTTTCCCTTGTTTTCTTTTCTGTTTTTTTCCTTTCTTTTCTACCCATTCACTTTTCTTTCCTCTTCCTTTTCTTCATTTTGTTTTCCTTACTTTTTCATCCTTTTCTTTGCTTTTATAACATTGACACAGAGCCCTGGTATTTCAGGGGCTTTTTTCTGCTGTTCATCTGCATATTTCAGGAAAACTCAGCTGAGCCCTCAAGAATTTTACCTGTATCTTAAGTTAGTCAGTTTAATTTTCTTACCATAGAAGCAAGCATTGGTTGCTAAGCCTAAAATTCTACTAGTTTTCCCTTTACATAAGTTCTGGCCAAGCTACTACTACATTTTATATTTAGGAGAAGTATATTATATTAAAACATCTGTATCTTATGGTATATACTTCATAGTGACAGATATAAAGAATTCTGGTCTACCAAAAAATACTCTGTTTTTTTAAAAAAAAAAATCTTGTCTATATTAGCCTCTTTAATATGGGTAATTCCAGATGAAAGGTATTTTACTATAAAATTATTCTTTAAAGGAGGCGTGGACTGAACCAATTATTTTTTATACCCTCCCCCAACACAAACACTTAATACACATCATTTTTGAAGTGCAATTTCTGGTATTCTTGCTCATATGACTTTAAAGTTCAGGGAATAACTGTTTCCTCCTACTTAATATTATTTTACTTTGAAGTTCCCCCAGCAGTCCTTTTCATATTTCTTGTTGATTTCTCCTATTTTCTTTTAAAATTGCCTGAGTTTTCTTTCTATTTGTCTGTCTAAACCTGTAAGAAGTATTAATTACTTCTTCTTTCTATTGATTCCCTACCTGTACAATTAAGAGGTTTGTTTCAGCAGTTTCCTAGATCCCATCTCCTGAGGAGTTACATCAGGATGAGCTCTGAAATACTTCCTCTTTCAATTGTGTGCTGACTTCTGCCACTGTATATAAGTCAGGACCGCCATAGTAAATAGATGTCAGACTTTGTTAATAATAATTAACAAAGGGACTATTTTTTTGTGCCCCAGTTTGTGTGCACAAACCGCATCACAAGGGGCAATGTAATACCCAGGACTAGAAATAAGAGACTATTAATGCACTTGAACTTAAATGGAAGAAGAGAGGGAGTGATTACCAGAAACTGAAAAGATTGAGTGGTGCCTCTGATTCCCCAAGGCCCAAAGGAATGAAGGCAGGAGCCAGTTAAGTAAACCCAGCAGAGTTGTATAGATGGGACCAACTCTAGAGGAGCTATGAGCTTCAGCAGAAGTATGTGGGCCACCTAAAGAGTGCAAGGAGAAAAAGCCAATGTACTAGACACTTCATTTTCACTAATGGCTATCTCCTTCCTTCTGATCTCTTCCTTGAGCTCCTTATTGACTGAATCAAAACAGAAACAAAACTGGAGGACCTAGGAGTTCTTTCATACAGCACATATGAGTTTTATGAGACAGAACAGGTTGGAGAAAAGTGGAGAGTGGTTCTGAGGGAGAAATGGAAAGTATCTGAAGTGATCTATGTCTTTTATTCTCCAGTACCCACTCTGCCACTTGTGTAGTGAAACGTTTATGTTTCAGTCACAGAAGATCCACAAATTACCACCAAGAGAAATAGCAAATTGCAGAGTAATAGCAAATGCATTGTACTCAAAACTTGAAGTCTACAGTATTAGTCACAGCAGGAATTCTTTCTTTATTTAAAAAAAGTCCTATGGTTGGAGGTGATGTTATAAGAGATGCTATAGCTGTACATAAGTCATTCAGTAAGTGAGCAAACAGGAACACTGACAGAACCACTATGAAAAGGATGCAAATCCACACCTGGAACATACGTGTGTTCTGGTTCCAATAAAGTGCTATGTGTCTGTGGGATCAAAGGATCAAACATAATGAACCTAGCGCTGGGGAGCCAGGTGATCTCCTCAGAGAATGGTGAAGCATTATGGACTCAGCATTAGCTTTTGCTATTGTCATATTGAACGCATGACAAACATAATAATCAGATCATTATTAAAGGACGTTCATGTCATTGAGTCTATGCCTAACTCCTTTGCTGCTGCTCTAGCCACTTTATATATGAGCTTCCTGGGCAAATGCTGGAAGAATGGTCATTTCATCCAGCTGATTACTGGTAGCCTCTTCTATGATGGATATCCTCTTGTGGGTAATTATTTGGGACGTGAATATCTTCATACTTTGTGCCCATTTTGAATATTGTCATTTTCATGGTCTTTCCCAGCTCTGTGTCACCAATTTTCTATTTTTTTACGTGTTTCTACCAATTTTCGGGACCATGAGCCACTGTGAATCTATAACTCAAGCCATCTCTTCTTTCACACTAAATAACCGACCAAATGTACCTTCAAAATTGTGCCACCTGGGAAACTTTTCATTCAACTTGGTAGTATAAGGTCAGTGCTTAGTGGAGTGGTAATGTGAAAGTCATCAACGTCAGCCTGGTCTAGCAGACCATGCAGGCTTACCCATTAACCATGTCACTGCATTTTTCTCCTATGCTCAGGGAGGAAATAACTCTAGATGTCTTGTGCTATGATTCTTCTTTGGGATTTTTCAGATGCTCCTAGAATATATCTCTCTGCCTTAATATCTTCAGTATTTTTGGATCTTTGGCATATGATCCAAGCAGTAAGCTAGCTTGTACTCAGTCTGGACCTGTTGTAGAAATTTCTGCCCTAGGTCTCAATCATACTGGCATCCATAAGAGTTATCTAAAAAATGGGCAGAGAACAATGATCACATGTAGAATATGTTGCCACCAAAACCTTAGGGCTCTCACCACGCACTGTGCCTCCTTCTTTTGATGGGCAGTATAAAGTGAAGCAAGTTTTCAGGTACTTTAATGGGAATATACTTACATGCTCCATACCACTTGATTCTTAGAAATTTTACCAATAAGGTAGGATTTAAATTTTTAGGGCTTATTTACCACACTTTTGGAAACATATCTAACAGCAAAGCAGCAGGGATTCTTGCTACTTACTTCTTACTATATCACCTAGCATAACATCATCAATATAATGGATAGGTAAGGTGTTATAAAAGATATTAAGATGATCAAAAGTCCTTCAGATAGTGGTATAACAGAGAGAAAGAGCAAAGAAGTAAACATATGCTATTTTCCTTGCTACATAAATGCAAAATGCTTCTGATTTTCCTTACTTACAAGAATATGACCAACAGTATTAAGCAGGCCTGTTGCCACACACCAGGTGTCAGCTTTATGAGGATTTTCCCCAATAAAATATTGTATCCAGGAGAGCACTGTAATTGGCATTACCACCTCATAAGTTTATGAAAATCTACTATCAACTTCCCAGGTACATTGGACTTTTGCACAGGCCAAGCAGGTGATAAAATGGAGATGTGATGGGAGTCACCATCCATGCATCTTTCAGATCTTTGATAGTGGCTTTGTATTCTACATTTGTCCTAGTGAAGTTGTATTGTTTTTAATTTACCATTTTTGATGGTTGACAGAACTTCCAGTGCTTTTACTTTCCCCTTCCTGCCATCATGATTCTGAATTCACAAGTCAGGAAAGCAATATGACATGTCTTTCAGTTAATATCTTTTTCTTATCTTCTGCCTTAAATTAGGAAATAAATCACAGGATGGCTACAAAATAATACTACATCCTCTTGAAGCCAGACTCTTTTTTACAGTGCAAGTTATGAAAGAAACTGTGTTAAACCAGTCAAAGGTGCCCTCCAATGAGCCCAGCTATACTTGCCTTTCTTGGAATTGTGTAAACCCTTTCTTGGAAATGTGTAAAATCTGCAACTTGCTTGTAACCAATTAAGTATGGCAAAGATAATGAAAGAAACATCTCCCTGATTATCTCACATTATGTGGCAAAGGAGAAAAAAATATGCAGATGTAATTAAGGTCTCTAATCTGTTAACTTGGGACAACAAAAGAGAGATAATCCTGGTTGAGTCATTTACAAGAGGGCCTAGGCTTTTCTTAAAGTGAGAGACTTCAAGGAGCAGAGGCTTTCTAATGTTAGCTTTTAAGGAGTAAGCTGCTATGGATTCCATGGTCATGATAAAATGACATCTGCCAACAATGTGAGGGAGCTTGCAAGCAGATACTTCTCTAGTAGGACACCCATATAAGAATACAGCTCAGCCAAAAGCTTGATTTTAGCCTTATAAGGCTCCAGAGAACCTAGAACCCAACTAATTTATTCCCCAACTTCTAACCTGTAGAAACTATGAGATGATGGAAGGATATTATTTTAAGCCACCATTTTAATGGTAGTTGGTTTCACAGCATAGAAAACTAATATAAGAAATATTTTTTACTATAATCCTAGAGCAAGATTACCTGACCACAGTACTTTGAGATTTTGGACCAGATAATTCTTAATTGTTAGGAATTGTCCTGTGCATTATAAAACATTTAGGAGCATCTCCAACCTCTATGCATTAAATGCCAGCAGCACCCGCTCTCCTAGTTGTGACAACCAAAAAATATCTCCAGAGATTTACAAATGTCTCCTGGAGGACAAAAGTCATCCCAGTTTCAGAACTATTGGCATGGAGGCAACAAAAAGTGGCAGAGATTTGTCTATACCCATATCATCAAGCTCTTGTGAGGTTGGGAGGCAATCATCAGCAGTGTAATTATTAAATGCTTTTTATTTTGTTTATTTATTTTTTGGTAGATAGGGGGTTTCTTGCATCAGCAAATAAGCATTAGAGAAATTTAAAATTTCAACGTTATCCGTCTCATTCATATCTATCTGCACATCTCTATGCTTCAGGAACCTAATCCTTCCCCAACAATGCCTTTACTTCTGGATTGCAGAAAAAGATATGAGGGATTGAACACTTTTTGGAGCTGAAACCATACAATTTTCATGAGAAATTGGGGGTTTGGTTCTTAGCCATGCCTGTGGTGTGGTATTGTGATTGCAGAAGATGAAAGACTCATTCAAACTGCAAATGAGGCATTCTGATTCTTTATATGTGTTCTTACATATATGTTTCTAGATTTTTATTTCTCTTATTTTCTCTATATATGTTTTCTAGGGATGCTAAAGGAACCAAACAGATACCCAATCCTTCTAATGATGAGATGTCACAGCCATTCCCAATGCCGTATCTTCCCACCTGTGCTTCATCCCATGCCACCACCAGTAATAATTGGAATCATCATGGTAATGATTCCAGTCCCCTTCTAAATAAGGTCATTCTTGTACTCCTCAAATATATGAGCAATATAGTCTCAAAATCCTATGTTAAGTGTATATTTCATTGACGCTGTTTCTTGAAGTCTGTCAGGTGTCCAAAAGGTATCTAAATTATATACTCAAATAAGAATAATTCAAAACATGGATTAACATGGAAACTATTTACAAAGATATGTATAGGACAGAGGGAAAACAGAAAAGGTACAGAAACCCAGGCTAGTGAAAGTGCAAATTTAATAATCCTAGGTCCAAGTGGATGAGAAGGGAAAGTGAAAACTGAAAACTGGAAGGAGAGTACTGTTGTTGTCGTTTCTTTCTTTTCTTTTCTTTTTTCTCTACTTTTTCTTAATGACGTTGACTTTAAGATATTAAGTGATTTTGTACAATGTTTCTAAACATTGTTTTTTTCTGGTCTTTTCTCATAAGTAGATTGAGATTACGCATTCTTGGTAAGAATCCAAAAAAAAGTGATGTTTCATTCTTCTCAGTGCATAGTATCAGGGAATATATGATGCCCATAAGTCTAATTTACTTGTTTTTAAGTCTAATTTACCTGTTTTAAATTTGCTGTTTATCTGTAAAATTAACCATTTTATTTTTATAATTAATTGTTATCATTTGGGAAATGCTTTAAAACTATGCAAATATCTTATTTCTCATTATAGTTTTACTTGTTAATTTTAACATTCATCCATTGATGATTATTTTATTTACTTATTTTTACGTTTTAAATTTTACTTTAAGTTCTGGGATACATGTGCAGAACGTGCAGGTTTGTTACGTAGGTATACATGTGCCATGGTGGTTTGCTGCACCTATCAACCCATCATCTAGGTTTTAAGTCCTGCATGCATTATGTATTTGTCCTAATGCTCTCCCTCCTCTTGCCCCCAACACACTGACAGGCCCTGGTGTGTGATATTCGCCTCCCTGTGTTCATGTGTTCTCATTGTTCAACTCCCACTTATGAATGAGAACATGCAGTGTTTGGTTTTCTGTTCCTGTGTTAGTTTGCTGAGGATGATGGTTTCCAGCTTCATCCATGTCCCTGAAAAGGACATGAACTCATTCTTTTTTATGGCTGCATGGTATTCCATGATGTATATGCGCCACATTTTCTTTATCCAGTCTCTCATTGATGAGCATTTGCGTTGGTTCAAAGTCTTTGCTAGTGTAAATAGTGTGGCAATAAACATATACGCATGTGTCTTTATTGTAGAATGATTTATAATCCTTTGGGAATATACCTAGTAATAAGATCGCTGGGTCAAATGGTATTTCTGGTTCTAGATCCTTGAGGAATCTCCACACTATCTTCCACAATGGTTGAATTAATTGACACTCCCACCAACAGTGTAAAAGCATTCTTATTTCTCCACAGCCTTGCCAGCATCTGTTGTTTCCTGACTTTTTAATAATCACCATTTGGACTGGCATGAGATGGTATCTCATTGTGGTTTTGATTTGCATTTCTCTAATTACCAGTGATGATGAGCTTTTTTTCATATATTTGTTGGCCACGTAAATGTCTTCTTTTGAGAACTGTCTGTTCATAACCTTTGCCCACTTTTTGATGGGGTTGTTTGTTTTCTTGTAAATTTAAGTTCCTTGTAGATTCTGGATATTAGACCTTTGTCAGATAGGTAGATTGCAAAAATTTTCTCCCATTCTGTCGGTTGCCTGTTCACTCTGATGATAGTTTCTTTTGTTGTGCAGAAGCTCTTTAGTTTAATTAGATTCCATTTGTCAAGTTTGGATTTTGTTGCAATTGCTTTTGGCATGTTTTGTCATGAAGTCTTTGCCCATGCCTATGTCCTTATGATATTGCCTAGGTTTTCTTCTAGAGTTTATTTGGTTTTGGGTTTTACATTTAAGTCTTTAATCCATCTTGAGTTAATTTTTGTATAAGGTGTAAAGAAGGGATCTGGTTTCTGTTTTCTGCATATGGCTAGCCAGTTTTCCCAGCACCACTTATTAAATAGGGGATCCTTTCTCCATTGCTTGTTTTTGTCAGGTTTGTCAAAAATCAGATGGTTGTAGTTGTGTGGTCTTATTTCTGAGGTCTTCGTTCTGTTCCATTGGTCTATATATCTATTTTGGTACCATTACTATGCTGTTTTGGTTACTGTAGTCTTATAGTATAGTTTGAAATCAGGTAGTGTGATGCCTCCAGCTCTGTTGTTTTTGCTTAGGATTGTCTTGGCTATACGGGCTCTTTTTTGGTTCCATATGAAATTTAAAGTAGGTTTTTCTAATTTGGCATAGAAAGTCAATGGTAGCTTTATGGAACAGCATTGAATCTATCAATTACTTTGGGAAGTATAGCCATTTTCACAATATTGATTCTTCCTGTCCATGAACATGGAACTTTTTTCCATGTGTTTGTGTCCAGTCTGATTTTCTTAAGCAGTGGAACACAGTTCTCCTTGAAGAGGTCCTTCACATCCCTTGTAAGTTGGATTCCTAGGTATTTTATTCTCTTTATAGCAGTTTTGAATGGAATTTCACTCATGATTTTGCTCTCTGGTTGTGTGTTGTTGGCGTATAGGAATGCTTGTGATTTTTGCACATTGATTTTGTATCTTGAGACTTTGCTGAAGTTGCTTAGCTTAAGGAGTTATTGGGATGTGACAATGGGGTTTTCTAAATATACAATCATGTCATCTGCAAACAGAGACAAATTGACTTCCTCTCTTCCTATTTGAATACCCTTTATTTCTTTCTCTTACCTCATTGTCCTGGCCAGAACTTCCAAATAACCTCTCATTATAGTTTTAGTTGTTAATTTTAACATCCATTGATGATTATTGCCTACAACATTTATATTATGTAGCATTTGTCTAATGGTGATTTTCTAATTTCATCAGTCTTTTGTCATGCTTATTTATTTACACTCTACTGTAAGAAATAACTGCTCTTTCACCTGCATGTTTTTTTATCTTATTTTCATTTTCAGTGGAGTTGCTTATTTGTTATGTATTTATTTATCATTGTTGCCATTTCTAATTATAAATTTGCAGGGGGATGTAGAGGTTCCAAGAACTAGAGAGGAGAGATTTTTAGAGAGAACTGCTAGGATGACTATTGCTAGAAGGGCTCAGCGGTCCTGAGGCAACTCTGCAAAGAGGAAGTTGGGGAAAACATCCTGCCCTCAAGTTTCTTCTCTCTGACATTCATCACTGTTTTTATTAATAAAAATACACTACAAGCCAGAAAACTAGGTTCTTCTTTGATGTTATCTATACAGATTAGCCTCCTGGGGCAAGAGCATGGTGAAGAAAAATAGCAAAGAATTCTGGAGGGACAAAGAAGAAATATCATGCAGAGTTAACTTTTAGATATGATAACTAAAATATTTCTCTTTTATTACAACAATGCAAGCAAGTCTTTCTTAGGTTTCAATAAATAAAATCTACACCTTCTGAAGGTAATGTCCTAGTTTTTTTCTTTGGGTATGGTCAGATCATATTTCATTTATGAACAACAGCTTTCTTAAAACCCTATAATGGGAAATGACCTTTAAAACCTGCTGAATACCATGCAAGATAAAAGATTTGGCAGCTCCGATGCCTTCTTTAAGCCCTAGATACTTTAACAAAATCAAAGACAGCAAGTTTAATGGTACTCTCTTTATCCTAAACCTGACAATTTAAAACCAGAACCTCACACACAAATGTGTCACACGCAGAAATCAGTTACCTTTGCATTTAAAGTTCACATTCATCCTTGCGACTACTAAGCTTATACTTAGCTTGGGGTGCCAGATCGCCTTCGTGAATACACTGAGATGCCAGTGAGATTGTTGGTCCCAAAGTGAGATTATCTGAAATTTACTAGGACACCATCCCAGCTACATGACTGTCAATGGTCAGAGATCCAAGTTTATCTGAAATATAACTATAAAAGAGATAAGTGCACCTTTCTTTAAGAATGGCAGAGAAATACATGATATAAAGAATATATAAAAAATATGTAATTAGTCTTAGCGTTGATTTCATTGGCTTCTCAAAGCTTGTAGATATGGATTAAAATGTTATCATAAAAACAAGGCGTTTAACTTTTTCTGTAGACCATTGCAATTTGGAGTGGCTTAATAGAAGGATGTGTTTAGAGTAATGAAGGACTAGGTTTAGATCATGTTCTTGGTGTTAGCTGATTTTGAACAAATAACATGCTCTGTCTCAGACTTCGCTTTCTTGTTTGTATGATAATACTTCCAGGGATTTTTTTTTAAGAATTAGAGATGCAGTATTTAAAGTAAATGCAGTTAGTAGCCATTAAACCATAAAACTACTCTTCTTATACTCACGAAAAAATTATATTAACACATTGAGTTAATTAACTCACTGACATTGTTTTTTGTTGTTGTCATTGCTTTCGTTTTTTTACAATTTTTTAAATTATTAAATCACGTTGAATTTTGCATGTGTGCACACTGACATCTATACACCAGTTAATGAAGTGTATTTTAAGATCTCTAGTAGCTAAGTAGCACTGGAACCTACTGAGTCACTGGAACGGTAGCCTCTGTAGGCTCTCTTAGTCTTCTATTAAATGTTAATTTTTTTATCCTAAAGAAGTAAGACTTTAAAGAATATAGTTATCTGTAGTCACATAAAATATTAGAGATAACTCTTATAGGAATCACACTTATTAATGTAAAATGTGCCCCGCAGTCATTATTCAGCAATATTTTGTTTCATAATGTCCATATACCATCTAAAAACCGTACTAGGTTCTGTTAAATATGACAACACTGTATTACTTGTGTTTGGGGAATAAGGTGGGGATCTATATATTTGTGTATATGCCTTTTACCAACTATATGGGAGGTAGCCATGAGAAGGCCAGTGGTGCCTCAGAGAAGCATGTGCTACAGTCCAGAGTAAGAGAGGACAGACCACAACAAGGCTGTGAGTGAGGGCATTCTTCTCTTTCCACTGGAAGAAATCTTTTCATATATTTTGTGCACTTTCCAAAAGAAAAAGGAGCTGACTCTCCCACAGTATTGCACGGCAAGGTTCTGGCTTAAGTAAGCTGAGTACTAAGGGAATAAGTGAGGCTCGTGAAGAGTATAATATAGAGACATACATTCAGGGAGCACATCTACGGCAGCAATGCTGTTAGAGATTTTTACTTCAAACAATTTAATTAGTCCAAAGATTAGAATATTAACTAAGACTCTCATTATATAATAGGAGTCTTAACAGAAATTGCTTTTTAAAAAATAATATTATCAATGTTAATTCACACAATACTGAAAACACATAAGCAATTTTTTTAAAAGATATGGATATTGATTCATGGTCATTCTATAAAATTTTCAACATAGGGTCTTTCCTTTGAATGGAAACTGTTACTGTTCCCCCAGGGTCTCTTGTTTGAACCTCTTCGCTTCTTGCTCGGTTGTGTCTCTGGAAGAACCCATTCTTACCAAAGGACTCAGCTACCAGTAATGATGACCATTGAGCAGACGTAAGGCTTGATTTTGGTTCCTCTGCTGTGCTGTACTTCTCCCTATTTCAGGCTTTTGTACAATTTATTCCATTTGATCAGAACACTCTTCATTCCACCTGGCTAATACTCAGTAACTGATTAAATTTATAGCTTAAATGTTTCTCCCTCAGGGAAGTCTACCTTGATCCACCAGGCTAACATGATTCTTCCTTGTGTATGCTCTGGGGCACTCGAAAATTTATCAGTTATAAAAACAATGTTTATTTTCCCTTGTCCCTTCCCTATAGATTCTCTAACAAAAAGTAGGTTTCTTTCCTTTCCATTGTATCTAAGCCCATGTAGCTAATTGTCTTTTGAATATCTCTACTTGGATATTCAAGGCATCTCATTAATCAACCCTCCCCTCCATTTGAGCCATATTCATATTATCTGCCTTTCTCTTCCTTCACCCTCAATTTTTACCTTGCCCTATATTTTCTATCTTTGAATGATGCCATGGTCTACTCAGGTTTGTGATGTTCCTTTTGGAGTCTTGGAATTTCCCACCATACCACATGGAGGCATCCAATTCTATGTTTTTGGGCCCAAGCTTTCCAGGAGAAATGAAAACTTATAATGATATTTAAGGTAAAGAGAGGTATTAGTTCATTGTCACACTGCTATAAAGACATACTTGAAACTGGATAATTTTTGAAAAAAAGAGGCTTACTTGGCTCACAGTTCTGCAGGCTGTACAGGCTTCTGCTTCTGGGGAGGCCTCAGGAAACTTACAATCATGGTTGAAGGCAACGGGGAAGCAAGCACATTTTCAAATGGCCAGCAAGGAAGAGAGAGTGAACAGGGAGGTGCTATACACTTTCAAACAAGCAGATCTCATGAGAACTCTATCACAAGACAGAATTAGGGGGATGGGCGAGACTATTAGAAACTAACCCCGTGATTCAATCACCTCTGACCAGGCCCAACTTCCAACACTGGGGATTACAATTCAACATGAGATTTGGGTAGGGACACAGAGCCAACCCTCATCCAGAGGTATAACTCTCTAATCCTTCCTACTTACCTTTATTATTTATGACAATTAGTCTGTCTTACACTTACATATACTAATTCTCTAACAAAAATCTTACTTATCATTGTGCTTGATTGCAAATAAATGCTTTGCATTTTCTTCACATGCATTTGATATTGTCAGTATTCTGAATTTTGGCCAATCTAATAGGTGTGTAGTGGTGTCTTGTTGTTTTAATTTTCATTTCCTTTGTGACATGCTATGGAGTATCTTTTGATATTCTCACTTGCATTTTATGTGGAAGTTGTAGTCATTTTAACAATTTTAGGTGTTGTCTAAATTTTGTAATTCTTAAAAGTTAAATGCACTTTTCTTCAAAAGTAAAAAAGAGTTCTTTCAATGCCTTCTTGCAAACTTCTTTATCTCACAGTAGAGGGACATTGCGAAACTGTCATAAAAATTATCCACAAACATTTTTCTGGGATCATTGAACTCCTGAGAGAATTACAGTGTTTACTCAATTCATGGCTACAAACAATACCCAGATTATTTATATCTCATGAAAAGTTTTTGAAATTATCTATGGATAATTTAGCAATTACATTGACACAACATTATCACCCAAAGTCCACAGTTGACCTTAGGTTTCCCTCTTGTGCCTTCTATTGGTTTTGACTAACGTATAAGGACATATATCACCATTATGGTATCATACAAAGTAGTTTCTCTACTGAAAAAATCCTCTGTGCTCTGCCTGTTCATCCCTTCCTTCCCCTAACTTCTGGGAACTACTGATCTTTTTACTGTCCTCATAGTTTTGCCTTTCAGCGTTTTCAGATTGACTTCTTTCATTTAGTAATATGCATTTAAGAATGCTTCATGCCTTCTCATAACTTGATAGAAAAAATCCATTATGACAAATACTAGGGAGCTCAACTGCTGGATCATATGGTAAGAGTAGGTTTAGTTTAGTAATAAACTATCAAATGGTCTTCCAAAGTGGCTGTACCATTGTTTATTCCCACAAGTAATGAATGAGACCTCCTGTTTTTCCACATCTTCACCTGCATTTGGTATTGTCAGTATTCTGAGATTTGACCATTCTAATAGGTGTGTATCTTGTTGTTTTAATTTACATTTTCTTTATTACATGCTATGGAGTATCTTTTGATATGTTTACTTGCCATCTCCATATCTTTCTTGGTGAAGTATCTGTTAAGGTCTTTGGCCCATTTTTTAATTGAGTTGGTCATGTTCTCTCTGCCCACATTACCCATTAGTTCTTGCATGTTGTCTACTTTGTTCCATTAGAGCCCTTCACATATTAAACATAGTTAATTTAAATTCCCAGTCTGATAATTCTGTTATTCTGGCCATATTTGAGTCTGGTTCCAATGCTTAAAACTGTGCTTTTTACTTTTCAGTACGCCTCGTAATTTTTTTTGCCAAAAGCTGAAGATGACATACTAGGTAAAAGGAATTTCAGTAAATAGGCTTTTATTAACATATTGGTAAGATGTGGGAGGAGAAAAAGTGTTCTATAGTTTTATAATCAGGTCTCAATCTTTTGGTGAGCCTGTGCCCCTAGATTATGAATCTCACAAGCACCTCTCAGGTTATTCCCTTTCCTTAGGTGAGATAGGATGGCTAGCATGGGCTGAAATTGAGTATTTCCCTTACCTCAGGTAGGTTAGGTGCTCATAAAACCCTAACAGGTTAGGTTCTGGTAAATAGTTTATGTTGAGAGAAGGACTTATTAAGAAGAACAGAATGTTCTGGCATATTTCAAAATGTTACTTGCCCCCTATTCCTGCTTGAAGCAGACAATTTGTCTCTGATATTTACTGTGAGAACATGGTAGAACAAAACTTTGCATTTGAAGTGTAGTTTGACAAGCAGGACTCTTTCAGAATGAACCCAGGAGCGTACTCTATTACCTGAACAATGAGTCAACAGTGACCTGAGGCTCACTAGTCAATAGGAAAGTGCCCTCAAACTCTGCTTTTCTAGGGTTGAGTGCTTTCCTTCTCCTGGCAGGAGGTACTGTCCCTGAAGTCAACTTCCTACAGATCCCTAGGTATTCCAGGTAATGGGAACTGTATTTCTTAGGCAACAATTCTAAACAGCTAGAATTGCAACTCAGAATGATTGGTGACCCAGTCATATTGTCATCCCTCTACTGAAAAAGTTGTTTTCTAAAAATGTGAGGATTATAGAGTCCTCCTTCTACTGTTCAAAATGAAATACTCCACTGCATATCTAGAAAGTGTCATCGTCATGCATGCTTCTCCATAGGATTAACAAGAGGGCCAGAAGGAACTGTATTTTCTCTCCTTATTGAACACTTACCTTGTACATTTCCCTCAATAAAATGCATTCTTTGGTGCATACCATGTGTTTTGGAATTACCCTGATGTATGATATGTGGTGACCACAAAGAGGCCCTCTTTGCAGAGTACTTACTCATACTTACTCTTACTCATTCTAGGATATCTGTTCTCCCAGGAATGTCATAGATATGGTCCTTTCTTGTTTGTTGCTAGTTTCTTCTTTTTCTCTGTCTCTCCTGTCCTTTCATAAAATCCCTTCCCCTCCAAAAACATAATAACAATAAAATATTTTTGTAACATATTAATGAAAGAGAAATAAGCAAGATTCCCTCTAACCCAGAGTAACGTGCATGAAGTTAACTCTATCCTTTCTAGAAAAATTCTAGTCAAAAGCTCAGGCCAGGGATCTAGAAAATATCCAAAATAGTTACTAATACTTGTAAACATATTCAAAAAACAACCCCTCTCCCTTTATTCATATAGAAAAATATGGCTTCAATTCAACAAGTTTTCTATGTATATATTCTCAATAATCAAATGTTCAAGTAAATTCATACTATGATTTGTTATTCAATTCAAAACCCTACAATGATAATATATATATAATATGTATAGAGAGAAGAGTATGCTACAGTACTGTATATGACATATACTATGTACTCTGTACCATACTATGTAATTCATTATAATATAAAGGTAATTTATATAGGACCAAAGTTTGGGTGCAGGAGTATGCACATGGCTCAAGAAAACAGAATTTGGTATATTTTGAGGAGATTGACATGAGAAGTACGAGACTGGAATTTCTCTTCTCTTACGAGAGGAAGAGCTATAAGGATCATGTAAGCCCAAGCCTGAAGAATTCTTTCCAGCCATGGGCAGAGTTTTTTCAAGGAATGAAGCCAACATAACTGAAAGCAGAGGTGAAAAACTGAGTAAGAAACACTATGACACCATCTTACAGTGAAGAGAGCAAATACATTTTATTTTTAGTTTGCTTTATGTGTATTGTAGTTTTAAAAGTAAGTTTAAGTTTGTTTTATGACACTTAAAACTGAATGACTTCTGATTAATTATCTTTCTTCTATAATGTGATGTATATTTCTTCTCTACAAATCAGAATTATATTTTGGCCTAGTTCGTTTCTTAAGAGGTAAACAGGGTATTTATAAGGCTCCTGGCAGGAAAAAAGACTTGACAATCTCAAGAAATAAATTGAAAAGAATTATTAAAGAGACAACTTATGGAGGTGTGGTCAGGGTCAGAGAAACTGACAAGATATGAGAAAGCTGTTGGAAAAGAGGAACAATAGAAAGCTTGTCCTACCCCTGGGACCCCAGAAGCACAAACAGAGGGAATTTTATCAGAAGGTGGTGAAGGCTGTGGCATGGAGTGAACCTGTGAAGCTTTCTCCTGCATGAGCAGAGGCCAATTAAATTACATCTAACTATATTTTTTAGGCAGTGTGATAATTAAACAACCCAATTTCTACCATAATCAGTGTGTACTTCTCTAAAATAACAAGTATGAAAGAATGTGCCTCTGTATTTTTAAATTTTAATTTCTATTACATTGGTTTGCCATAAATTGATTCAGTGTGGTAGAAGCATTCTTTATCATCTCTCCCTTTACATTTCTGTGAATTCTGTTTTCTCTGTTGAGTGAGCATTAAAATATTTAAAGAGATTTTCTTGGTGAGTTTAAATTCAATGTTAATATTTTATTAAGGTATAGCTTCACAAAGAAATGCAACAATCAACAATGATCAGAGGCCCTGGGCTTTGGAAATGAGTAAGAGTCGGCTTATAAAAATACCATTTTAAGTAGTCTTCTTTCTGATTGGCCAGAATTAAGTAAAATCAAACAGAAGTTTTGTTCAGTTGTGCTTGTACTTAAGCTCTTTTTTTTTCCTGTGATGCTTTTCCAAGGGCAAATGTGATTGAAGCAAGGCAGTCTGTCAGTATTCTTACTCATTCTAGGATATCTGGTCTCCCAGGACTGTCATAGATACAGTCCTTTCTTGTTTGTTGCTAGTTTCTTCTTTTTCTCTGTCTCCTCATTCCTTCATAAAATCCCTTCCCCTCAAAAAACATAATAACTACATTTTTTTCTAACATATTAATGAAAGAGAAATAAGCAAGATTCCCTCTAACCCAGAGTAACGTGCATGAAGTTAACTCTATTCTTTCTAGAGGGATTCTAGTCAAAAGCTCAGGCCAGTGATCTAGAAAAGGCAGTACCAAGACTACAGTGTGATGTTAGAGAACATATTTGGAGCAGGCAGATCTTGCTAAATGTTTCAACATAATTCCTGTAGACAATTGTATATTCTCTCCCTAATTATGTCCACAGATTGGCAACACACAGGCCCTGTTCACCTCTAAAATATATTTTACTTTAGTCTCAAAAAAGTGTTAATATGGTCAATGTTTATAGGTAGAAGATGTTACTCACATTTAAAAATGGAAAGGTTTTTACATGTAATTCCAAATTTCCCTCTTCTCTTGAAAAATGTGACTGTCAAATAATGGGATGAATTCAACTGAATTCCATCTTAAAGGGTACAAAATCTACAGCTCACTAAGATCTATTGTATTTAGAAGCCAAATTGCCCTGTTTCACTTATCATGACATGTATACTGTTTTTCTTTTCTGAATATCAGGTTAAGAAAAAAGTTAAAATATTTCTTACATTCTCGTGTATTATAAGTAGAAAAGTAACAACTAAATTAAATTAAAAGGCTATAGATTTCAAGAAAACTAAAGAAAGTGGATCTCTTTGATTAAAAAAATTAAAAATCATACCTGGTTTACAAAAGTTGTATCTTTGTCAAAACACTAATTAAAATTACCTTACAAAATAAATCCTGCCCTTTTAAGCATGGGCATTCTTTTCCTGGCCACTGTCAGCAATGATACGGCTACTCCTATTTTACCCACTGGTATGAGAATATTTTGAGGCATACTCTTTTTCCTTTTCTCTTTTCGGATCCCCATCCCCTCCCACCACACACACATTCACGTTCACATTCACAGTATGAATACCTCAGACTTATATTCTGCCTTTGAGTCTTAGTTGCTTTGCATATACTGATATTTCTTAAAGTTTCAAACCCTTAAAGGTGTAAATAATTATCGTTATTTTATGAAAGAGCATATCAGAAAGATTGAGAATATTGTTTGAAATCCTAAGGTTTGTAAACAGTATTCCAACTCTTGGATTAAACTTCATGGTTGTACAACTACACATTTATATAAATGGTAAATATGTTTTGAAAGTGACTGCCTTTAAAAAAATGACAGAATTATTAGGATAAAAGTCATAGAATAGAGGATTAAACGTTATTGAATCAATAACTAATTTGCTACAAATATTCCATGTTATCAGAAGGTTAGCTCTTCTCCTTTGAAAAGTTCACCCAAATATATCCCTTTGGTGCATTTATAAATATGTAATGTATTTAAAAATATAAAATTGTCAGATGAGTATAATTATTAAAGAAATATACTATACAATGAATGAATTCTTCATAACAATGACCTTAGTATATAGTCTTATAGCAGAAATGTTGATGCTGAGATTTAGAAAACATAGGAAGTAATGGAGAGTGAGATATAGCATATTATGTTACAAGGCACTATTTCACTTCATTTAGCAAGGCCTGAGTAAACTACTGAGAGAGACCACTATGTTAAAATTTGTTTAAAGAATCAAAATAATTCAATGATTAAAAATTGAAATTACAACTTATTGATCATTAATTATTTCTAAGGCATAATTATACTATGTCCTTTATATACAGTATGCCTTTTATTTCCTACATATTCTGAGGTTAAGCTTGATATTGAGTCTAAGGCTAATCAATGTTGCTAAATTGTAGGAATCCAAGGGACAGCTAGTAAGGGGCACAGCTAGAATTCAACTCCAGGACTATTTTGCTTCAAGTTAGCTTCTCTTAATCATTATGCCACACTGTTACTTCTGCTAAGACGAAATTAAGTATTAATATAGAAAGAAATAATAAGAACAACAGAAGAGTAATGCTTAAAGAGAGAAATAATTAAGTTGGATAAGTTAATACAGAAAAGACAAAAACAAGACAGTGTTAATAGAGACTTTTCTGAAGTAGTGATATTACTTTCTTTTTTTTTTTTGAGACGGAGTCTCACTGTGTTGCCCAGGCTGGAGTGCAGTGGTGCTATGGCAGCTCACTGCAAGCTCCGCCTCCCAGGTTCTTGCCATTCTCCTGCCTCAGCCTCCCGAGTAGCAGGGACTACAGGCGCCCGCCACCACGCCCAGCTAATTTTTTTCTATTTTTAGTAGAGACGGGGTTTCACTGTGTTAGCCAGGATGGTCTCGATCTCCTGACCTCGTGATCCACCAGCTTTGGCCTCCCAAAGTGCTGGGATTACAGGCGTAAGCCACTGCGCCCGGCCGTGATATTACTTTCTTTAAGTGTTTTTAATCACATTTTGTGGTAGGCATTACTAGCATTCACAATTATTTAAGATTTTTCTCCTCAACTCATAGATGATGACCCTCCCCAGCTGCATTACACAAAGGTAGGGCCATGTGACTAATGGCAGCCAATGAGCTATAACTAAAAACGGTGCATGTCTTTTGTGGGCGGAAGCACTGAAAAGCAGATAAGAGTAACAATATGGAAGATATTTATATGTCTGTGAGGAGCAGATGTCCCTACCAATACAAAATGGTTAAGTTGCATACGTAAGATCTAGGCTTTTGTTTTCTTGAGCTCCTGAGATTTGAAATTATTTGTCACTATGGCATAGTCTATCCCATATTTCCTAATATAATGAATATCAAATGCATACAAAACAGTATTGATAATAGGATTATAAATATTTTAATGCGTTTTCTCTTTCTGTATATAAACAGAAATACACACACACACACACACACACATATATATATGTAAGATTTATATAAAAGAACTGGCTTATGTGATTGTGGAAGCTGGAAAGTTTGAAATTTGTAGGGCATTCGAGCAGGCTGGAAATTCAAGTAAGAGTTGATGTCATAGTCTTGAGTTTAAAATATGTAGGACAGGCCAGATAAAACTCAGGCAGAGTTCTACATTGCGGTCTTGAAGTAGAATTGCTTCTTCCCCAGCAAACTTCTCTTTTCTCAAGGCCTTCAACTAATTGAAAGAGGCCCACTTTTGTTATGATGTATAATTTGCTTTACTTAAAGTCAAATGATTGTAAATGGTATTCACATTCACAAGTACCTTCAAAGAAGCATCTAGACGTGTTTTACCACACAACTGGGCACCTTATCCAAGCCAAGTGGACACATAAAATTAACCATTACAATAAGTAATAAAAAATAATGTCCACCATCTTATTTAATGGCAATATTGTCAGTAATATTGATATCTCCCATAGGAAATACGTGTATTTCTCATGGAAATTCAGGTTATACCTATGCATAAGCTCTTGAAAATTGTAATAGAAAATAAGTCAAATTATTAACCTACTCAAATATTTACATAGTGTTATGGGCCGAATTGTGCACCCCAAAATATGTTGAAGTCCTAACCCCAGTACTTCAGGATGGGACCTTATTTGGAGATGGGGTTTTTTTACAGAGATAGTCACCTTAATCGAGGTCATTAGTGTAAGTCCTAATCCAATGTGACTGGTGTCCTTACTGAAGGGAGAAATTTGGACACAGAGATACACATAGATGATGAGGTGAGGAAGCAGGGAGAAGACAGCCATCTATTGAGTTTCCTCTCAAACTTTAGAAAGACTTAACCCTTCTCACACTTTCACTTTGCACTTTTGGCCTCTAGAGCTGTGAAACAATAAATTTCCATTGTTTACAACACCCACTCTGTTAATCATTCTTTGTTTCAGCAATCTTAGCTAACTAGTACACATAGTGTAAGCAAAACATTTCAATGAACTATTTTATGACTGAATCTAATTGATAAATTGGTAGTGTTATATATTTCTATTCTTTTTGTCCTCCAGTATTTTTTTAATTATGGTGAAAGAATTTTAAAAAAAAATGAGAATTCCCACTGAGTGCAAGGTCATGCTAACTTATTAAATGTTTCTGCTTCAACTAGATTTGAAAGACATATTTGAAATTTGCATATCATATACTCTTTAAAACTAATATGTGTAAAAAGTTGTAACACTCTATTATTAGAAAAGATACATAGTGTTAGTATGTTTTTATTTATAGTGATTCTTTTTGAAAGATTTAAAATGCCTTTCTAATGTAAACCTTTTATAGTTGGTTATAACTTCACAAATTATTTGTAAATAGTAAGATTAAATAGTCTATATTTTTTACTGTTAGCAATCAAAATGTGAATTCACCATTGATATAAAAATACTTTTCTTTCTGTATCATACTAAAGATGAAAATCAAAATTTCCTTTCAAATTGGTGTGAATATATTTAATAGACTTTTATTTAAGCAAAACAATATTATGTATGACTTTAAAAAGAAAGATGAAAGATAATAACAATCAATAGAGAAAAAAGCATGATACGTAAAATATTAATCGAAAATAAAGACATCCTAAGGTTTATACCACCTTAAAAATTAACATATTCTTTAGCATGTGCATAAAATATTTAATTTGTCATTTTCCTTACTATTGATATTTTATAAAAGTAAGGTAATGATAAACTTTTTTATAAAGTTTTGTAGATGTTCTTTTAAAAAATAAACAACCATAAATTGAAAAATTTATTGAAATATATTTTTCTACTCAAGAAAATACACTTGTGAGATCTAGAGAGAGAAAGTGAAACAATAGCCAAGATGTATAATACTTTTTAAATTAATTACAGTATTTTTAACAGTAATGATTTTTCTCTTCACGGTGCCTTCCCTGAAAGAATATATGTAATAGTTAAAACATTTTTATAAAAATATAACATATATCTTCAAATATGTTTCTTAAGCAAAGAAAGAATTGTCAAATTTGCCTTGAGCCTACTTGAAATCTCTGCTGCAGCTTACATGAGAAAGGAATGTTTCCAGTTAACTATTCATTTATTTTAGGTAAATTAATTAGGTAAATTCGTTTGTAAATGTAGGTAAATTCATTTGTAAACAAAATGAATCTTTTATTTTGGCAAAAGTTACATTAACAACTTGTTCGAAGTTTGAGCTGTGATATAGTTAGGCTTTGTGTCCCCACACACATCTCATCTTAAATTATAATCCCCATTATCCCCATAATCCCCATGTGTCAAGGGAAAGACCAGGTGGACATAATTGAATCATGGGAGCTGTTGCCCCTATGCTGTTCTCATGACAGTGAGTGAGTTCTCACGAGATCTGATAATTTTATAAGGGGCTCTTCCCCCATCACTTGGCATGTCTCCCTCTTGCCACCTTGTGAAAAAGATGCCTTGCTTCCTCTTTGCCTTCCGCCATGATTGTAAGTTTCCTGAGGCCTGCCCAACCTTGTGGAAGTGTGAGTCAATTAAACCTCTTTCCTTTCTAAATTACCCAGTCTTGGGAAGTTCTTTATAGCAGTATGAAAATGGACTAATACAGGCTGGAAATACTGTCAATTATCTTTAGGTAATTTTTAAAGGATATATTCATAGAAATAAGAAAAAGCGCATTATATTATGTGTATTTCCTAAATATGCAAATATACTTCACTCACGTACTAATCACTTTAGAGGTACAACTTCTGTGTTATTAGAATACTTGCCTGACTTCAGTTGCTTTATTCATTCAGTTTTCCTAAATGAAAAGCAATAATACCATCTAACATTAACAAAACCTAATGAATATCCAGAAGCTTGGTTCAGCATATTGGAACATTAATGTTTCATAGGAGATAGTTTGTTAATGTCAAAATTGATTCTTATTGTAGCCACATGTACTCTGGCATACAATTTAATACTGAGTTCTCTCTCAAGATTAGAACTGAATAATATTAGGGTTAAGTGAATACTAGAAAATGGCCTAATATTATTATTTATTAAACTGAAGTCCAGACAGTTTAAGAAACTTGTCCAAGAGCATATAGCCACTTATGACTAAAACTGGGACTATAAACCAGATCTGAATTAGGACTGTATTTATGGATACTTGGTGGACACTTTGCAGAGAACACTTACAGCTATTACAGTGCAAACTGCTTGATCCCTGTAATTAGAAACAGGCTGAACATTATTAGGTTATTGTGCTTTACTTTGTAAATTTTATCACATATAAGTCTCAACATGCTGGTTAAGAATTGCCAGGCATATTGCCCATGTAGGATTCCCCTCATTACCTTGGATAGTGATTTGTCCCTAGTAAGTGTTGAATAAGAAGCCATACTTTGCATCAATGTCAGCCTTCCCCAGTTTCAGAAGTCATGGCTATAACTGCTAAGTTCATTTTTACTGAACTCAGCATTTTACTGAAGCATGGCTATTAAATCTTAAGCTCAACCCTACCCAAGAACCTTATCTCTAAACAAGAGTAGTATCATATGTTGATAATAATTTATATCACTAAGACATTAATCTCCAAATAATCTGAACTGTGATTTCTTAACTGAGGATAGTGAATATTTTTTAAAAGACAAGGGAATTATGATTATGTTTCTGACACAGAAATCCTTCGCATTTATTTGTAATAGATAATAAAATAATATTGAATATTTCAAAGTATAAGCTGAAAAATTTTGTTCAAGGTGATGTGGTAACTCATATTGCTGAAAATTCTGAAGTGATAGTGAGAATGAAACATCAGCTTTTCTAAAAAGCACTTTAGAAGCTGAAGAACTGAAAGTTCTCCATTAACCTAGTAATATCTATGCAGTGGAAAATTGGCTGATAGCTTGAATTAAACTTTTTTTTTTAATTAGAAAGAGAGCAGAGATTCAGCTAGAGTTGTTAAACACAGATCTATTCCCTACTTTTTGTCAAATGTTCAGGAGCAGCAGGTCTGCTACAGAAAATGCAATGTAAAATTCTGTTTTTTTAAAAAAGCTTTTCAGTCATAATGAAAAAACTTGTTGAACTATCATTTAGACTGCATTGAATTAAAAGTGTAAAAGCCAGGTTTGGTACGGTGGCTCACACCTGCAATCTCAGCACTTTGCGATGCCTTGGTGGGTGGATCATTTAAGATCAGGAGTTCGTGACCAGCCTGGCCAACATGATGAAACCCCATCTCTACTAAAAATACAAAAATTAGCCAGGTGTGGTGGCACACGCTTGCAATCCCAGCTGCTCCGGAGCCTGAGGCAGGAGAATGGTTTGAACCCGGGAGGTGGAGGTTGCAGTGAGCCAAGATTGCACCACTGCACTCCAACCTGAGAGATAAAGTGAGACTCCGCCTCAAAAAAAAGAAAGTGTAAAAGCGATAATTAATATGGTAGTATACAAAAATAATTGTTTAACGGGGACTGATGCATCAGGAAATATTTCGAGAAAAGGTAAGAGTGAAGGCATCCAATTTATATCTATCTTTTTAAAAAAAAACTTGAAAATTACTTAGCACTTTCATTTGAAAACTTATTTAAACAATAAATAGTTAATTTTCTTCTACAACTAAACATACTTTAAAGGATTTTGACCCATAGCATTCTTTATGTCCTCAGAGCAATAATAATAAAAATTAGCTTCTTGACCAGTTTTATCTAATGAACTACTCAGTCAGGTATCATTTTTTGGTGCTTACATTGAAATCAAAATGATTTTATGTCACTAAGGTAGAAAAGGATTTCAAGAGCCCATAGAACATGCCCAAGGACATCTACTGTGTCATCTCTCTCTGTTGAGTAGGGAAATCTGCCTGATTGACTTATATTGCAGCACATTTAAAAATCAAAACCGAGAGAAATGACTAAACTGGCTGTTTAGCTTCTGTGAAAGAAGCTAATATAAGTCTTTAAAGAAGGATCATATTTGCTAATAGGATTGAAACTTTGTTTACTTTGGCAACACTTGGCTAGGAATTACTCAGTTGTTGATTCCCAGCCCCTCTTTAGGAGGTGCATAGAGTTGTGGCTGATACATTTGCTTCTCTCTGTATTGTCTCTAATAAATATGGCATGCTCCAAAGCAATTGAGCCTGAGCTGGCTGCTGAAACTGGAGAACAAAGCATTTCATTCAATCATTCTTAAAAGGCACGGCAACTTTTTGTCACACCCCAGAGCCCTCAACATGACTTCATTTCACATTCCTGTCTGTATATACTGTGCTCGGCATGAAGCAGTTCCAAAAGACATTAGAACTGTGAGATTCAGGAAACCTTTGGATCAAATAATTACCACTTCCTTCATTATGTATTAATTCAGGATGGCTTCCCTTTTGTTTCTTAAGCATAATTGGTGCTCTATTTTTTTTCCAAAACAGTTGGAATATGTTTCTGTGTTTCTGTTCAAGGTGATCTGCAGCTGCTTAGGCAACCAATTCCTTTTCCTTTTCTTTGATTAAATGTTGAAGGACATCATTTTGGAGTGAGAAGACAGATTGGGGCAGGTTATTTCCAAATAGTCCTTTATTCAAGAATATCACTTATTATTTAAACATGTTTTTAGAAAATAGACACTCCATTTTTCAAATACTATCTCCCACAAGTTTACAATAATATAATACAATATATATTTCTAAACACATATACACATTTGCATTGTTTCTGGGACAATAGAACAAAATCTTCATGTTCAAACACTGTGTTTTATCATACCTTGATGGTTTTTCACCAAAAATCCGATTTATTATTTGAGATTAAGGCAGTCAACACACATGCATGATTATATAGTGTGGACCTATTATGGTTCCTCTGTGTGAGGTGATTGGGTAAGGATATAAAATAAAAAGGCACAATCCTTTCTCCTGAAGAAAATACTACCCACTATGTAAAGAATATAAGTGAACACAGTAATAACACAATGAGGGGAGGCATACAGGAGAGTGTAACTGGCACTACAAAGGGATCTATCTTCACTCAGTGAGTTGTATTTAAAATAAACTTTGAGGCCGGGCGTGGTGGCTCACGCCTGTAATCCCAGCACTTTGGGAGGCCAAGGCGGGCAGATCACGAGGTCAGGAGATCGAGACCATCCTGGCTAACACGGTGAAACCCTGTCTCTACTAAAAATTCAAAAAATTAGCTGGACGTGGTGGCAGGCACCTGTAGTCCCAGCTACTCGGGAGGCTGAGGCAGGAGAATGGTGTGAACCTGGGAGGTGGAGCTTGCAGTGAGCAGAGATCATGCCACTACACTCCAGCCTGGGCGACAGAGCAAGACTCTGTCTCAAAAAATAATAATAATAATAATAATAATAAAATAAAAAAATAAACTTTGAAGAATGTATAAGATTGCCTTTGTTCAACAAGGAGGAGAGGTATTTTAGATAAAGATGCAAAGTCCTATAGACGTAAGAAAAATGGGCACCCATGTAACAGAAGGACATTTTAGTAGGAACACCAAATTAGTAGATCTCAGTGGATAGAAAATAGAATTATGACTGTTTTCTAAATAAGGAAATCTGCAGTTAGAATTTTGGAATGACTAAAACAGGATTTATCACCAGATCACAGGAATAAGTATCAGAAAATTCAGGTAAAAAAAAAATTCAAATTAAAACCAGCATAAAAACCTTGTGGCAAGGGGTACCTTTAACATGAGGAAATTGACACATAAGCTCTTACACCCTTTATGTAATGAACCCTTACCAGGAATCAACCTGGTAAAATATTAACATTTAGAATAAATATCCACCTGCATATCTAATATGGTGTTTAAAAATTTTTGTAATATATTTTTTTATTTTTATTTTAAGTTCCAAGATACAAGTGCAGGATGTGCAGGTTTGTTACATATGTAAACGTGTGCCATGGTGGTTTGCTGCACCTTTCAACCCATCACTTACGTATTAAGCCCTACATGCATTATCTATTTAAACTGATACTCTCCCTCCCCCCACCTCCCTTCTGACAGGCCCTATTTTGTGTTGTTCCCTCCCTGTGTCCATGTGTTCTCATTGTTCAGCTCCCACTTATAGGTGAGGACGTGGTATTTGGTTTTCTGTTCCTGTGTTAGTTTGTTGAGGATAAAGGCTTCCAGCTTAAAGAATCCTTCCAATTGTATAAGTTTCAGACCCACAAATCCTGGATTCACCCTGCCTAGGCAATAAGTCTATAGTAGTGCTAAGAAAGGAATATCT
The DNA here is from genome assembly GCF_000001405.40 of Homo sapiens. Classification (NCBI taxonomy): domain Eukaryota; kingdom Metazoa; phylum Chordata; class Mammalia; order Primates; family Hominidae; genus Homo; species Homo sapiens. The sequence continues at coordinate 126,028,994 of NC_000007.14, forward strand.
GGAAGTCAAAGTGTCAAAGTAACTGACTTAATTTTGGAAATTAAGTGATTAAATTATAAGAAGTCATTATTTCTATTGGCTATACATGATGGGTAAAAGAGAAATCTGTTTTTTATCTTCACCTCCAAACAGCAAGTGTTTTCTCTCATCAATGGGAATTTAATTGCTACCCTCAACCACACATCCCAATCCCAACTAGGTGAAAAGTCCGCTGCTTATTAAAAGAATGCCCATTCCCTGATTCCACAGATAAGTGGTAGGCAAATGTTAGAGAATTTAAAGCACAGGAATTTCAAGTATAGTTCATGTCAGAATTATAAAGAACATATAAGAAGGAAGCACAATCAATTAATAATTAAATCTCTACCTTACTATGGATAAACCACATACATAGGGTCTAACTTTACAAGAAGGGTTCTGAGCTATGTAAACATGGAGATATTGTGCAGTATAGGCCACATGATATATTAACAATGAGAGACCCATAAGAAGATGAACAAGACCAGATGACCCAAACAAAGTTCAGGGTCTTGATGCCAGGGAATTATACAAAGGAACCTAAGAAGATTTAAAATGAAATAATCTTTCTTATGTTGTGAATTGCCTGTGTTTGTAAGTCCTCTTTATTGGATTTAATACTTAGAATCAATTTATAAAAACCGGGAATAATCTTACCTTTGGAATCTTGTAGGTAAAACAAATGAAGGCATTTATCATCTAACATTACTACCAGTAACACATTTTGAAAATAATGAGATGAAAATAAGTTTATAATGTTGCAAGTAAATATAGATACATACAGTAAAGATAGCTACATACAGTATAGAGGCGTGTATATATATATACACATATATACGTGTGTGTGCGTGTGTGTATATAAATGTATGTAAACTCTTCATTTTCATAAAGTAGGTGACCCTTTGGAATTAGCACCCAAATTGAAAGCAGTGTATTATTAGGACCTCAAAAAGTCCCCTATGTGCCCCTACCTATTCATTATTCCTGTCCAATATAACCACTATCTAATTTTTAGAATATCCCAACAAATGAGTTTTGGATGCTTCTGAATCATATAGAACTAGTTTTTTCTAATTGATTTATCTTGCTTAATAATATACCAGTAAGATTAATTCCTGGTGTTGTATATAGTAGTAATTTGTTTCTGTTTGTTGTTGTACTGAATTCCATTGCATAAATATTTCAGAATTTACTAATTCATTTCACTGATAATTGACATTTTGGGTGTTTCCAGTATGAGGCTATATAAAAGCTCTGCTATAAATGTTCCTGGTTATGAATGTTAGTGAATATGTTTAATATTTCCATTAAGTATACAAAAACAGTGGGATTGCCTGATCGTAAGCTAACCACATGTTCATCATCAGTAAATACTTCCAGAGTGCTTGTCAAATTTATACTCATAGCAGCAGTCTGTGAAAAGTCTGGTTGCTCCACATCTTCACCAGTATATGTAATTGTCACTATTTTTAATTTTTGCAATTTTGGTTGTTTAATAATTTCTCATTGTTGTAATTTTTATTCTGCTGAGAACTAACAAGGTTGAGCCCATATCTACATGTTTCTTGGTCATTTGGATATCTTCTTTCTTGAAGTGCCTGCATTATTGCATTCTCCCATTCGGTTATCTATTTTCTTTCTTCTTTTCAGTTTGAAGCAACATTTTATGTACTCTAGATACAAGAATTTCACTAGATATATGGACAGCAAATGTCTTACTTGGAGGTTTGCATTTTCACTGTCTTAGACATACTTTCTGATGATCAAATGTTCTTAATAGAATATGCTTATGTTTTTCTGAGTTTTTTGACCTCAAAGAAACATTTCTATTTAGGAAAAGAATGTTTTCCTCTATGCATAATATGTTCGTGAATTTTATTTCTAGAATGACCCTTTATAAAAATGAAACAAGTAACTTTGGGGTCAAGAGAAAATTTTTTGTTTCTATGTGCCAAAACCTAGAAAAGTAAATATTTTTTTTAGATAATTTAAATTCCGCTTAAATAACATCACTAATTGTTGTTTAATGGCAGAAAGGGTAGTACATTATGGAGCAAATTTTTTTTTTTTACCATGTATACCTCTGAAACCTCTACACTCTGTTTATTTACTTGCTTTCATACTGTGTATATCTATGCAAATACATATGAAAATGTACTTGTTATTTGTGAGAGCTATTTCCTTTCAATTCTGTTATCTGATTACAGATAAAATGATATAAAAAAACTCTAAGTTATTTTCCAATTATATCTATACCTAACTAAAAAATTTGAATTGGCATATCCGTGGTTGCCTAAACATTAAAACAGCAAAAATATAATTAAAAATTAAATTGCATTGACTTTTTCATTTATACCTGATAGTTATACTGTACTACAAGAAAAAAATGTAGTTTTATTCATTTGAAAGAACAGGAAAAATAGTGTTTGAACAACTATGATAATCCTCTTCCAATAGTGACGTAGTCAGATTATCATAATGCACATATTCAACCTTCTGCTTAAAGAGTGAAAATATGTACTTGATCCATGGCTGTTGCAATAAAGGCCATTTGTGAATTGAATTGAAGTGATATTGTTCTTGTTCATTGTATTAAATAAATTCTAATTTTAAATATGTGCTTCCATATGAAAGATACCATTTTATGGAAATGCTGCAGAAATGTTAAGAAATTGCAATGCGGAATACTATCTTCAAGTTTTTTTCCTGTCATTTGGAATCATAATATCTTCATGTCCATACTTTTAAAAAAATCAATCCAGGACCAATCCTAATAGAAGAAAAATGACGTTCATCTAGAGAGACAAATTTGCTTAGATTTGTGAGCTTACTTAGAAGTTTTCTTAGAATGTGAGAAATTTACTGGGATTCTCTGTTTTAGCCTTGGTGGTGACAGAATGAAAACTCATCAAACCCCACCCTTTTCCTTGAAGTAGATGAATGATTAAATTATCTAAATCAACTGGAGTGGTGACATGTTCCTATAGTCTCAGCTACTCAGGAGGCTGAAGCAGAAGGATCACTTGAGCACAGGAATTTGAGGCCAGCCTGAGTAACTTAGAGAGACCTGGTCTTTAAAATATATAATCTGTACGTATAATCTAAGTTAAAATGTTGTCATTCTCTGCTTAATGAACTCCAGTGATAAATTCCTTCAAGCTCTCTCGGTAGAACTTCCAAGATTTTACTATTCTTATCATCTAAGATGTTTTTTCTTAATATTTCACTAAAATGACTCTGGCTCTAGAGTTAAACTTCATAGATGTGGCTCTATACTGATAAAGTCTTTTATTTTGCTTATACCCAATAATGAAGTCACTTCATAGTCTTTTATTTTTTTCCCTTAAGCTAGACAAATCCAGATATGACCTTTCTTTATAACATAGTAACTCCATTTTTTGTTTTTTTATTATTATTATTTCTGAATCGTCATCATCATCACCATTATCTTTTCAGGGTTAGCCACAATATATTTATTAATTTCTGAAACTTTCTGGGATTTGAAAATAATCTATTACATCAAGAATTGAAAAATAATAATAATAAAATGCAGCGTCATGGTGATTGCAGAACAAAAAGTACCCATCCCAGGGGATATAGGCACTTTAAAGTTTGCAAAAACTACTAGTGGCTTTAGCAGCATCAGCAATGTGGTGAAACAGTAAAACATCAATAAAAGTGAGCAGGGAATGGCGAATTGATACTGAAAGGGACTGTAAATTCTCTACAAGGTACTGTAACAGCTCACTGCCAATTTGTATACCTCAGTTACTTATATACACAGGTCCCTGCTGAACCCCTTCCCTTTGACAGCTCTCAGAGAAATGATAGCAGAAGAAATGAGGACTTACTGTTGAGTTGTGGAGATATATTAATTGCCATGATTTAAGAAGAGAATCTCATCTAGAATCTATAAGCTAGGGAGTCTAAAAAATACATGTATTATAGTTACTTTTAAAATAATGATTTCTCTATATAGTATTTCCAGCATTATTGTTGAATTTGCTGCCAAGATTACTTCTTAGGATAAAAATATGTTTGTTAAATAAAAGACTAACAAGCAAAAATATTTATTAGATCACAAAGAAAACGAAAAGAAATAGTTATTGTAAAGTAGTTATCCTCAAAATTTATTTGGTCTTAGTAAGTTAGCCAGTGTTGTTATATTTTTGACTCCCAGAGCGAAGAAGTAAAACACAAATTATATCTGAACAGGTAAATTGAATTTCATGTGTTACTTTTATTATTTGTTCCATTTTATTGTTCAAAGTTTATGATTGTTGAAATGGGAGCAATTTATAAATAACACACACATGTATTTGTTTCTAGCTGAGATTTCTATGCCTAAAATTTAGATGCTTGTCATGACCTGATGCTGATTAAGACAATCAGTTAAAACCATTTAAAAACTCAGAAAAGTCAACAATCCTAGTTGAGGTTACATGAATAGTAGAGTTAAAACTCAAAACCATCACCGTAATACTCTTTTATACCATTCCTACAGCCAGTTAATGGGTGTTTTTTCCTCATGAGTCTCACTGATAAGATGACTTTTAAATACGTAATTTCTAGCTTATATTTTTTTCAAGTCATTATATATACTACATTCATTATGGTATCCTAGGCTACTCCAATAAATAGGCCATTGTGCTATGTGTCAAAACAAACATATTTTCTGTTTATTTTACGGGTTGGGGGATGTCTTATCCTCTATGCCATCATGGAAGGACTCAAGCTGACTGAGAGTTTGATACCTACAATCCATGACTTTCAAGGTCACCTTGGACATCTCCATCCATGAGAGAATTTTCAGCATGAAGGATTGTTGAATTTTATCAAAGGCCTTTTCTGTTTCTATTGAGATAATCATGTGGTTTTTGTCATTGCTTCTGTTTATGTGATGGATTATGTTTATTGATTTTTGTATGTTGACCCAGCCTTGCATCCCAGGGATGAAGCCGACTTCATCATGGTGGATAAGCTTTTTAATGTGAACTTGAACTCCACTCTGGACCACGTGGACCTAATAGGCATTTACAGAACTCTCCACCCCAAATCAAGAGAAGTAAGAGCAAACAAATTCAAAAGCTAGCAGAAGACAAGAAATAACTAAGATCAGAGCAGAACTGAAGGAGATTGAGACACAAAATCTCTTAAAAAAAATTTTGAATCCAGGAACTCTTTTTTTTTTTAAACATTAACAAAATAGAGAGACTGCTAGCCAGACTAATAAAGAAGAAAAGAGAGAAGAATCAAATAGACACAATAAAAAATGATAAAGGGGATATCATCACTGATCCCACAGAAATACAAACTACCATCAGAGAATACTATAAACACCTCTATGCAAATAAACATAAGGTTTTTTAAATTTTTGTTTTGTTCCCAGCCATATCATCTAGGAAAGTTAACTTCAAATTTCACAGTAAGATGGGGGCTTAAATGTTCATCTGTCCAGAAAGATTGCCAAAATATTCTGTGTTCATACAGCATAGTCCAGCCTGCAATTGAGTTCAGCTGTTACAGAGACTGTAATGATTCATTAACCTTAATTTGTTACACTTTGGGGTTTATCTATCCCTTTGAACTGGATTTATTTTCCAGGTGTAAATTACCCCAGTTCTCTTTGACATCAGAATATGAAAAGTCCTCCGTGGGCATGCTAATCTCAGTATAACTTATGTCTGAAAAAAAATGTATCTTGTTGCATTCAGTTGCTAATCACCTTTACATGTTATTTCAGAAGGAAACAATGTGTTTGTCAAAGGTCAGTCATTGCATAGTTCTTGTGTTTTTCCTCTTTTATTTTTGATTTGTGGTTTAGGTTCTCAAATAAGTTTATTAAATGACTTTCATAAACTTCAAAAACTGGATTTATACAGATATTTTTAGTTTTCTCTGTATAGTTACCCCTGCTGTCCATGGAACACCTGATTACTAATACTTGATAAACGTTATTAATCAATCAGCATAGTTAACTACAGCCAAGGAATATTGTTCGTAAGTCCCTGTGCAGTTCTTAAATGTAGGAGGAGCTACAAAATTATAAAGAATCATAAAGATAATTGCTACCTACCAACAAAATGTTTTTGGTATTTAGTTTATCTGCCTGTCTGACTTAAATTATTTCATTACATGATTAAAAGATTCTTCTTTTTCATGGCTCACAGAAGAAATTGTTGAAATTGAAAGGAAACAAGGAGAATCATTTTGCCTTTTCAAATTTTAACCTACCATTTATTTTTAAATTTTTATTTTTCAGACTTCATTGCTATCAGGATTAAGGTTTTAGTAACATAACAATATATAATAAATTATAGCAATTATAGCAACTGAACAAATTAAATTGCGTGGATACCTATTAAAACCACTTAAGTAATCTTGTGTTATATATAAATGCTTTTAAACATTGCATTGTTTTAGTTACATTGTTAAGATATGGGACAGAAATAAACAAATTACTAGGCTTTAGGCATGAATAGAAAATTACCTAGTTAACTACAGACTAGTTGAGTTAGCGGATTCCCCACCACAATGGAAACTCAAGAGTGTATAATGAGGCTTCCCATATATTCAACAAGACCAATCCCCATGGCTATGCTCATTGAATAATATCCCGAATAACAACAACAGCTCCAGGGAAATTATAGGGATGGATTCAGATACACTTTTCCTGTGTTACATAAAGGAAACTCTTTGAGCAAAATAACTTGTGAAATTCACATTAAAACAATTCAACTAAGATAAGCATGAAACACAATTGTCTGTGTGTCAAATTTTAAATTTTCTTGAAACTGTTTTTCAGAGAATTTGGGGGCTGTAAGTCCGCTAAATTTTCTTTAAATGTAGGAAAGACATTGGATATGGGAGAGACATTTTGTTCCTTTATTAATCTATTCACTTTGTAGTACTTCTTGAGCACTGAGAGTGTGCCAGACACAATTCCAGGCACTGAACATTCAATGGTGAGGAAAAAAAAATGCTTCTTGCTCTTCCAAAACTAGTGAGGTAGAAAGGTAGGATTTAATAAAAATAAAATAATTAAGAAAATACAGATTATTAAAGTTCTTCATAAGAAAATAAATAAGTGATATGGCCTCAAAGTGAGAAGACAGACTTCAGACAAGATAGTCCAGTCTCCTCCTTTAATTTTTCTCTTAGGAGGAAAGCTGAACTCAGCAGGAAAATTAAACTGAAATATAAGGAATGAACAATGTGCTACATTTATCAGAAGAACACAAAAGCAAGCCTGGAGTTGACATAGAGCTAGAAGATGAAGACAATGGTGCTTCTACACTGTTGAAAAATAGAAATGAAAAATAGAACTGGAAAAATGCAGAATATAAAGCTAAGTAAATGAACTATATGTAAAAAGACTGCATAAATCACATTAAGGATTTGTTGAACACTACTGAATGGCTTAATGAAAACTATGAAACAATTGGATTTGTGTTTTATGAAGCTCATCTGACCACAAGGGTATAATGGATAGGAGAAGAATAGAAATAAATACCAGGAGACCGACTTGGAAGTTCCTAACGTCAAAAGGCATGTACGACAATAATTCCAACTTAATGTGAGGGCAATGAGCACTCTATTCAATAACTCCAACTTAATGTGAGGGCAATGAGAGATGCAAAAATATTAGTAAAATAATTTCTAAAAATATGGTCTCATCCTGTTATGGCACAGTGATTTAGTCAAATTGTAATGATGCTATTGAATCTTTCATGTATTAAAACCCAAGAATATATTATTCCTATATTACAGTATCTATTGTAAACTTTTGTATATCTAAATTTGACTTTGTTGTCAATTTCCCAACACCAGGCTGTAAAAATGCTAATTTCTAATTTCCAGGCAAATCCCTCTGGCAGATTGTAAGCATAGTCCCTATGCCAGAAATTTGGTTGGCTGCCTTTATTTTTGCAAGAGGACAGTAAAAAAAAAAAAATACCAACTTGGATATCCATGGAATTATTATTCATTGTCTTCAGTCAGGTGAATAATACACAGTTTTAAAAGCACATGGTACACATTTTCTATTAGCATTTTATAAGCTTCCACAGGGCAAGAATATTGTATTTATTGGTTTTTATATACCCCTTCAAAAATTGTGAATAGTTTTGTTTTCTCTGCCTTTTTAAGTGCTTCCCATTTCCTATCCTCCTTCATGTATTTTTAAAAGAATGGAACAAGAAAAGAAAAAAAACAAAGCAAACTTGTGCATTCAATTCAAAGACCATTTATGTAACTAATCTCATGTGCAGGGAATATGACAAATTAGGAATCCAGATTTTTATATGAAATATTAAGTTTAGTTAACTCTGGCTAAGCATGACATACATGCAAGGTGCCAGTATGTAAGTTTTAGGTCAAAAGATGCCCCAAAGCTAAACTAGTGATGCAAAAAGAAATCCCATAGAGAAAAAAATATCATATTTATTATGGGAAATGTAATAAAACTTTCTGGAAGAGAGGGCATTTCCATTTAGTCTTGAAAAACACATCAACTTGGGAAAGCAAAATTACTACATCATGATTGCATCAGACTTTGTGTAAATGATGAGTATGTCTATGAAGGGAAGGCATTTAACTTAAATTGTGTTATATCTGCCGTTCCTGTGAGGTCTATAATTCAGGACAAATTTCTTTGGAGAAATGTATAAAGACATGCTTATTGCCAGATAAAAAAAGAAAATATCATTACCACTTCTCTTTTAATTTATCCTGTACAAAAGTATAATATATGATGACAATGAGTTAAAAATGACAAATTTAAAATCACATTCCTTCCAGGGTTCTACCTGAGTAATACAAAAACGTGCTGCTCCACCGTAACCTGCAACTCTGCTACTCAAGTCCAACTTTTTTTTACAAAGACAGTTTACAGATTCATACATGATATATAATGGGTCTCTGTGAAGACATCTTTTCTCCAAGTAACTCCCTCCATCTGAGGTTTTTGCCATATTTGGAAATTCTGCCATTAATGATAATGTCCATTAAGATAAATGTTCCATTATTTGTATAGCTATTTAAAATTTAGTCATTCTTTGAAAAGACAGATCATTCAGTCACTAACCACTTCATGTGTGTTAGTATTTCCTTATATTTTCTTTAAGAAATATCCTATAGAATATCTTAGATATATAAATATAGGACAAAACATTAGGTATCCACTGCATACATTAAGAATTACATTATTATAATAATACAGATAAATCTTTCAATACATTCATACCTAATCATATAATGATACCTTTTTTCCACCCCACTCTGCAGATGATGTATATGCTCAATGTTCTAATGTCCAGTTTTATGAATATCTTTTTACTTTTATTAAATTATAATGCATTCCTATATAATACATAAGCAATATTTTTCATGTTTAAAATTTTTCTAATAAGTGATATACATTGATCTTATAATTCTTTTATTTCTTTAATATTATGTCTGTGAGCATCATAGTCAATGAAAAATTAGTACTAGTGAATGTATTACCAATTCTGTGTAACATCTCCTTAAGTGAATATATCACAACTATTTACTGAACATGTATGTGATTTCCAATTGTTGCTATACCCATTACACTAGTATGAACACTTTTGTGCCCGTTACCATGTGTACCTAGAGGCTTTTTCTGGGAATTACGTAGCAATGTAATTGTCAGGACTTAGATATAACAAATTGCCCTTCATATAAAATGATGCTTTCTTTAGCAGCGTATAAAATTTCATCTTTCCCACATTTAAAAAAAATACATGTCTATATATTTTTTCCAGTTTGATAGCTATGGTATGGTAGCTCAGGATTTTTTTTTTTATGTACAGTAAGATAACAGTATTTTTGTTTATAGCCTATGAGTTTTAACTCACATAAACACCAACACAGTAAAGATGCACAATAATCCCATTATCTAAAAAATGATCTCATGCTCCCCCTTCATAGCCAAACTGTTTACCCTAATCTCTGGCAATCACTGATGTGTTCTCAGTCCCTGGAGTAGCTTCTTTTACCGAATTTTGTATAAATAAAATTATACAGTATGTAATGTTTGGAGACTGATTTATTTTATTCAACGTAGTGTTTTTGAGGTTTATCCATGTCATTCAGTTACAAATCATTTATTCCTTTTTATTTCTCAGTAGCATTCCATTGTATGGGTATACTATAATTTGTTTTTCCACTCTCTCATCGCATTTAAGCTGGTTCAGTTTAGGACAATTAATAATAAAACTGCTATAAAAATTTTTTGTACAGGTTTTCACGTGAATATAAGTTGGTTTTTCTCTAGGAACTGTACCTAGAAGTGAGATGTTGGGTGTTAAAAGCAAGTTTAACTTTCCAAGAAATGGTCCAACTCTGTTCCAAAGAGGCTGTACCATGTTTGCATTCCAATTAGCAGCTCTCAGAGTTTCAGTTGCTTCATATTGTTGTCAGCACTTGATATTGTTGATTTAGTTAATCATATTCATTTTAATAGGTATGGCATAATACTATTATTTATTTTGTCTCTGATTTAAATTTACGTATTGGAAATTTATGCTGAACATCTTTCATGAGGATATTTGTCATTCGTACATCTTTCTGGTGAAGTTACTTCAAATTTTTCTCCATTTTTTTAAATTGTGTTTTTGCTTGTTTATCATTTTGTTGAAGTCCAACTTTTGTAGGTTTTGCTTTTGTTGTCAGGTATAATTTTTGCATAACCTAACTTCATTGAGGTTTGCTCCTATTTTAAAAAAGCTGCATGATAATTTTATATTACACCTTAAGATATATAATTCAATTGGAGTTAATTTTTGTAAAGATGTTAAAGAAGGTCATAGTTCATTTTCATGATTCATGCTTCAACATAATTTGCTCAAGAGACTATTCTTTCTCCATTGAATTTCCTTTGCAACTCCGTCAAAATTCAATTGATAATATTTGTGTGGGTCTGTTTCTAGACTTTTAAAGCTACCTTACTTATCTGTGGTCTATCCTTACTCTAATACTACAAGATCTTCATTATTGTATCTACCTAGTAATCTTAAAATCATATAGCATGAGCCCTCGCCTTTGTTTTTCATTTTCAAAATACTTTTGACTATTATTTGATTTTTAGTATAAATTTTGGAGCATCTTCTTCATATCTAACAAAATTATCCATTTATTTACTTGATAGTGTAATAATGATGGCAGGGGCTGCCCATCTAGAACAGCCACTACCATGATGCCAGCTGCAGTGGGGGAGGCGCAGCTGGGGCTGCATGCTCCACAAAGCCAGCGGGAGCCAGGAACAGGTGGAAGCCCTGCCCCCTTCTGAATCAGCAGGGTGGCAGCTTTGTGCTCTCTGGGCACAGCTGCAGCCACCAAGTCATGGCTGCAGACCCAGGCCTCCCCGTGCTCTTGGGGGCCAGGAGCAGGCAGGAGCCCTGCCCTCCCACGCATAGCTGCAGCTGCCCAAGCAGCGTCCTCCGATCCAGGCACTCTCGGGGGCCTAGGAAGGCCCCTCTGCCCTTGCAAGCTGGGAAATGCCTGCTCCTGCTGCCTTGCCTCTCTCCAGTCCTGGCGCCTGCTCTGATCTCAGAGCAAGGTTGGGGCCGAGCCCAGGTACTATCTTAGTCTGGCCGGGTGTGGGGCGCTTGAGGCAGCACTGATATGCCAACCCCCTGCCGCCTTGGCCCCCTCCGGACTTTGGGCACCGATGAGCATGGGAGGGAGCCTGAGGGGGTGCTGAGGGCAGCTCAGCGCTGGCCTGCATATGCCACTTGGCATGAACGGCCTGGGCACCATGAATGGCAGCCTGGGTGCCATGAATGGCAGACAGGGTCCTGGATGGAAGGGGGTTGGTCCCCAGTAAAACCCCACCTTCGAGCCAGGGAGGGCCTGAAGCCTGGGGGCGGGGCTGCCAGTTGCCAGTCCTGTAGGCTGCCAGTCCTGCAGACTGCAGTGGGAACTTGTGGTGCTTTTTCTGGGCCTGCCCATGGCTGCCCATGGTCCAGTTGGAGCACACTTCCTGCTTTCTGAGGCCTATGAAAACCCTGGACTCAGCCAGACTCTAGGAGACAACAGGACAACCAGCTGAAGAGAGGAGCTACTCACCCTAGGGTCACCTCTCTGCTGAGAGCTGAGCAGATGCCAGGATGACCAGCTGTGGAGAGGAACTTACCACTCCAGTGTCTCCACTCTGCTGAGCTGAACACTTGTTGGGACAGCCTGCCTGCAGAGAGGAGCTATCCACTGTGGGCCTCCTCTCTGCTGAGAGCTGAATACTTGTCAGGATGCCCTGCCTGTGAAAGGAGCTATCCACTGCAGGTCTCCTCTGAGCTGTTCTGTCACTCAGTAAAGCTCCTCTTTGCCTTGCTCACCCTCCACTTGCCCTTGTACCTCATTCTTCCTGGACACAGGACAAGAACTTGGGACCTGCTGAATGAGGGGGCTAAAAGAGCTATAACACAAACAGGGCTAAAACACACCCTTTGCTCGCCACATTGCAGGCAAAAAGAAGGAGAGAAGACAGAAGGAGAGAAGAGCTGTGGCCCTTCAAGGAGCCCAGACCTAGGAGCTCCCTGAGCCAGGGCTGTGAAAGCCTATCTAAGGATGTGCAGTTCCTCGCATCTCCAAGCTTCCGGGCACCACCATGTTCCCTGGTGCTAGCCATGGAAGCTGCTTGCAGTACACCTGGTCCAGCTGCAGGGAGGCAGCACCTGTACTGGCATCTGGAGCTGCCTGCCCCACTACAGCTGGTGTGCCTGGCTGTGTGCAGTGGCTGGACCCCACGCTTACTCTCTCCCTCACCCCTCACCACTCCTTGTTTGGCTCGTCCTTGACAGGTTCACACCACTGGCAAAGGCACCACTGGCCACAGAGATTTCTGGCTGGTAAAGCAACACCTCAAGGATCCTGTAACAATAATGTAGTTCAAGAAAATAAATAAGTTGTTTTCATATTTTTATTTTTGGAAATGATTATGTACCATAACAATGAGCTAGCCCTTAAAAATTTATGATTCAATCATTTGCCTTGAATTCTTGCCCTAAAGTTTTGCTGTATTTTCAGATTATTTTAATTGCATTTAGCCGATACCTAAATTTGAAGGAACTGTCATTTGAATGGTGCTAGGACTTCCAATTTATGAGATTGACATTTTTTCATAGTATATTTATTCTTTTTGCCTGTATTTGTGTTATTAGTATGCAGATCTTATATGTGTTTTGTTATATTTATACCTTATTATTTCAATATTTTGTAGACATCATAAATGATGTGATAGAAAAATTGGCTTTCGAATGTTGACTTTCTAATATATTGGAAATATACTGAATATTCTAAATTCACCTATAAGTTTGAGGAGCTTTCCTGTAAATTCTTGGGATTTTTCTATGTAACAATCATTTTATCTATAAATAGAGAAAGTTTTATTACTTTACTTCCAGTCTTCATGACTTTATTATTCTTGCTTCATTCATTGCACTTGCCATAATGTTAAATGGAAGCAGTGTTAACAAATTTTGGGGAAAATAATTCAGACATTAACTTCTAAGAGTAATGTTAGGTTTGGGTAGGATTTGGTTTCTAATGAATTCTATTCATTAGGAACTTTAGTGTGCCAGAGTTTCTAACAAATGATGCTGAATTTCACAAACTGCATTTTCTGCACCATATCATAATTGATAGGATTATGTGTTTCTTCTCTTTTACTTCCTTAAAATGAAAGCTTACACGGATTTTTTTTTTTCAAATGATGAACTAACCGTTCATTCTAGAATAATCGGATAATCTCCATTTGGTCATGATGAATTTTCTAGTTGTTGTTTGTTTGCTTAACTGTATGCATCACAAATTTAAAAATATTTATTCACTTATATGTGTTTATATGTCTTACCATGAGCATACTAGTTTTCAAAAGCAAAAATTATATATATATATATATATTAATTATTTTAAATACTATAGTTAGCCCAATTTTAGGCACAGATTTGGCAGTCCATACATACTTCAAAAGAAAGGAAAGAAAAGAAGAAAAAAATAACAATACAATTTTGTTCATGACAATATATCTCTAATCAGCTATATGACTAATATTCTGTGCCTTAAATGCACATACATGATTCTTGCCAGAAGAAGAGTTAATATTTAGCCAATTCATTAAACATTTAAATAAAGTTGTCATATATAGTAATTAAGCAATAGCTGCATATTCCGTATAATCATATTCTAAGACATCCAAAATATTGTCTAAAAAACATTCCACACACAGACTCCAGAGCACTATATACTCAACATAATAATAGGGTGAAATAGATAAATAATATGAGAATTATATTTTCTTGTATTTCCCAATTAGAATGCAAAAGAATAAAATGATTCGTTAATAAAACATATGCATTACTAATTCCTCAGTGAAGCATCATTTAACATTTTAAAATATTCTATGTCACATAGATTTATTCATACATTCATTACACATGTATCATATGTGAATGTAACAATGAAGTTTAAACTCTTTATATAAATGTCAGTTGTTAGTCATTAGCTGTTAATTATTATGAATACATTGTTAAATTACTATAAATCTATCTTACTAATCTTAGGCTGACCCTTTTCCCTCTTTATTTCATAATTATATAAAACTTTGAAATAAAGTGCAGAAATATTCTGACACGGAAAAAAAATCACCCCAGCTTGTATAACAAACATATCTATCTTGCATCCAATTTTTATAAGATCACCAATCTCACCTCACTATCCTTTATCATAAAACAAAAAAATCTGCTGGGTACTGTTAAAGAGTAGTCTCCCCTTAACGCGAAATTATATAAACATCAATGACATTTAATTAAATTTCATTGCATCTTCTACAGGATTGACTCAACCTAATATTTTTAACTCTTTGAACACTGGGTCTGCATTAAATAAGAATTTTTTTATGTCTGGGAAAATTCAATACACTGGGAATGTTCTACATCCATAAAGCTACTCTCAACCTGATGTGCCAGGACTGAAATGCCATTATTAGAATTTTGTTTCTTTGGTTAAAATTATAAATGCAAATAGTAAGATAAACAACACATTAAATGTTTTCTTTTATTTATATAACAGAATAGATTAATGGACAAGACCCTTACCTGTAAGATTGTCAAATTGAAGGTAGAGGTCACTAAAATTTGAGCCAAATGCCACTGCCATAAAATGATTCTGGAGCTTTCTAAGGTTACCACACTGTATTTTAAAGTTTTGTATTTTCCAGGGTGGCAAGTGGGAAAAAATGTCTTTAATGGAGAGATAGTTGAAAGGCTGTATCACTGGAATCTTATAGAATTCCTTGGTGAAGTGTTAAATCTCAGTTTGAGAATCCTTTCACTGCAAGTATTTAGATGAAAAGTTGTGGGTGACTTTCATTTTTCCATTTGGGACCGGATGGAATGGATGTACTTTTTAAAACCATCTGTCACGTAGCACCTTAATCTTACATCAAGTAGAGGAGAGTAAGAACATCTGACTTTGCAGACATGACAAGATGTCAACCAAAGTTTTTTATATGGTGTTTCCAACATTTTGTCAAATCACTCTGAAATCTTTTCATCTAGTTTTCTTATGGACTTAAGAAAGCACAATGCCTGTTTAAGAAGCTGGTAAATGTCATTGCTTCCTTGCCAATATGTTCTTTTCGTATTCATTTAATTCTCCAGAAGGTCAGTCTGAGCTGAATTTTTCCCCTTTGGAGGTAATGTTGCCTTGGTTACATTTATTTAAACATCACCAACTCTTAACACTTACTTCATTGATATCAAATACAAATATTTTCTCTGAAAAGGAACTTAGAAGAAAAACTAAGTATAAGAGGTACACTGTAGCAGTCTTTTCATCCTTCACATAAAACATTGCATAGTTTAGAGTAACCACCCAAATATAGCACAACCAGAATAACTGAGGAGACTAATAAAGGGGCAACTTCATTTACAAGAAAGAAAGCAATATTAAGGGCAAACATCAAAGGAAAACACCCCAGAAGTAGCCAGAGTTAAGAAGATTTATCACCCTTAGTCCTGAAGAAACTAAGAAAAGGAGAGGTTACCAGAAGGCAGGGAGAGCTAGAATTTAATTAAGAGAGCCACAAGACAGAAACTGGTGCCCAAGGGAGAGAAATGCAGCCACCTCCAGTTTAAGCCTTATCAGGAAGGGAGCTAAGGCAAGGAAAATGTACACTGATGGCTCCCTTTCCCTCCTCTAATCTTACCAGTCCCCTCCCACCCCCATTAGCTAAAACCACATAGAAATTAGAGCAGGGGTCCCCAACCCCGGGGCCACAAACTGGGACCTGTCTGTGGCCTGTCACAAACAGGGCGGCACAGCAGGAGGTGTGCAGCACGCAAGCCCACATTACTGCCTGAGCTCCGCCTCCTGTCAGGTCAGTGGTGGCATTAAATTCTCATAGGTGCATGAACCCTATTGTGAACTGCACACGTGAGGGATTGAGGTTGCATGCTCTTTAAGGGAATCTAATGCCTGGTGATCACTGTCTCCCATCACCCCCAGATGGGACCATCTAGTTGCCGGTAAACGAACTCAGGGTTTCCACTGATTCTACATTATGGTGAATATGTAATAATAATAATAGAAATAAAGTACACAATACATGTAATGCACTCGAATCACCCCTAAACCATCCCTCTATACCCAACCCACTGCCTGTCCATGGAAAAAATTGTCTTCCATGAAACCAGTCCCTGCTGTGAAAAAGGTTGGGGACCACTGAACTAGAGGACAAGATGCCTTCTTAATGCAGGCCAAATAAGTCAGTTTCTTAAAGCATATTAAATTATAAGCAATGTGGGAGAGTGCATCTAAAGTAGGAATTAGAAAATATCAAACACAAAAATCTAGGGCAAGCTTTGCATTCCCTTTTTTATCTTCTTTATACTCATTCACCCCTCAATGCATTGACAGTGGAGCGTGAGGAATTATTCAGTCAGTTGATTACAAACTGGAATACAGAATGGAAGTCTGGTGAGAAGAGCCATCAGAAAAATCTCACTTTATTGATTGTATTTTTTTGCTGTGCAGAGGCTATTTATTACATTGATGCAAAAGTCATCTAGGTTTTTGCCGTTACTTTCGATGGTAAAAACCGCGATAACTTTTGCACCAACCCAATAACTTGATGTAATCCCATTTATTCAGGTTTGTTTTGGTTGCCTGTGCTTGTAGGGTATTGTTCAAGAAGTCTTTGCCCAGAACAATGTCCTGGAGATTTTCCCCAATGTTTTCTTGTAGTAGTTTCATAGTTTGAGGTCTTAGATATGTCTTTAATCAAACTTGATTTTATTTTATTTTTATTTATTTATTTTTTTTGAGATGGAGTCTCACTCTGTCGCCCAGGCTGGAGTGCAGTGGCACGATCTCGGCTCACTGCAAGCTCCGCCCCCTGGGTTCACACCATTCTCCTGCCTCAGCCTCCCGAGTAGCTGGGACTACAGGCGCCCGCCACTACCCCCGACTAATTTTTTGTATATTTAGTAGAGACGGGGTTTCACCATGTTAGCCAGGATGGTCTCGATCTCCTGACCTCGTGATCCACCCGCTTCGGCCTCCCAAAGTGCTGGGATTACAGGCGTGAGCCACCGCTACCGGCCTGATTTTATTTTTATTTATGGTGAGAGATAGGGGTCTAGGTTCATTCTTTTTCATATAGATACCCAGTTTTCCCAGAACCATTAATTGAAGAAACTGTGTTAACAAAGTGAAGAGACAACCCACAGAATGGGAGAAAATATTTGTAAACTACCCATTTGAAAAGGGATTCCTAATCAGAATATGTAAGGAGCTCAAACAACCTTATAGAAAAAAAATCTAAGAATCTGATCAAACAATGGGCAAAATATTTGAATAGCAACTTTTTCAAAAGAAGACATACAAATGGCAAGCAGGCATTTGAAAATGTGTTTAACCTCATTGATCATTATAAAAGTGGAAATCAAAACTACAATGGAATATCATGTTGCCCCTGTTAAAATGACTTATATACAAAAGACAGGCAATAACAAATGTTGGTGAGGATGTGGAGAAAGGGGAGCCCTTGTACACTGTGTAAATGTAAATTAGTACAACCAGTATGGAGAACAGTTTGGAGGTTCCTCAAAAAACTAAAAATTGAGCTATCATATGACTCAGCATTCCCACTATTGGGTATATACCCCCCAAAAAGGAAATCAGTATATTAAAGAGATATCTGCATTCCCATGTTTGCAGCAGCACTTTTTACTGTAGCTAAGATGTAGAAGCAACCTAAGTGTCCATCGATGAATGTATGGATAAAGGAAATGGGGTACATACACAAAATGGAGTACTAGACAGGCATTAAGAAGAATGAGATCTAGTCATTTGCAACAACATGGATGGAACCGGAGATTGTTATGTTAAATGAAATAAGCCAGGCAAAGAAAGACAAACATTGCATGTTCTCACTTATTTGTGGCACCTAAAAATCAAGTCAATTGAACTCATGGACATAGAGAGTAGAAGGATGGTTACCCGAGGCTGTGAAGGGTAGTGAGGGTTAAGGGGGAGGCACCGGTGGTTAATAGGTACAAGAAAAAATATAAGGAATGAATAAGATCAATAAGATCTAATATTTGATAGCACAACAGGGTGACTATAGTCAATAATAACTAAATTGTGTATTTTAAAAATAAAGAATGTAATTGGACTCTCTGTAACTCAAAGGATAAATGGTCGAGGGGATGGATACCCCATTCTCTATGAGGTGTTTATTTCACATTACATGCTTGTATCAAAACATCCCATGCACCCCACAAATATGTACACCTACTATGTATCCACAAAAATTTTTTAAATAATTTTTAAAAATCTCAATTTAAGAAGTAATAGTACTAGAATTCTCAAATGAAGCATCAACATATTGGTGTTTATTGTTACTGTACTAGATCACAAATATTAGGCTCAACATTTTGATGATAGAGGAAAATACAAGATACAATACTTGTCCCAAAAAGCGTATGATCTAATTTGATAAAAATAACAAACATACATTGAAAATAATTACAAGGACAGATACAAATTGATGTTTTCTTGTATGGCCTAAAGTATAAATATAAAAATTGAGAAGAAGTAAATAAGAGATATAATAGTAGAAAAAAAGCCACCAAAATATCTATGCCTGTAACTGGACTTAGCCTTTGTAGAAAAGAGAAGATATTCCAGAAAAAATTTAAAAAGCAAATGTCAAATATGTTACACATAATGAGAAATTGGAATGGATTGAATGAAACATGTTGAGAAAATACCTTTGGGTAAATTGTTTGGGATTATATATCTGGGAAAAATATAAGCTTTTTATTGCTATTTGCTTAGAAATGTTTAGCTCTTAATGATATAAGGTAAAGCCTAATCAGTATTAATAAAGAGGTTAGCAGAAAGATAAATTTTTCAAATAAAAAAATACTAATTCCCTGATCCTCGAAGATCTATACAAGAACAAAAATATATCACAAAACAAATGCAAATTTATTTTATAAATCCACTTCATTCACAGAGGGATGTGTGTTTGAGCCGATATCAATTATTCAAAGAAATCTGAAGAAAAATCCCAATTAAGCAACAAATATTCATATGACCACATCACTCCAGTTTTATCAATCATTAACTCCCTTTTTGTGATAGGTATGAAGACCCTTATAAATATAAATTAAAGTAGTAGATCAATCGTGCTGTGCCAGACAGTGATTCTGCATAAATAAGAATTATTTTCTTGTGTCCAAACTGTCCATGAAGTTATAAAGATGTTCATTTATATATTAATCCATATTCTCAGTTGAAAAGTGTCCAGATGTCTAAAATCTATAAGCCTTAAATATAAGATCAGCTTTTATTATTCAATTTTAGTCCTCAGGGAAAAATTATTCATAAAATAAAGTAAAAAGTGGTTATTATCTATCAATGTTTCACATACTGAATTAGAGATGCTGCAGCTAAGATTAGATGACCAAAAAGGTGAGAAAAAGGGAAGAGGGGATAGAATTACTGATGTGTTAATTGTTGAATCTCTTAATGTTAAGTCACTTCTATTTCACTTCTTTCACCAAAAGTTGCAAATTTGAAGAAAAAATGAGAACAGAAAAGTAGATCTAGGTTAAGGGGACCCAACAGTAGATGAAATAATAATTCCAGTTTAGAATATCAGTATTTTTTCTAAATTATTAGTCATGTTACAGTAAAACTTGTAAAGTAATTGCTATACAAAGTTCAGTAATATGTATAAGTAACCTGACTTTTCATTACTAGAAATCTGAAAACAATTAAAACAGTAAGATAGTTAAAATCATGAGTTATAATTAGTAAGCTATTTTAGAATAATTATAAAAATTTCAAAATACCTTCAGCTTTTTATGCTTTAATAACAATAGTAGTACTAAGTAATTAGTTCACTTAAAGGGATAAATCAGTTGACCATCAATTTGGATCTTTATTTGAATTTATTCCCTAACATAAACACTTTCCCTTTATTGTTCAAATGATATGAGAAATAAAATGACATCATAAACTCTGAATGGAATATCAAAGTTATGACAATATGTGTTATAAAAAATTAAAGGATATGATTTCTAATACTGTATGTAATTAAATTGCTAACAAGTAAAATAGTGATATACTAAATATGATTGAAAATGTTGCCTTTTTTTTTTTTTTTGAGAAGGAGTCTTGCTCTACCACCAGGCAGGAGTGCAGTGGTGCAATCTCGGCTCACTGCAACCTCTGCCTCCCAGGTTCAAGCGATTCCCCTGCCTGAGCCTCCCAAGTAGCTGGGACTACAGGCGTGTGCCACACGCCCAGCTAATTTTTTTGTATTTTAATAGAGATGGGGTTTCACCATGTTGGCCAGGATGGCCTCGATCTCTTGACCTTGTGATCTGCCCGCCTTGGGCTCTCAAAGTGCTGGGATTACAGGCGTGAGCCACTGCACCTGGCTGCTTTTTGTTTTTGAGACAGTGTCTTGCTCTGTCACCCAGGCTGGAGTGCAGTGGCCTGATCATGACTCGCTGCAACCTCTACCTTCAAGGCTCAAGCAATCCTCCCACACTCAAGCCTCAGTTTCCTGAATACCTGAGACTACAGGTATGTGCCATCATGCCTGACTAATTTTTTATTTTTATTTTTTGGTAGAGATAAGGTCTCCCTGAGCTTCCCAGGCTGGGGTATTTTAAATATTTCTTTTAATACTTTTTTTTTGGTAAGAATTAGTAATGAATGCACACTCCAGAGGTGTATTTTTATATATTGCTAATGGATTATTTAACATTCTGAAATGTTTCTTTTACTTACTGGTAGCAATCTTTATTTTGTAGTCTATCTTATCAGATATAAATATAACCACTCCAGCCTTATGTTTGTTATTTTTATTGTTTATCTTTTTCTAATAATTTTTTCAACCGATGTGTTTATTTATATTAAATATGTATACTTATGGGTAGTATACGGTTGAGTGTATTTTTTACTCATTCAACCAATCTTGGACTTTTAACTACAGTGTTTGTTCCATTAACGTTTAATGTACCTATAGGTATGGTTATGCAAAATGGATCTATCATTTTATTGTGTGTTTTCTGATGGTCTCCTGAATCCTCTTCTATTTTTTTAATCCTGCCTTTTCTTGAATTATTGAATATTGCATTTACATGTAAATATAACTATGTCTTAATTTATATATTAAAATTTAGTTATTTCTTTTTGTTTTTATGTTTTAGTGATTATTCTTGTGATTACATAATACAGTCTTAACATTTCACACTAAGTTAATATTGCACCTTTTTATATAAAACGTATGTGCCTTGCAACCACATAGGCTTTTCCCATCTACTCTGTTTTTTATGTTATATTTGTCATGTGCATTATGGCTATAAACATTACAAACCCCATATAACAGGATTATAATTGCTGCTTTAAACATCTCATGCATTTTTAAAAACAATAATAGAATAATATTTTGTACTAATCTAGATATTTAGCATTTCTTGTGTTCTTCATTTTCTTCTGGAGGTAGAATTTTCCACCTGATGTCTTTTTTCTCCAGCTTCAAGAAGTTCCTTTATCATTTTTCATACTGTGAGTGTGATAGTAAAAGTTTCTTTGAATTTTATTTCATTTGAAAATGTCTATACATTTTCTTAATTCTTAAAAAATATGTGTTCACATACATATAGGTTGATAGATTTTCTTTTCATGATATCTGATGTGAAAAGTCAGTAAACAATACATTATTGGTAACTGAGATGTAATGTGTCCAATTTCCTTAGATGTTTTCAAGAATTTCTTTAATTTTGATGTTCAGCAGTTTGATTATAATGAGTCTAGGTATTACTGTCTTTATATTAATCCTGTTTGGGATAACCTGAAATTCTTGAATTTTTACATTTATTTTTTTCAGCAAATTCAGGAAAATTTTTGACACTGTATATTCAAATATTTTCTTCTCTATTCTCTCTATCCTCTCTTTATTGACTCTGATCACATAAATGTCAGAAATTTTTATGTTGCCTAATAGGTCCCAGAGACTCTACTCATATTTATTTTCATATTTTTTAATCTATTTTTCTGAGCAAATACGTTCTATTAATCTAATATCAAATTCACTGATTCTTTCCTTTGTCACCATTGTTTTTCCTCATTAACCACATGCACATATATTTTATTGAAAATGGTATAATTTAGGTCTAAATTTTATATTATATTTAATTTCTTAAAATGTGTACGTTACTGCTGCTATTTCTCACCTTTCAATTATAGAAAGCATATTTTAATTTACTTCATTAGCTGTAGTTATAATAGTTGCTTTAACATTCTGACCATGGAGATTATTGTGACTTGAATGTGTTTTCTCTTGTGTGTACGATATTTTTCTGTTTTTCATTTGGATTGTATCCTGGACATTGTAGTTTTTTCTTTAATATTTTGCATTTGTTACATTCTCCTGAAGAGTATTGATGTCTTTGATGTAGCAGGAAATTAACTATGTTAGATTTAAACCTTAAATTCTATCTATTTAAACCCAATAGCCCAAATCACATTACAATTTCCCGAATTTAACTGTTTCTTGAGTCTGTTCCATGCATGCATGAGTCATCTGTCAGCTAGTTACTAGGACAGCATTTGAGTAAAATTTTTTTTTTCTGTTCTGATTAGAAAAGGGATCCAGAACAGTTTGCATTCATGTTGGATGGATGACAGTGTTCATTTATACTTTGCTCAGGGCTATGTTACCTCTGCTGTCTTATGTCAAAATATAGCCTGAGGAGAGCTAGACCACCTGGACAACCCACAGAACATTACACTGAGCTACCACATTGATGACAGCATGCTAATCAGACATGATAAATAACAGGTGATGGTATGCCAGAGGCCTTAATGAGACACATGTACTGCACAGGGAGAGAGAAAAACCTGCCACTTCACTAATGTCTGTAGGGATGAGATGGCCAGAGATATCTTTTGCAAATTAAGGGATAATTAATGCATATAGTGCTCACCACCACACAGAAGGAGGCACAGAATGTGGTAGGCCTCTTTCGGTTTGGAGGGAACACTTTTCACATGTAGGCATACTGCTCCAATCCATACTCTGTGACATGGAAGGAAGGAAATTTTGAGATTTTGAGTGGTAAAGGGGTCTACAGCAGGTTTAGGCTGTGGTAGAAGCCACACTGCCCCTTGGGCCCTGCTTTTATTCCTCCCTTGGCATCTGCTCTTTTAAGGTGAATCTAACTCTCGTGGTAATTAACCTCATTTTTAACATGTGGTTCCTCTGACCATTTAAATAACATGTATATTCAATGTGCTCAATTCATTCTATCTGTTTAGAATTCCTGACACCGCATGACCTATGAGAATTCTCACCATGCTCACATAATTATATTCCCTAGAACATGATCTTCTCAAATTTGTAATATTGTTTCCCTAATCTTTAAATAAATGAATGACTCAATAGGACCACCATGATGATTTCTAGAACTTGTTCTCTGCCTACCTCCTTACCCTTGGATAACCTGCTTTGCATATTATATCTGCCTCAGCATCATCAATCTCTAATCTCTGACTTTTAAAATTAGCAGGAATGCTGGTCTCTACTTGGGTATCCTTCCTTGAGTCAGTCTAGAAATTACCTTCAAGCAGAAAGCCTGGGTAATGAAAGAGATTTCCTTATTTCTTTCCATTTTCTCAGAGTTCGCATAATTCCTGTTTTCTAGTCTTTTAAAATAGATGATACCTTCTTCAGTTCAGTTTTGCAATTGTCTATAGTGGAGATGAATTCCGCTTTCTTTTCTGCCCTCATGGCCAGAAGAAGCTCAAAATTATTTGCTTTTTAAAAAAATTTCAGAAATAAAGAATAAAATTCTGGAAGCATAGATGCAGGGCAAGAATAATTATTTACAGAAGAACAAAACATGGCTTAACTTGGGCCTTTCTATGCAAAACAGTGATAGGTAATAGAAGTGAAAGAAGTAAAATTTTTCCAAAATTTTTATTCTGTGGAAAGATATTATTCAAATGTTAACATAGCAGAGAAATGTTTTCAGATAAGTAAAGACTCAAAATATATAAAACCGAGGTGTCTGTCCTTAGAAAATAAAGTGTAGACCATAACAAATAATAGTAATATATCCAGCTAAAATATTATTATTGTTTAGAAATTAGGAATATTATTTTTGTTTAGAAATTTACAGGTTTAAAATCAAGAAAAATATACCATTTTTTTCCGAGTAAAACAAGAACATATTGTAAATGAACTTAGATATGGATAGATACATTTAAATGAATATATGATTTCTGAATTTGAAACTACAATAGAGACAATAAACACCCTCATGGATAGCTCAGAAAGTTAGCTTGGTGAGCTGGATGACTAATATGAGAAACTTATCAAAAAACTCAAAGAAAGCCTGAATACAAGAAAATAAATAGGGAAATGTTGAGTGAGATAAATGAGAAATCAAGACCATTGAGATATTCATTAACTGTGCAGGAATATTTGGAACAAATAGGATTTACAGTGTACTAGGCAAAATCAATTAGTTTTAAAAATGTCTTGACCCAGACCAAATCTAGACTATTTTTAAATTCCATAAAAATATACACTATATTAGGATATTCCACTTGGGAAAAATGAAAACACATTACTAATAAGCGAATAAAAATAATTCTAACTTCAGACCTCCTCACATTAGTAAATGTGTGAAGAGAGTAAAATAGTGTCTATTACCCAGTGATGCAAGGATATAAACTGGGTATAGGAGAAAAATACCTCAACATAATAAAAACCATATATGACAAAACCACATCTAGTATTATACTGAATGAGAAGAACTTGAAAGCCTTTTCTCTAAGATCTGGAACATGATAAGGATATTCACTTTCACCACTGTTATTCAACATAATAGTGGAAGTCCAATCTAGAGCAATCAGACAATATGATGAAATAAACAACATTCGAATGGGAAATGAAGAAATAAAATTATTCTTATTTGTAGATAACATAAACATATTTGGAAAAACCTAAAGACTTCACAGAAAAACTATTAAAACTAATAAACAAATTCCATAAAGTTGCAGGATACAAAATCAACCTACAAAAATCAGCAGCATGTCTATATGCCCACAGTGAACAATCTGAAAATAAGAAAGTAATTTCATGTACAACAGCCACAAATAAACTAAAATGTCTAGAAATTAACTTAACCAAATAATTGAAAGATATCTACAATGAAAATTATAGATCATTGGTAAAAGAAATTGAAGAGGACACAAAAAAGGAAAGATATTCTATGTTCATAAATTAAAAGAATCAATATTGTTAAAAATGTCCATACTACTCAAAGCGGTCTACAGTTTCAATTAAAGCTCTGTCAAAATACCAATGGCATTCTTCACAGAAATAGAAAACAGAATCCTAAAACCTATAAGTAACCACAAAGGGCCCAGAGTAGCCAAAGCTGTCCTGAGCAAAAAGAACAAGGCTGGAGGAAAACATTACCTGACTTCAATTTATACTACAGAGGTATAGTAACAAAAACAGCATGGTACTGGAAAGAAAAGAAATAGACCAATGGAACAGAATAGAGAACTCATACATCTATAGTAAACTCATTTTTGACAAGGGTGCCAAGAACGTATATTGTGGAAAGGACAGTCTTTTAATAAATAGTTCTGGAAAAACTGAGTATCCATTTTCAGAAGAATGAAAGTTGACCATCTCTTGCCTTTACAAAAATCAAATAAAAATGGATTAAAGACTTGAATCTAAGACCACAAACTACAAAACTACTACAAGAAAACATTAGGGACAATCTCCAGGACATTGGAGTGAGTAAAGATTTTTTGGGCAATACCACACAAGCACAGGCAATAAAACAAAAATGAACAAATGAAATCACATCAAGTTTTAAAACTTCTGCACAGCAAAAAAAGAAACAAATGAACAAACAAAACACAATCGACAAAGTGAAGAGACAACCCACGTAATAGGAGAAAGTATTCATAAACTATCAAGCTGCCAAGGAATTCATAACCAGAATAAATAAGGAACTCAAACAACTCTATAGGACAAAATCTAATAATCCAATTAAAATGGGCAAAATATCTCAATAAACATTTCTCAAAAGAGGACATATAAATAGCAAACAGGCATATGAAAAGGTGTTCAATACCACTGCTTGTCAGAGAAATGAAAATCAAACCTATATTTATGCTTCATCTCACTCCAGTGAAAATGGCTTATATCCAAAAGACAGGCAATAGCAAAGATTGGTGAAGTTACGGAGAAAAGGGCACCCTTGTACATTGCTGCTTGGGATGTAAATGAGTACAATAACTATGAAAAACAGTTTGGAGGTTCTTCAAAAATCTACAAATAGTTTTACCATATAATCCAGCAATTCAATGGCTAACTATATACCTCAAATTGAGGAAATCAATATATAGAGATATTGTGTTCCCATGTTTATTACAGATCTATTTACAATAGCTAAGATTTGGAAGCAACCTAAGTGTCCATCAACAGATTAATAGGTAAAGAAAATGTGGTACATACACACAATGAAGTACTATTTGGCCAGAAAAAAATAATGAGACCCAGTCATTTGCAACAGCATGAATGGAACTAGAGGTTATTATGTTAAGCAAAATAAGCCAGGCAACAAAAGAGAAACTTACTATGTTCTCACTTATTTGTGGGATGTGAAAATTAAAACCACCGAATTGATGGAGACAGAGAGTATAGAATGATTACTAGGGGAAGTAAAGGGTAGTGGGGTGGTGGGGGAAAGTGTAAATGGTTAATGGGTACAAAATATAGTAAGAAATAATGAATAAGAACTAATGTTTGATAGCATGACAGGGTGACTATCAACAATAATAATAATAATTGTACATTTTAAAATAGCTAAAATCGGACAGGTACAGTGGCTCACACCTGTAATCCCAGCACTTTGGGAGGCTGAGGCAGGCAGATCACGTGGTCAGGAGTTCAATATGGTGACTAATACGGTGAAATGCCGTCTCTACTAAAAATACCAATATGGTGAAACATCGTCTCTACTAAAAATACAAAAATTAGTCGGTCGTGGTGGCAAGCGCCTGTAATCCCAGCTACTCAGAAGGCTGAGGCAGGAGAATCACTTGAAGCGGAGAGGCAGAGGTTGCAGTGAGCTGAGTTCATGCCACTGCACTCCAGCCTGGGCAACAGAGTGAGACTCCATCTCAAATAAATAAATAAATAAATAAATAAATAAATAAATAAATAAATAAATAATAAAATAGCTACAATTGTGTAATTGGATTATTTGTAAAACAAAGGATAAATGTTTGATGTGATGAATATCCCATTCACCCTGATGTGATTATTACTCATTTTATGCCTGTATCAAAATATATGATGTGTCCCATAAATACATACAATACTATGTGGCCACAAAAATTAACAATTAAGAGAAAGAAGTCATCACATGTGGATTTTCTTATCATAACATACCATTTGTCAATATATACTATTTAACTTAAAATCAATAAAATACTAGAGAAAGATAGAAATCAGAATTTTTTAAAAATTAAAGTCATTGGTACAAAATACAACTTGAATACACAAATAACTAGAGGGAAAAACAGCATTTAAGCAAAAAATGTTCTAAAGATATACATCTAAGGATGCCTGTATGTCTACATACCTACACCACACATTCACAGAAACATTTACATATGGAAGATAAATTAAACATTCAAGTTATGTCTGTAAGTATAGAAACTGAAAGTGATCTAAATTCTTTTATTTAAATATTTTCATTATAAATTGATATGTTTTCTATATTTTACAAAATGATTGTTTATTGATTTTAAATTCAGCAAGAGAAGATAGGAGTTATGAAAGAGAACAGTTTTTCAATAATTTAGTTCTGAAAGGCTTTGCAATTGGATATAATCCTACTACTCTTTCTCTAATAATATTCATCAATTAGATGCTGACTGATGCTTGGCAAATACTACTACCTAAATCTCAATCTGTAACCAGGAATTTATGTAGCACCCTAGAGGTCTCAAGGGTAAAGAAAATATTTTCACCTCCTTCATTTTGAGTTTCAAAGTCACTAAAGCAACTTGGTTATTGGATGATATGGCTTGGCTGTGTCCCCAACCAAATTTCATCTTGAATTGTACTTCCCATAATCCCCATGTGTTGTGGGAGGGACCCAGTGGGAGGTAATTTAATCAAGGTGGTAATTATCCTCATGCTGTTCTCATGATAATGAGTGAGTTCTCATGAGATCTAATGCTTTTATAAGGAGCTTTCCCCTACTTGTTCAACACTTCTCCTTCCCATTGCCATGTGAAGAAGGACATGTTTTCTTCCCCCTCCCACCATAATTGTAAGTTTCCTGAGGCCTCCTCAGCCCTGCAGAACTATGAGTCAATTAAAACTCTTTCCTTTATAAATTACCCAGTCTTGGGCAGTTTTTTTATAGTGTCATGAGAACAAACAAATACAGTAAATTGGTACCACAGACAGTGGCATGCTGCTGTAATGATAACTGAAAATGTGGAAATGACTTTGGAACTGAGTAACAGGCAGAGGTTGGAACAGTTTAGAGGTCTCAGAAGAAGACAGGAAAATGTGGGAAAGTTTGGAACTTCCTAGACACCTGTTGAATGACTTTGACAAAAATGCTGATAGTGGTATGGACAATGAAGTACAGGCTGAAGTGGTCTCAGATGGAGATGAGGAATTTGTTGGGAATTGGAGCAGAGGTGACTTTCTATGCTTTAGCAAAGAGATCAGTGGCATTTTGCCCCTGCCTTAGAGATCTATGGAACACTGAACTTGAGGGAGATGATTTAGGGTATCTGGCAGAAAATGATTTTTCCTCATTCAAGAGGAAGCAGAGTACAAAAGTTTGAAAAATCTGCAGGCTTACAATGTGATAGAAAAGAAAAAAAACATTTTCTGGGGAGAAATTCAAGCCAACTGCAGAAATTTGCATAAGTAACAAGGAGCCAATGTTAATCGCCAAGACAATGGGAAAATGTCTCCACGGCATGTCAGAGACCTTCATGGCAGTCCCTCCTATCACAGGCCTTGAGGCCTAGGAGGTAAAAATGGTGTTCTGGGCTAGGTCCAGGGCCCCCTTGCTGCGTACAGTCTGGTGACTGCATCCCAGCTGCTCCAGCAATGGCTAAAAAGGGCCAAGGTACAGCTCAGGCCATTGCTTCAGAAGGTGCAAGCCCCAAGCCCTGGCAGCTTCCATGTGGTATTTGGCCTACAGGCATACAGAAGACAAGAATTGAGGTTTGGGAACCTCTGCCTAGATTTCAGAGGATGTATGGAAATGTCTGAATGTCCAGGCAAGAGTTTGCTGCAGGGACAGAGCCCTCATGAAGAACTTCTAGGGGAATGCAGAAGGGAAATTTGGGGTTGGATCCATTCAGTGGCTCCATACAGTGGCTCCAATCCCATACAGTGGGGACTGTGTATGGGTGCTCAAACCCCACATTTCCCTTCCACATTGCCACTAGTGGAGCTGGAAATGCCCAGATATCCAGACAGAAGGGGGCAATTAATCTTACGCTGTTCTCATCATAGTGAGTGAGTTCTCAAGAGATTTGACGGTTTTATAACAGGCTATTCCTCCTTTGCTCAGCACTTCTCTTTCCTTGCGCCATGTGAAGAAGCTCATGGTTTCTTCCCCTTTCCATCATAATTGTAAGTTTCCTAAGACCTTACCAACCCTGCAGACCTGTGAGTCTTAAACCTCTTTCCTTTATAAATTACCCAGTCTTGAGCAGTTCTTCATAGCAGCATGAAAATGAACTAATACATTGGGTTAACCCAAGCCTGAAACAGATAATGTCCTAGATAATGGTAAACAGTTATCTACAGTAAAATTCATCATGAAATAAGAGGAACTGATTTAAAAGTCTGGTTTTCACACCAAGAATCAAGAATTTGGCGGGAATGGTTTATGGTCTGTGAGGCAATTGTCAAAAACTTGCTATAATGGTGGAAGCTTTACATTCTAAGGAGGGGATTACGCAAGTTAATCTAGAACTATAAATATAGGAACCTAGGCACGTTTGAGCATTGACTGTACTTGAACCACTGTAATAAAACAAAATAAATATCCTTTCTTACAACTCAACAATCACCATGGCTGGAGTGAGTATTGCATTGCAAATATTGGCGAGGCTGGATCACATGGGTCAGGTTGAATTATATCTATATTATAACTCAGGTAGTGTACGTAATAGTAATAATCAAAACACTTATATATAAAATATGTATCAGACCATATGTTCTTTAAGTACAAAGTTTATTTAATTTTTTCAACATTCCTAAAAGCTGGTACTATTATGTCAGTTTGACCACTGAGAGATCTGAGTTACAACATGACTAAAGAAGTTGACTAAATAGTAGAGCAAAACTATAAATTAAAACAGTTTCTTTCAAGAGTCCGTGTGCTCCATCTTTACCCTATATAAATTGCATTATAGATAAGCCTCTTGGGATTGCATAATTAATGTGTAAATCATAAAACTGGTATAGTTTCTAAATTATTCTTAGCATCTTATGTATTAAAAGTAAGCTAATATTAATATGGTAATGTATCTGGTAATAGAGCTATAGGGCAATAGAAATACAGACTCATGAGTTATACTGACAAAATGCATGAATCTCTTAAAAAATGCAAAATAGTCTGTAACATGGAGGCTTTTTTCTTTTATTTTGATTAAATTTACTATTGATGTAAGCTTCCCTGAAGACCTACAAGAATCACCAATTTAGAGAGTGACTGCCTGGAAGAAGCTATTATCTTACAATTCCAGCAATAACTAATTTTACTGGCTTTTATTATATCTAACGTTTATAGTCGAAATGTTTCTTATGAGTTAGACCCTTTTATGTTTGTGTATTCGGCTCAATTATTCTATCTACACATTATACTGAAAGGAGAGATTTAGCAGACCCTCAGGAGTGAAATAGTATAGCTCCAAAATATACAGAAGGAGCAAAGAGGGATTTCCTCCTGTACATGTAGACAAGCCACATACAGGCCAGAGAAATGATCACACAAGATATCTAATTTTGTTACTTATAACAATTTTATAATATTCAACAACTGTTATACCTTTTCTTTTGGGAAAATAATCTTCAAAATCAATTGGTTATGCTGTTCTGAAAACCAATTAGAATTACAAGTTTCAGACAAGCTGATAAAACAAAAGTGCTACTTTAATCTATAAATTGTCAGGTACAGACTACATGATTAATGTATGTATCTACAGGGTCTACCAATTATTGTGCATTCCAGTTCCTCAGTGAAATATATAAAGCCTAGAATACTTTGTAAGAAGGTTTGCTTTTCTTTCGTCACATTTTTCTCCCACATCTTCAGATAAAACTACGTGAAAGCAGAATAAAGAAAATGAAAATTAATGCAGAAATGCCTTGGAAAATAAGTCATAGGAGAGATCTCACAGGATACACTCAAATATGATTGGACTTCTACATTACCTAAAAATCATGAAAACATACATGAGCTTCCGTTTTGTGGCAGGACTTTATATATTATCTAAAATGTTATCATTGAGAAAATTGACAGATTTTGATTAGAATAAATAAGCAAATTCTATTGATATTACCTTTTCCTTCCAGTTGTTTCTTCAACTCATTGCATGTCATAGTAATTACAGAGTTGTTCCTCATTTTTGGCATTTTTTGAAAAAATCAAATCAAAGCTAAACAAAAACATATTATGGACCTGGGAATATCTCCCAGTGGGATGTTTCATTGAGGAGAAATGTTTATTGTGTGGACATTCATTATATTTTATCTATTTATCACTCTTTGAGGTTTTACAATTAAGAACGTCTATAAGATGAAACTCCTTTGAAGAATTAAAAAAAAAAAAAAAAAAAGCTAGGCATTGGAGCTCACTTTTGGAATCCCAGAGCTTTGGAAGGCCAAGGTGGGAAGATCTGTTGAAGCCAGGAGCGTCAGACAAGCGTAAGCAACATAGTGAGAATCCAATTCTACAAAATAATATTAATAATAATAATAAAAAAAGTGTAAAAGTAAAAAACAAATATGCAAAAAAATTCCAAATGACAACAACAAAAATCAGTGTTAGCCAGTATTAACTTTAGAAAACCGCATCAATGATTGCTTTTACTCTCAGCAAAGAACTCTTCTTACATAAAATGTGCCTTATGATTTTTATGCTGATCTCTAGTCTAAGTTTGTACATAATTAAATCGCAAAGTCAAAAGTGCTATGGAGAATTAAACTCTACTTACTCCCATTTGCTTGCATATGTTGTGTGCTTAGCCTGGTGTTTCTAATTCTATCATGTACTTTATATAATCGTATCTGTTTATAATTCCTAGCATAAAAGGTATTCTCTAAATTCCAAATTTCCAACAATAATAAAACAAAACCACCAACATGAAACAGAGAAACATTTTACTGATGAATTTTTGTGTGAAAGGGAGAGGGAGTAGTTGAAGATACTCAACTTACTCTTGACAGTTAAAAAAGTTATTTGTAAGTGTTTATTAGTCCATTCTCACACTGCTGTGAAGAAATACCTGAGACTGGATAATTTATAAAGGAAAGAAATTTAATTGACTCACAGTTCTGCAAGTCTGGGGAGGCCTCAGAAAGCTTACAAAGATGGCAGAAGGGGAAGCAAACATGTCCTTCTACACATAGCAGCAGGAAAGAAAAGTATCAAGCAAAGTGAGAGAAGCCTTTTATAAAACTATCAGATCTTGTGAGAACTCACTATCACAAGAACAGCGTGAGAGTAACCACCCCCATGATTAAATTACCTCCCACAAGGTTCCTCCCATGACAGATGGGGATTATGGGAACTACAATTCAAGATGAGATTTGGTTGGAAACACAGTCAAACCATATCAAAATTTATATTATTTCTATGAATTTGGTGTTAATCCTGCTTTCTCAAATAGATTAAGGATATAGACTGTGTTTTAACCTCTATTTCATTATTTTATACCTTTGCTACATATAAAGGCAAAAATGCCAACATACTATTGTTTGAAAGTTTTTTTTAAGCTAACCTTTTTTTTTAAATTACCTGCTGAAATAAAATAGGGTGTGGTGTTGAAGTAGCTATTTGAGAGAATAAGACATTCAAATTCAATCATTTTAGTGATATACTAGTTACATAAAATTCAGGTATTTTAAATACTGATATAATGCAAAGTAAGAGGACTGTAAATATAAGCTGAAGAGGCCATGTAATCTACTGGTTTCATAGCATGGGCTTTGAGTAAAACAAATGTATGTTGTTATTGCTGCTGCTGTTGTTGTTTTCCACTACCTCTGATTTTAGGGAAGTTATTCAACATCTTTGAAATCACAATTTTCTCAGTTATAAAATGAAGGAAAAAACCTAAATCATTAAGTGGTTGTGAGCATTAAATAATATCTAGCAAATAAAGCATATAATAAATATTCTCTCTCGTAAGTTTTTAATAAGTGGTCATTACATATATAACCTTGGACAAAATACTATGCTCTTGAACCTAAAGTATCTAATGTGTAAAATGTAGGACATTCAACTTCTGTGAAAAATTTTGTTGTTATTTTAATATAAATTGCATTGAATCTGTAGATTGCTTTGGGAAGAATGGAAATTTTAACAATATTGATTCTTCCAATTCATGAACATGGAATATCTTTTCATTTTTTGTTCATCCTCTCCTATTTCTTTTATCAATGTTTCATATGATTTATTGTAAAGATTGTTCTTTTTTGGTTAAGTTTATTCTTAGATGTTTTATTTTATTTGTAGCTATTTTAAAGGAGATTAGTTTTTTTGTTTCTTTTTCAGATTGTTCACTGTTGGCATATAAAAATGCAACTTGTTTTTGTAAGTTGATTTTGTATTCTACAATTTTACTGAATTTATCAACTCTAATAATTTTATAAGATAATATCATTTGTACACAAGAATAATTTGACTTCTTCCTTCCAAATTTGAATGCTCTTTATGTCCTTCTCTTGTCTAATGGCTCTGGCTAGGAGGAGTTCTAGCACAAGATTGAATAATTCCCAAATTTGTATGGAACCACAAAAGGCCCCAAATAGCCAAAGCAGTCCTGACCAACAGCAAAAATGAAAACAAAACTAAACTAAAACATCTAGGGGAATCACATTACTTGACAATATTATATTACAAAGCTATAGTAACCAAAAGAGCATGGTTCTGGCATAAAAACAGACACCTAGACCAATGAAACACAATAGGGAAATCAAAAATAAATCCACACTCATTTGCATCAACTCTTTTCTGACAAAGGTGCCAAGAACATACATTGAATAAAAAACAGCCTCTTCAATAAAAAGTGCTGGAAAAACTGGATATCCATATGCAGAAGTATCCATTAAAGTGGATTAAAGACTTAAATCAAAGACTCAAAACTACGAAACTACTAGAAGAAAACATTGGGGAAACACTCTAGAACAATGCTGTGAGAAGAAATTTCTTGAATAAAACCTCAAAAACAAACACAACAAAAGAAAAATGGACAAATTGGATCACATCCAGCTAAGAAGCTTCTGCATTTCAAACAATCAACAAAGCGAAGAGACACTCCATAGAATGGGAGAAAATATTTTCAAACCACCCATCTGACAAGGAATTAATAACCAAAATATATAAAGAACACAAAAAACTCAATAGACAAAAAAAACAAATAACCTGATTTTAAAATGACCAAAAGGCCTACATAGAAATTTATCCAAAGAAGACATACAAATGTTTAATAGGTATACGACAAATGCTCAAGATCAGTAATTATCAGAGAAATGCAAATTAGAAGCATAATGAGATATCATCTCACTCACATTAAAATATCTTTTATCGAAAGACAGTCAATAATGGATGCTAGTGAGGATGTGGAGAAAGGGAAACCCTTGGGCACTATTAGCGGGAATGTAAATTTGTACAGCTACTATGGAGCATAGTATAGAGGTTTTTCAAAAAACTAAAAATAGAACTACTTTATGATCCAGTAATCCCACTGCTGGGCACACACACACACACACACAGACACACACACAGGAAACAAGTATATCAAAGACATATGTAGTCCCATGTTTATTGAAGCACTGTTCACAGTAGCCAAGATATGGAATCAAAGGTAATGTCTATTAATGGATGAATACATGAAGAAAATATAGTTGATATACAACATGGACTATTGTGCAGCTGTAAAAGAATCAAATCCTGTCATTTGCAGCAATATGGATACAACTGGAGAACACTGTGGTAAGTGAAATAAGCCAGGCATACCAAGACAAATATTCAATGTTCCCACTCGTATGTGGGAGCTAAAAAAAAATTGAACTCATGGAGATAGAGAGTAGAATGATGATTACCACAGGCTGGAAAGGGTAGCAGGGATGGCAGGGATATAGAGGAATGGTTGACAAGTACAAAATACAATCAGATAAAAGGAATACAATCTAGTGTTTGGTAACAAAATAGAGTTGCTATAGCTAATAATATACAATAAAGTCAAAATAACTAAAAGCAAAATTGGAATGTTCCTAACACAAAGAAATAATAAATGCTTCAGATAATGGATATCCCAATTACCTTGAGTTGACTACATTGTATGCTTGCATCAAAATATTATGGGCACCCCATAAATATGTACAACTATTATATCCCCATAATTACTAAAAATAAAAAAATAAAATGGGAGACATTCACGTCTGACACCCCATGTCCTTTTTATGCTGTTTACATATATTTTTTAATTTATAAAATAATTTCAGCCATACTGGAAGCACTCAAAGAATAATGTGATTTTTATTTTTAATTTAAATACTATTGTTAAATTTATTATTTTTAAAAAAGATAAAGTATCCATCTTTTTAAAATTGACATTTCATTTATGATGTTCTCAAAGTTCATCTGTTTTGTATCATAAGATTTCATTTTCTTTTAAGGCGAATAATATCACAACATATATATATGCTCCATTTTGTTTGTTCATCCATTCACGAATGGACATTTGGGCTGCTTATACCTCTTGGTTATGTTGCTGTGATCATGGTTGTGCGAATAACTCTTAAAGATCATGTTATACTTAACAGTAGTTAAGATGGTAAATTTTGTTATGTGCTTTCTTACCACAATTTAAATTAAAAGATATGTAGTCACATAAACATTTATTCTATTTAATTAAAAGAATTATATAAAAATTAAATATTTCTTGATAGATAGGCTTTTGAACATTTGGAACAAAGCACAAACAAGAAAATAGAAAAATCAAGCAAAGTGAGAGAAGCCTTTTATAAAACTATAGGATCTTGTGAGAACTCACTGTCACAAGAACAGCGTGAGAGTAACCACCCCCATGATTAAATTACCTCCCACGGGGTCCCTCCCATGACAGATGGGGATGGGATTATGGGAACTACAATTCAAGGTGAGATTTATTTGGAAACACAGTCAAACCATATCAAAATTTATGTTATTTTTACGAATTTGGTGTTAATCCTGCTTTTACAAGTAAAAATGATTTTACTCGTAATTTCATCAAGAAATATAATATATCTCTATTTATTCTATCAAGAAAATATTTTGACAATTCAAATCAGTGAACGCAAAACTGCCAAAATGACCAACTAGTTTTTTCCTCATGCTGTGAAAAACTGCATTAAATCTGTGATATGTCAAACAATGTTGTAGCTACCTGTTGTTATCCCTATGATGTATTTGAGATAAAGACTTGGGAGAAATGTTGCTACTTTCTTATTTTTGTTTAGATGTTTTCTAGGAAAATCACTTTTGAATAACGAAAGCATCTCACATTAATTAAGCCCTGTTCTCCAAAATGTCACTTAGGAAAAGCACAATACCTACAGATTAATGTAAGGTTTTTTATTTTTACAATTTCTTTACTGATTATATTTTCTTGACACCATGATATAGTTGAACCTATATGTTAGAATTAAGTTCAATTATTAATATGAATAATACATCAACATTCATAGAAGATTAGAAGTTTTTTAAATAATATCTATATATCTAAGAAATTATTTCTTCATGTGGAATAAATGTGGTTAAAAAGTGCACTGGAAAGAAACTCATGCACTTGAGGTTAATTAAGCTTCAAATTAAATCAGCATCACTGAGACACCATAAAAAGACTAAGAAATGTATTTAGACTCAAATCAAAGGCATAAGTTCAACCTAACCCCTGAAATTGTACATTCATGGGACATAAATTAGAAAGTAAATGCTTTAAATTATATGTGAACAAAATGCACAAGTCTCTGCCTAATCCCTAAATTATGCATGCGCAGGAGAGACACAAAATGACGACGAAGGATTTGAGAACTAAAATGATACTTGAATCACCACCTACAGAAGGCAAGACATATGGTATGAAACTACCTAGACTAAATGCCTACGAAAATTGGAAGTATCACCAATACATCTAGAACATTACAACAGGACCAAGTCTATACAACATGGCATTCATAAGGGCCAAAATAAAATGTGCA
Organism: Homo sapiens; assembly: GCF_000001405.40. Taxonomy (NCBI): domain Eukaryota; kingdom Metazoa; phylum Chordata; class Mammalia; order Primates; family Hominidae; genus Homo; species Homo sapiens. The sequence goes on from NC_000007.14 coordinate 126,067,101, forward strand.
ATATGACACATAAAAAGAACCAGGAAAATGTGAACAACTATCTTAGGAAGAAGCAATGAATAGATGCCAACATCAATATCACTCAATATTTGTCGTTATCAGAAACACTTTAAAGCAGCTATCGTCACTATTTTCCAGAAGTAAAGAAAAATTTACTTAAAATGAATGAAAAGCTAAAATAAAGCTAGATAAAAGAATTGAAGTTGTGGAATTGAGAAATCCAAAATCTGAAATTTAAAATACTACTCATAGCAGAATGAAGATAATAGAGAAAAATAATCAGTGACCTGGACCATAATTAGATATATAGAAATTATTTCGTCTGAACAAAAGAGAGAAAAAAATAGAAAAAAACAAATAAAAAGCTTTATGGACAGGTGAGGTAATATTTTAAAATCCATTATGCATATACTTGAGAGAGAGAAAAAGAGAGGGAGTCAGAAAACATATTTGAGGAAAAAATAATGCAAAATATCAGAAATTTGGTACTACATAAATTAACACACTGAAATAATGAGCAAATTCCAAGCAGTAAAAATTCAAAGAAAATTATGCCTGAAAACATTGTAGTCAAGATACTTAAAACCAAAGATAAAAGAAAATCTTGCTAGTAGTGAGAGAAATGGACACATTACAACAAGCACAATGGTTTGATTGCCTGGAGCTTTCTCATTGGAAAGCATGTAGGCCTGAAACAGTGAAAGATATTTTAAGCTGCTGAAATTAAAAAAAAAAAAACAAAAAACCATCAACACCGAATTCTGCAAACATGAAAATATCCTATAAGAAGGAAAGAAAAATAAATATATTTTCCGACGGAGAGAAACTAAGATATGTGTATAATAAAGATATATAAACAATATATAAGTATACAAAATGGGCCAGGCGCAGAGGCTCACAGCTGTAATCCCAGCACTTTGGGAGGCTGAGGTGGGCAGATCACTTGAAGTCAGGAGTTCGAAACCAGCCTGGCCAACATGGTGAAACCCCATCTCTACTTAAAATACAAAACAAACAAACAAAAAAAATTTAGCCGGGGCGTAGCAGCTCATGACTATAATGCCAGCTACTCGGGAGGCTGAGGTAGGAGAATCGTGTGAATCTGGGAGACGGAGGTTGCAGTGAGCCAAGATTGCGCCACTGCACAGGTGACAGAGTGAGACTCCATCTCAAAATAATAATAATAAATATAAATATAAATAAATAAATATACAAAATGTCTACCTGGCGCAAATATAATCTAAATTATAACAAACAGTGGAGATGATAGAAAGTATTTGGTGCAAGGTTCTACATTTAAACAAATTTTGTATAATATTAACTCTATGTTTATGGATATCTATGTATATATCTTTTAATCTTTAGCAAACCTTTTTTAAAAAGATGTATAGCCTAAAACTAAGTACAAGAAAAATGTAATAATTCAAAAAATTTGAAACAAAAAAAAGGAAGATAGGAGAAACAAAAGATACGGGGGCAAACAGGAAAAAAATGTTGACCTAAATCCAACTATATACAAATAAACATAGTAAACGTTAATGTTCTAAACACTTTAATTTCAGGGTGCAAACTGATAGAGATAACAGAAAAGAGAGAGAGCTAGGCTCAGCCTTTAAGAGATTTACATTAAAACAAAGATAAGTTGAAAGTAAAATAGTGGAAAGTGTTTACTAAGCAAACATTGAATAAAAAAACAGGAGTTATATTAAGAATAGTTAAAACTGATTTATAGAAAAAGAGTATAACGAAAGACAAAGGATATTATATAATATTGAAAGAAATAATTTATTAGTTAAATAAAACAATTATAAATGCTATGTGTCTAATATCCTGGGTGCACAATACATTAAGAAAAAACTGACAATTGAATGAAGAGGTAGATAATTTCAAAACCATAGTAAGATATTTTTACACTCCCCCCATAAGCAATTGAGAAAAAAAAATAGACACAAATAATCGATTAAGACCTAAAATATTTGAACAAAGTATAAACCATTGTGCTATACCTGTCACTTATAAACAAAACACTGCATCTCACACTTACAAAGTATATACTATTTCCTAGTGCATATATCACATTCAACAAAATGAATAATATACTAGGCCATAAAACACATGTGTTATCTAACCATATGTAATTAGAGGCAAATAACAGCAAATATCAATGTACTAACAAATCATAGGAAAGAGAAAAACATTTTCAAATTAATAAAAATAAAAATACATCTTATCAAAATGCTAAAGCTAGAACAGTGCTCTGAGACAAGTTTTATCTTTAAATACTTACATTCATAATGAAGCAGCCCAGAAGAAAGAGGAGGAAGAAAAGGAAGATAAGGAGAATGAGTATCTTAAGGAAAATAATAGCAAAGTATAATAAATCCAAAGTAAATAGAATGAATACTAAAGGTAAGACCAGATAATAATACAAAACAACAAAAAATAGACAATAGAGGAACTTATAGGCCAAAGCTGCTTTTTGTCTGTGTGTGTGAAAGATCAATCCCTAGGTTAATCAAGTAAAAAAGAGAATGAAGAGAAATTGTCAATGTCAGAAAAAAAGTTGGGTTACGACCATGTATTATAAAAATATTAAATAAAATTTCAAGAAAACTGTTAATTTTTTATGGTAAAAACTAAAACCTTTGAAATGAATCAATTTCTTCTGCAACACAAATTATCAAAATTTATACAAGAGGTAAAAACATCTATGTAACTCCATATCTATTGAAGAAATTACATTTATTTTTATTTTTATTTCTATTTATTTATTTATTTTTTTGAGATGGAGTCTTGCTCTGTCACCCAGGCTGGAGTGCAGTGGCACAATCTCAGCTCACTGCAACCTCCACCTCCCAGGTTCAAGCAGTTCTCCTGCCTCAGCCTCCCAAGTAGGTGGGACTACAGGCACGTGCCACTACGCACGGCTAATTTTTCGTATTTTTAGTAGAGACGGGGTTTCACCGTGTTAGCTAGGTTGGTCTCGATCTCCTGACCTCGTGATCTGCCCGCCTTGGCCGCTCAAAGTGCTGGGATTACAGGCGTGAGCCACCGTGCCCAGCTGAATTTCTTATTACAAAACAGAAATCAAAGCTACAAACAAAAATGGTTTTACTTGTAAAATTTATCAAAGGTTGAATGATTAAATAATACCACCTTATATAATTATTTCACAAAATACAACGAATAAAACTGTATGTTTGTGTTATGAGTTCAGAATAAACTTTACAACAAACAAAGCCTGATGATGTTATGGAAAAGAGAAAAGCACAAATAGATCATTATCAGTCATGAATGTAGATGAAAAAATGCTAAATAGAATGTTAGCACATAAACAGAACAATATATAAAAATGATAAAACCTGAGGATCAAATATGTTTTATCTTAGGAATGCAAAAGTGGCTAAAATTTTGAAAATAAATTATCGTAATTTACTATATTAACAACTAAAGATAAAAAATATGTAATCACTTCAGTAGTTGCAGAAAAAGCATTTAATGAAATTTTTAATAAAAAGTTGCAGCAAAATATAAATGATTGGAAACATCCTGAAAATAATGAAGGGCATCTATGAAAAACCTACAGCTAAAATCATACTTAAATGTCAAATAACAAATGTTCCCCTTGAGACCAGAAACCAGTAAATGATGATTGCTTTTACCACTTCTGTTCAACACTGGAAGTCCTGGCCATTACAATAATGCAAGTAAAAAAAGAGAAAAGTCACAAATATCAGAAAAACAGAAGAAATGCTGTTTCTATTTGTGAGTGATATGATTGCTTACATAGAAAAACCACAAAATAACTCACAGAATGCATAAATGAATTTAGCATGTTACATGGTTAGTGCAGAAAACAATAAACTGAGTTTTTACAAATTACCTCAAGCATTTGGAAAATGAAATTCAAAAATATAATTCCACTTATAGTACCCCCAAAACATAAAAGTATTTAATAAAAAAAGAAGAAATCTAAACACTTTACCTTGAAAATTAAGAATGTTGCTTCAAAAAGTTAAAGGTAATAGATGAAGAATGAATGCTAAATGTGTGAATTACAGGACTCAACATTGATAAGAGCAATTTTCCCAAAACTGATCTATAGTTGTTATGTATTTGATTGCAGAACAATCAAAATTCCAGCAGAATTTTTCTGTTGTTATTGAAAAGCCTATTGCATTTAACTGAAACAGTTTTTTAAATGAAAAAGAAGATTGCAGGACTTAATCTCTCTTATTTAAAGACTTTTCTATAAAGCTGCAAAAATCAAGACCATTTGGTATTGAAGAAAATATGTACATATAGATCAATGGAACCAAAAAGAGTGCAGAAATAGACCCACATATATAAATATATACCCAACTCATTATTGACAAAGGTAACAAAGCCATTCCACTAAAAAGTGTTGTATTAACTGAGTATAAAAATATAAAAACTTAAAAAGTGACAACACAGCCTACATTTTTTAAAAAACATCAAGATGAATTACTGAACCCAAAACTTTGAAATTCTAGAAAAATGTCATAAACTAATTGTCATTTGGGGTATGCAAAAGTTTCTTAGAACATAAAAATCTAGAACCATAAATGTACTCATTACACCATGGAATGAAATATAAAATACAATTTTAAATATTATAAACTTGTCAATAAAAAACAGCATAAAAATCGACATTGTGAGATGATAGGATACCAAGAGCTTCAATTTTATATAATGAGGTAATGTTTAATCTTATATTATTTTTACAGTGTTACTGAAGTCTATTTAAAGGAAAATATACCATATGCTTAGAGTGTACAATTTGATCAGTTTTGACAAATATAAGTATGTTTGCAGATCCTCACCATTTATTTTAACACAGCCTCACCATACATTTCTTGGATGGATTTTGGTGCCAAAAAGTTGATTGTTGTTTTTTACTGGTATTATTACTTAAGAGTTAATATATGCAACATTTAGCAAACATTTACCGAAGTACTCTATGTTTGAGATAAGGTACCACTGAACATTTACTTGAATGAAAATGAGTATAAAACATTTTTATTACTCAGAATTCTTAAAAGTTATACCACTATCTTCATGAACTAAGAATTACATTTAAAAAATCTGAAACAAAACAAATTGTATAATGTAATCTGTTCTTTTAGTCCCAGGCTATTTTTATATTTATTATTAAAATTTATTACATTTCCAAGGAGAGTTATTTGGATTCTAGAAAATATACATATAATTTGTATCTGCCAAGTATCTTTTGTATTGTCTCTCTATATTTGATAATACCTTACCAAGGAAGAATCTTAAAGATAGACATACCGATTGTGTGTGTGTGTGTGTGTGTGTGTGTGATAAATGAGATAGATAATAGATGACAAGGTGAAGATTTGTAAATTTATTTCTGAGAATTAAATTTGTCAATTATGTGAGGAAAGAAACAATAGATTTGGCATTCATTTTGCTAGTGTGCAAGATGTCATGTTGGTGGCAATGATACAGGACATATTTCCAATAACACAAGACAATGTTTTCTCTATTCAGGCATGTCAGATATATTATTACTACATAAATTCTGTGGTGTCATTGTATGATTTATACCTGAAAGTCTGTAACTCAAAAGCCATTAAATTTCCTTTGTAGCTTGTAAAGGGGGAAAAAAAAACATATAGAGGGGAAAATAAAATAGGAGGTTGTGTTAGTCAGTTCAAGCATCCTTAACAAAATACTCTAGAGTGAGTGGCTTAAACAATAGAAATCTATTGTCTCAAAGTTCTGGAAGCTGTAAGTCCAAGATCAGGGTGCCAGCATGGTTGGGTTCTGGTATTGGGTGTCTTACTGGCTTGTAGATGGCTGACTTCTTGCTGTGAGCTCATATGGCACAAGGAGAGAGACATGAAACTCTCTGGTGTCTCTTCTTATGAAAGTGCTAATCCCATCATGAATACTCTGCCCTAATGACCTCATTTAAACCTAATTATCTTTCAAAGGCTCTACCTTTAAATACCATCAATGTGAGGGTTAGGGTTTCAAAATAAAAATTTTGAAGGAACACAGTTAGTTCTTAGCAGAGGTATTTTCTCTTTTGTTACTAGTTTTCATAGGGGCCTCTGGGAGGGTTTTTCTTTGACTTTGATATACTCCATCCTTTGTAGTTTATCTTACCAATCTTTAATAAAATGATATTGAAGCACAACATGCATGCAGTAAAATTCAACAATTAGCAGTGTACAATTTTATAAGTTTTGGTAAATATATACTATCATATGAAAATCATCTACTAATTGATTTCATTCTGGTTCTACTCCTCCAATGGAACAATGACTGATATTACTGGTAATTGATGACTGGGTGCTGGACATTCCAAATTTTACATTGGGGTGAAAATTTTGTTGTATTCTTTTGAATAGTGCTGGATTTTGCCTGACATGCAATTAAATTATTTGGATTAGTTGAACCTCTTCAAAACTTGCTTTAAGATTTCCTAGAGTGCCTACAGAGTAGCTGTTGTGGAGAAAATTTAGTTCTGCTATTGTTTTAATAACCTTCTGCGGCCCACACTCTTCTGTGAATTAGGAGATCTTTCTATTCTGACTAATTAGAAGATAACTTTTTTGCAAACCTATGTGCACTCTAAGGATTGATAGGCCTGCTACTTCTGAGTAATTCTCTCCCTGTCCTTGTATAATTTCCTTTCATTGATGCCCAGATCAACACTCAGCTAAAACTTGATTGACCCTCTTTGAATGTCTGTGATGCTATCTCTCTTTGTGGCTCCTTTTTTTTAATTATCTGCCCCCCTTCTCAAGCTGCATTAGCCTACTTTAATTCTGGTATCTGTCTCTGCAACCGAGTGAGATCTCTGGATTTCATTTACATTTCTTATCCCTACACAAGGCTCATCTTATGTGTTTCTCTTTTTACAGAAATCAGAGCCCTTTGCTACCTGTTGGCCAACATGTGAAAATCATTATTTCACATATTCTGTCCAGTTTCTTAGAGTTTTAAAGCAGTTGGAACAATTATGTTCTCCCTGTTACTCCATCATAGTTGGAAGCAAATGTCTTACCTATGAATCCGTTATGCGCATCCTCTTTTATCATCTCCTCTTGTGTCCCATCATTTATTATTGTAAGTAATTAGCTCTTTGTGGGGATTACTGTGCTGCCTGTCCTATCCATAGTTGCACCAGATAGGAAGTAAAGTGGAAGCTGTCTTTCTGTGTTAGTGGATCTTACTTGCAGTGTAGTTATTGGGTATTTTGTTTTTCAATGGCAGCATTCCGGAGTTTAACTATATGACTGTTGTGAGCATGAGGGACAGACATCCACTTTCTTAATGTGGCCCTATTGGTTGCAGTGACTCCGCTGTCTGTACTCATAGACATGGAAGATAACTGATCTCTCTATCATAGCTCACATGGTATGATTCCCGGGCCAATATTTCTTTTGCCGACTCCCAGAATGACAACTAAGACAGTGTGTTGCTATTTAATAGAATCAACCTTTTAGTGACTTTCTAGCTGATTTCATGCATTTTTTCACATCTGCCTGATTGTGGCAGGAATAGCAATTCCCTTGACAAACAAGTTCTATGTTCTATGAAGCTTAATTAGAAGTCAATCCTGTAGATCTAAACTAACATCTCTCAGGTTCTGGAACTTCCACTGATTTTGAAAGACCTGATCACCTATAATCTCTGCAACCAAGATGAAAGTCCAAAGAAATCAAGGCTGCTGGAATTCAAGACAGAGTACAAGGGTGTAAATAACAGAGAGAAAGAATGCTGAAGATCTGCAGAGGGTATCATCAAGTATTAAGCAGAGAACTGTCTGGTGCATATGTCAGGATATTGCTAAGGGCAAGAGAAAGAATCATCTGAGAGAACCAGGGAAAATAGTGCTTAGCTCTCACTCAGGACTGGCAATCTAGGTTATCCTCAGCCATTTTTTTCTTCCTTTTCAATCATAGTTCCTTATATTTTTCATATTACATTGAATACAACATCTAATATTATATTGAATAGAAATAATAAAAATCAATGTCTTGTGTTTTGTGAATATTATGGAGAAAACATGCAGTTTCTAACAATTAAGTATGATGTTATGATGTCAACCTTGGGATTTCATAGACACACAAACAGTACTAGGAAGTTTATTTTTGTTCCTAATCTTGAAAATTCTTATCATGAAGGGGTGTAGTATTTTATCAAAGGCTTTTGTTTGTATCTATTGATATGATTATATGAAATTTCCCATTTATTCTCATAATATGATGTATTAATATAAAAATAAGTGGGTTACAGATATTAACCCCTTGTTGCATTCCTGGAGTAAATCTCACTTGTTTATTATGTATTTTTTTATGCAGCTAGATTTTATTTGTCAATATTTCATTAATGATTTTTGTGTATATGTTCCTGAGGAATATTGGTCTGTTGTTTTGTTTTGTTTTATGTAGAATGTCTTTGTCTGGTTCTGGTATCAGGAAAATACTAGCCTCCTACAATTAATAGAAAACTGTTTCCTCTTCCTTGAATATCTGAATGGTTCTTTAAAATTTGATAAAATTCACCACTAAAGCCATCTCGGCCAAGGTTTTTTTGAAAGAATATTTTAAATGACTAATTTAATATCTTCACTTGCTATAGATCCATTTAGATAGTCCATACCTTATTAAGTCAGTTTTGGCAATTTATGTCCTTCTTGGAATTGTTCTATGTCTTCTAATATTTAAGTTGTTGGCATACAGTTGGTCGTAGTATTTTTGTATAATTGTTTTAATTTATGCAGGTTTAGTAGTAAAGTTCCCTTTTTATTTCTGATTTTGGTAAATTGCGCCTTCTCTTTGGTTTTCTTGTTTAGTCTGCCTAAAGATTTGTCAGTTTTCTTGATCATTTCAAATATCAACTTTTGTCTTTATTTTTTCTATATTTTTCTGTTTTCTATTTCCTTGAATTCTTGCTTTATTCTGACCATTTGCTTAGTTTGCTCTTCTTTTTTTGGTTATTAATATAGAAACTTTGGTTGTAGATTGGAAACCTTTATTTTTATGCAAGTGTTTAAAGCTATAAATCTCTCTTTTAGCTATGCTTTAGTTGTATACATAACTTTTAGTATATGTTATTTTCCATCCATTTAAATTTAAAAATATATTCTGATTTATCTTGTGACTTCTATGACTCCTGAGTTATGTAAAAGTGTTTTTTGTTTAATTCCTTTTTATTTTATGATTTCCCAGATACTTTTCTGTGGTTTATTTCTAATTTAATTTAATTGTGGTCATAGAAAATACTTTTTCTAATTTTAATTCTCTCAAATTTAATCTGTCTTCTTCCATAGTTTAGGATATGGTCTATTTCATGTATTTGCTTGAAAAAAAATACTTCCTTAAAGAATATGTATTTTGCAGTTATTGCATGGATTAATCTGCATATGTCAGGTCAAGTTGGTTGACAGTTTTGTCAAGTCTTCTATATCCTTAGTGATTTTCTGTTTAGTTATTCCATCAATTATTGAGAATGAAGCATTTATTTATTTATTTTTCTCAGAGAACTGTGGTGGTTTATTTTGACCTGTTAGGTGCCTCATTGAAGAACTCACTCAAAAAGCTTACCTTTTCTTTGCCTAACCCAGAACTCATCCAGGGCTGAGAACGCTATACAGGAGGTATTTTCAAAAATATTTAAAGGCAAATGTTGTAGCTGCTGTTACATGGACAAGCTATAACAATTGAAACAAACAATAGATCAACTAAAAGCTTTTGAAGAAAAGCTTTTGAAGAAAAGCTGAATAATGAAGAGCTTGGGGGGAATAAGGGCTTTGAAAAGCTCATGAATATTGGTGGGAATCTAGAAGGCATATGCATATCCTAGACTAGATGCATGATTATAAAATACCTGAAAACATCCTAAGCCCTAACTTCTGATCAAACCTCAGGCTCATCACAGGTAGGAATTGAAAATTAAGAAAAAACTGTAATCTGCCTGACTGAATGTGGCAGGTATGAGCCCCAACAAGCCCATCTGCAAAATGGAAGTTGTTTCTGTTTTTTCTTCTTTTTTCCTACTTTCCTTCTTCGTGTGTTTTTTTCTTCCTTCCTGAGAATAAATCATTTAAATATAAAATTAATATTGATGAATTATCTGTTTCAGTTCTGGTAGGTTTTGTTTCATGTATTTCAAGGCACTTTTCATAGGTGAGTATATATTAATAATTGTTAAATATTCACGATTTACCAACTCCTTTCTCATTATAGATGTCTTTCTTGGACTTTAGTGTTATATCCTGCTTAAAGTATATATTGTAAAACATAATATAGTGCCTGTAACTCTCTTATGGTTACTATTTGCAAGGTCTATATTTTCCAGTCTTTTACATTTAAACTATTTATGTCTTTGAATCAAAAGTATGTCTTTTTTAGACAGTACATAGTTGATTCTTGAATTTTTTTAATCCAATTTGACAATCTCTGCCATTTGATTGGGGTGTTTAGAAAAAGCACATTTAATATAACATTGATATGGCTGAAATTGCATTTTTTATTCTGCTATTATTTTCCATATATCCATTGTCTTTTTTCATTGTTCTTTTGTACCTCCGTGACCGCCTCATTTGATTCTAAACACTAGATTTTAGTTATTACTCTGTTTATATTTTGTCTATAATTTTAATGTTTTACTTTAGTAGTTGCTTTAAGGATTACTGTGTGTGTATACATAACATATAATATATAACATAAATTATATGTGATATATATATATATACACATGTGTACAAAAGCACTATTGAGTTATAGTTCATGTACATACGCTAGAGTGGACTCTTTAAAGTGTACAATTTAACAAGTTTTGACATATGTATATAACCATAAAAGATAATATTCACCACCCCTAAATGGTTTTTAATTTCTCTTTGTAATACCTCTGTCTTGGCCTTCCCAACCCACTTCCCCAGGCAACCACTAATATGCTTTCTGTCTCAGTGGATTTGTTTGTGTTTTCTAGTGTTTTATATTTATGTTCTTATACTGTATGTACCTTTCTTATGCCTGGTTTCTTTTACATAGCAAAATTATTTTAAGAATTATTCATGTTGCTTTTATATCAATAGTTCATTTCTTTGTGTTTCTCAATAGTATTTATAAGAAAGATATAAAACAATTTATTCACCTATTGATGGGCATTTAGGTTGTTCAACTTATGGCTATTATAAATAAACGTACTATGAACTTTTGCGCACAATTCTTTGACGTACGTTTTCTTCTTTATCTAATTAATTCTATCCCAGGGGCAGAATTGCTGGATCACATGGTAGAGGTATGTGTAATCTTTAAGAAACTTCTAAACTGTTTTCCAATGAGGTTGTAATTTTACCTTCCACCAGCAGTTTATGAGAGTTCCAATTTCTTTAAACCCTCTGCAACACTCAGTATAATCAGTCTTAAATATTCTAGTAGGTTTTTAGTGGTATCTCATTGCGGTTAATATGCATTTTTCTAATAACTAATACTGTTGAGCATCTTTTCACGTCTTAATTTTCCATGAATACTTCTTAATGAAGTGTCTCTTCAAATATTTTGCCCATTTTTAACTGGGTTTTTTGATTTCTTATTGTTTTTTAAGACTTATTTATCCTTGGTACAAATCCTTTATCAGATATATGCTTCAGAAAATTTACTTTCAACTCTGTCCCTTACCTTTGGTGTGGTAGTACTGTATATTTTAATATTTGTAACATTTGATTTTATATTTTTTTGTTTTTATCTGTTCTTTGTTCAGGTGGATCCTTCTTACTCCACGTTGAATGAAAGCAGAAGTTTGATTATACAGTTGTTTCCTCAGTATCCACAACGGATTTGTTCCAGGAGTCTGAATATCTGTGGGCTCCCTATCCCACGAATACTCTATTTTCAATCTGCAATGGGTTGAATCCATGTATACGGAATCCACAGATAGGGAAGGCTGATTATATATGTATTAAAATATCATAGTGGTTGTGACTACTCTGTAAGGGCATTTTGGAATCCTGCACAAAATTTAGTTTACATGTGGAGACCGATGTTATGACACACACAATCCAAGAGGTTATGTAAAGGTTTATTACATACGTAATTGAGGCTTTCTGCGAAAAACCATTCAGTCCTCCCAATGTGATCAAAAATGTCTTGTGAGAGCAAAGAAAGGATACTGGCTTGGGCTTTTATTGTGGGTATGAGGTGGAAGGATTCCTGGATGTAGGGAGGGATTTACAGGGCTTAAATCTCCTGCTGCCTGGCAACAAAGGAGGCAGCACCTAGGCTTTCTTACGAGCTTACCCAGAGGTGAGGCAGAAGAGGAAGAAGGAAAGATGAGGCTCAAAGGCTGCCAGCAATCAAATATCAAAAAAAAAGACTACCAAACAATCCACTGCAGAGTAATGCTAAATTAACTCTGATTATTAGAAAATATATAAAGTAGAGTTATTGCATGCATAGGCTAATAATTTTCATCAAATTTTGGAACATTTTAGTCATTTAAATAAATATTTTGCCCCACCTATTTTTCTATCTTCTCCTTTTGGTTTCCCATTGCACATATGTTGGTGCACTTGAAGTCTTTTTACAGGTCTTTGAGTCTCAGTTCATCTTTCTCCATTCTTGTTTTCTCAAGAGCTGGGAAAGTACCTCAGGCAGTAAGCTGGGACAAATGTAAGACCTTCATGTTTTGTTCTCTTCCCCTTCAGAATTTACATATTACCCAATCACAGAAAATTACCATTGCATCATTTCATGTGTAGTTTCTAATGCTTGGGTTCATTTAAAATTATGTGAATATTCTGTATTTACATCCCTGTTTCCCTTTTTCAAAAACAAAATAGCTATATGATTTGACTACAATTTTTTAAAATCTTAAATTTCAGCTGTTTTTAGCAAAAAGAAAATAGTTGCATTCTCTGCCCTTAAAACAGCATATCACACAACATAAAATAAATAAAGATTTTATGCACTTTAAGTAAATTTTTTGACTATTTCCTTTATGGAAAATTAAGGGTATGCATATTATATAAACACGAAATAGGCACCTGTAAAATAGGTCAATTAATATTTCATTTTTAGCTTTTCAAGTGAAAAACACACATAAAGAATAACTGATGCAAATAATAAGGTTTTTTGGTTTTTTTTTTACTAATGACTTGTGATCCTGTGGCTTCATTGACTTTCCTACAATCTAATGTTACCACATAACCTGCCTACCATCATAATGTTGGTAATAATTACATCCCTTTGGATTTCCTTACAATGCTTTCATATGGCTGGTCTTTTATTATTATTTCTTGCTGAACCTTTTCTTTTCCTTAGCATTTAAAATTCCTCTTTCTTTATTTAATGTTACTGAAGCTTACAAGCAAAAATATCACTTGCTTTGAAAATAGCCTTTTGAGTCTAGTGGAAGTTCTAAATCTCTCCCTCATTTTTGGAAGAAAACTCAAAACTCAGTATTATTAGCATAAATTGTCTAGTAAAACACTTGTTCACAGGGAATAGAGTACTTTAAAGGACTACTCAGAGCTTTGCAAAACTAAGTTCTGGGTAGGTATCGCTTTACATCATGCCTAAAATACCACTGAATAGAGCACAATAGATTGGTTAAGATATTTGCACAGTAATAAAAAAATAGTGTAGGTTTTACCATTATCCAGTTGCAAACTCAGCTTTGAAGATTTATGTATTTATAGTCTTCTTAAAACAAAAAAAAAATGTCTATAAGAACACATTTCAAAAGGCTGTAAGTTCTCTTAAAGGAATCTGTTTGAAAAAAAAAAAAACACTTATGGTAGAACTATATTAAAGCATCACAGATTTTCCCTAAAAACCATTTGGTGACATTGCTGAAAAATCAAGACACATATAATGACTACACTGTTCTTAAAATGTTGCATTCAAATAATAAAAATATTTAAGATTTCTACATTGTATAACAGTTTTATGGAGATACAATTAAAATATCATAAAATTCACCTTTTAAAAGTGTACAATGCCACAGTTTTTCACATAATCAGAGTTGAGTATTCATAATCACCATCTAAGTTCTGAACATTTTATGAATCCCCCCAAGAGTCCCATACCCATTAGCAGTCACACTCTATTTCACCCTTCCCGTAGCCACTGAAAATCATTAATCTCCTTTCTGTCTCTATGGGTTTTTCTATTCTAGACATTTTATATAAATTGAATTATACAATGTGTAGTTGATTATGTCTGGCATCTTACTTCCAGTCTGTCTCCATGTTCCAACAAAAACTCTACCTCCAAAGTACTTAACCGATATATCCATGATTCTCCAATGCTACTCCTGCATATCTAATGCAAACCATCATAATTTCTTCTACAATTCACTGTATTCATCTATTGGATTATTTTGTTTACTATCTGTTTGTTTACTATCAGTCTCTGACATTTCTCAAGCTCAGTGAGAGAAAGAGAGGAAGGCAAAGAGAAAAAAAGGAGTGTCTATAGGGAGAGAATGAATGCTTATTTTGTTTTTTATTATATTTTCATCATGTTTTACATTGATCTACACATGAAAGGTATTAAAAGCATATGTTTTGCATACATATATAAAAGGGTAAATTAATGAATGAATGGTTGCATGCATGTCTGGAAGGATATATCCAGGTTTATTATCCTGTAGACTTCTGCCATAGTGATTTTTTTTTAATATAAATATAACCATGTAACTCTCAAGCTTAAAATCTTTTACTCATGGCCTTAAATATGAAACCCACATGACGGGAGATCTAAGAATATCTGTTGCACAAGTATTCACCATTGTTCCATATATTCAGTACTTAGTCGACTCTATTTGATTTGTTTGCCTTTCTCTGAAAACATTTTATGTATCTTCATGTTTTTATAAATAAAACATCTACAGCACTTCTTTAGACATTCACTTCCTTAAGGAAGTTGAGCACACTGCTTACCTCTCTCTCTGGGCTATTGAGTTCTTCTGTGAGTTTTGGTTGGGAATCTGCCACACCCGCCATCCCTTTAGAAGGTAAACTCTTCCAGGTAAGAATGAAATCTTTGTATGGCCAGGGTCTCATACACTTATCTACTCTTAGTAGACAGACAAATATATACTATGATTTAAAAAAATAAATTAGCTAAAACATGTAACACAAAAAAATGCACTGATCCATTTAGGCACTAGCACAAGACTTAATTTGTACTAGACATTATTAGATTGGAAGTTTCCTGTGTCTTCTTTTTTCAGGTATCCAGAGAATTAAGCTGTAAATTTAAAACAAGATAGTTGATTGTTGAGAACTGAGGAAATTGAGTATTAATGTGTTTGTAAATAAAAAGTACAGTTGACCCTTGAACAACGTGGATGTAAATTGCATGGATCACTTACACACAAATTTTCTTCCACCTATGCCCCGCCTGAGACAAGAAAACCAACCCCTCCTCTTCCTCCTCCTTCTCAGCCCACTCAAAGCAAAGATGATAAGGAATACGATGAAGATCTTTATAATGATCTACTTCCACTTAACAAATAGTAAATATATTTTCTGTATAATTTTCTTGCCTCTAGTTTATTTTCTTGTAAGACTATATTACATATACAGGTAATATACAAAACATGTATTAATCAATGATTTATGTTATTGGTAAGCCTTCCAGAAAACTGCAGGCTATTCATAGTTAATTCTGGGGATAGTCAAAAGTTATATATAAACTTTTTAAGTCATGGGGAGCTAAGACTCCTAAATCTCATGCTGTTCAACAATCAACTGTATAGATATTTTCAATCAAGTTTGGGGAAAATATGGATACAGGTTTTTTCCAAACAAAAGTACTTATTTTTTTATTTATATTATATGAATTTGTTTTCCTTACTCAGAAACTACTACTGACAATTTTAGCTAGAAATCCAAATTGGAAACTAATAATAAGGTTGTTGAAGGACATGGAAGAATTTGGCAACTCTGATATTTTCTGCTTTTATTAGTATGAAATAAGACAAGATAATTAACTTATTAAAGCCTCAATTTTCTTGATTGTAAAGTAAGGATAATGTCTAAATTACAAGGTCAGTTAAGAATAAGGACTAGTGAAAATGATGATGTCATTTTCTGAGAATTAACTATGTGCCAACTTCTATGATAACCACTTGACATAATCCATTTAATCACCTAAATGAATTATTCTCTTCCCTGTGAGAGTATGAGAAGACAGCTGCCTAACATTATACAGCAACTAAATGATGAATAGGATGAGAGCACAGGTCAGCAGAATCTCAAAGTTTGTAGACTTAACTGCAAAATGACAAAACTTCCTATGATAAAATTTTCTATGCTATTATACCTAATTTCTAAGCAATTGTGCCTATTGGGGAAAATGTGCTGATTTTTAAAGAAATGTCTCCACTGATAGTATAATAAATATGACTCATTAATAATATTACTACCTCTACCTTTTCTCCATAAATATGATTATTACACTAACACTGTCACTATAACATTGCTAACTTGCCATAGGGAACCAACATTATTGTATATTAAGTTCAGATACTACAATACTATACCACTATTTCAATAAGTTGAGGAATTCTGGATAGAGTGCTAGCAAATAACATTCTTTCAACTGCATCCCACAGAATGAAGGGATGCATTTTTTGTTTGTTTTAAAATCTGTTCATTTTCTGAAATGTGTTTGTATTAGCTACAAATGTTTCTCTGCTTTTGTTACTTATTAAAGAAATTTTTTTTTTTTTTGAGATGGAGTCACTCTGTCAGCCAGGCTGGAGTACAGTGGTGCTATCTAGGCTCACTGCAAGCTCCGCCTCCCGGGTTCACGCCATTCTCCTGCCTCAGCCTCCCGAGTAGCTGGGACTACAGGCACCCACCACCATACCCGGCTAATTTTTTGTATTTTTGGTAGAGAAGGAGTTTCACCGTGTTAGCCGGGATGGTCTCGATCTCCTGACCTCATGATCCGCCCGCCTCAGCCCCCCAAAGTGCTGGGATTACAGGCGTGAGCCACCGTGCCCGGCCAGAAGTTTGAAAATTGTTTTACTTCCACTCATGAGAAGGAAGTTATGTAATGTTATTCAGGGATGGACTAATACCTCTTGAACACAGGACAATCCTCCAGGTAGCCCTGATCTGACTCAGTTCTCCCCATTTCCTTGCTTGTAGATCTCAAGAATAACTGTAAAATGTGCTAAGAATTCAATATTCAGAGATAAGGAAGAACTTGAAACATCCTGGAGTTATTTCTCTTTCCCCGTAGACATAGAACGTCTTGCAAAGCTTTTTCCAAGGACTCACCATGCTCTTGAGGTATATAACCCAGGGTTCTCAGCTGTGATGCAAGTGGGCCGGTTTTCCATATGCCCCGGTCTTAGCTTTCCTGATCCTTGGAGTACTGGTTCACAATTGAGCCTAGCTTCTTTTTCCCTTTGCCTATCTGTAAGTAATAAACCTGCTTCATATAACTTGTTGCATGTGAGTATGTTCTGTCTCACTGGACTGAGAGGAGTGGGAACCAGTGCATGGTGAACCTGCTTTACACTGAGGATCACTCTGAGGTTTACTTCGATTGTATCTGTTAAACTTTCTTTTAGTTAAACATGTTCTGTGAAAAATAATCGTCATCATTATTATCATCTACTTGGTAAAGGGTTCTTACTGGATGTATTCTGAAATTGCATGAACTCTAATTCAGTAGTCTACTGACACTTAATTTTGGACTGAGTAAACATCTGTGGACAGAATGTGTCACATCATGATGTAGAACAACATTTACCTTGAATTCTCTTGATTCCAGGAGATGGTGTGAGGAGAGAGAGGAATGAATTAAATGAGGGATAAGAAAAATTGAGAAGAAGGAAAAATAGAATAAAGTTTTAATATATACCAGAAATGCTAATTCACAATTGATCTCTCTTCAGTCTTTTTTTTTCCAAAGCTTGATCTTTAAACTATTTTATTTTGTTACTTCACCATGAAATAGTTTAATGAAACAAAATATTGAGAAAAAAATTAAAATTTCTACATTTCCAACTCTACTTAATTAAATATCAAAATTATAGTTGAATCCCATTGTCTATCTATAATTACATCATTGCTAATCATAACCTGTGTATTAGAGATAAGAAACTAGGCACCAAATCACAGCTCTGTAAAACAATAACAGCTTATTTCTTTCTCATGCTATGCATCTGTGGGATTTGGCATTGAGGAACTCAGAATAATAGAGGGCACTGTTTTGAATTCTGATGGTCTTGATAAAAGAAAAGTGAAATCTCTGGAGGCTGTTACTCCAATAAGTAACTACTTTGCCTGGGAATAACTCATCTTAATTCGACTAATATATTACTGACCTGAATAAATTATGTTGCCCCATTTGGATGCATGTATGTTTATAATTATGTTTTCCTGAAGATTTGACCCTATTATCATTATAAGATTTCCCTCTCTGTCTTCTCTGCCTGTAGTAACAATTGGGTCATAAAGTCTATAATGTTTGTAAGGTTTAATATTAATATTGCTATGACAGCTCTCTTTTGGTTATTGTTTGAATGATATGTCTTCATCGTATTATAAATGTCATCCAATATAGCTCTACTCCCCTTTTGTGCTATTATTGTGATACAAATTGTATCTTTAAACATTATAATTCCATCAACATAATTTCATATATATTGCTTTACATAGTTGTCTTTTATATCAGATAGTAGAAGAGAAAAATTGCAAACAAACTTCTTCATACTCTTTTTAATAGTTACCTATGTAGTTATCTTTACTAGTGCACCGTTGCTGTAAATTTGAGTTACAATCCAGTGTTCTTATTTTTATATTGCCTGAAGAACTCTCTTTACTATTTATTGTAGAAAATTTCTGCTAGTGATAATTTCTCTTCTTTTTAATATGCAAAGAGCTTAATTTGACCTTCATATTTAAAGGATAGTTTTACTTGAAATAATATTCTTTGTTGACAATATTTTTACCTTTAGCACTTTGCTATTCTATCCAACTACTTTTAACCTACATGATTTCTGAAAAAAGTCAGCAGTTGATCTTATGGAAAATCACTAATTTGTAGTGAGTAATTTTTCTTTCTCTATTTTCAAGATGATCTATTTGTCTTTAGTTTTGACAGTGTATAATGTGACTAGATGTATACTTCTGACTTTATCTCACTTGGAGTTTAAATTTCATGGATATACAAATTACTTATATGCACCAAACTTGATACTTAATTGGATATAATTTCTTCAAATAAACTTTCCTCTTTCTTTCTTTCCTTTCTTTTGGGACTCCCATTTTATATATGATGTTATGCTTGATGTTGTCCTTTAGGTCTCTGAGATTATTCATTTTGTATTTTTTATTGTGTTCAGCTGGATTACCTCAATTTATCTTCATGTTAGCTGATTCTTTTTTCTACCAGATCAAATGTGTTGTAGAATTCTTCTAATGAGTTTTTAATTTCAGTTGTTATACTTTTCAAATCCAGAATTTCTATACTAACCTTTAAAATTGTGTATCTTTATTGGTATTCTCTATTTGTTAAGACATTACCCTCACATTTTAATTGTCTAGGTAATGTTTCCTTTAGTTATTTAAACATATTAATAATAATTTATTTTAAATATTTCTCAAATAAGACTTACATCTGAGCTTCCTCATAGTCTTCTTTGAGTGTTTTTATTTTTATTCTTTTGTATATAGACCATATTTTCTCATTTCTTTATGGATCTCTCTTTTAAAAAACCTGGGCACTTAAAATAGAATGTGAGGCCACTGGGAAACAGATTTTTTCATAATTTGGGGGAGTTCATGGTTGTTATGGGATGTTGTCATTGTAGTTGTTGTTGATATTTGTTAATTTAGGGTTTTCCCTGGACTAGTTCTTTATAGTCTGTATACTTTGTCAAGTACAGCCACTGAAGCCTCTGCTTGATTATCTCAGTGGTCAGATAATGATCAGACAGAAATTTCCTTAAATGACTTTAACCAATAGGTCTTCCAGTCTTTGCCCAGGGCTCTGTATATATTAGGGAGTGCTTTTAATACTCCATTAGGAAGTTCGCAACTATAGGCTTCATTTTCTGCATGCATAGGCCCTCAGAATCAGCCACAGTTGAGAATTTATGACATTCTCAGGGCTTACCTGAAATACATACAGCTCAGCACCCATGTATGTTCTTTATATCTCCAGGATATGTCAGAGTTTTGAAAAATTATCTATGGAAATCTCTTTCTCAGTTGTCCCTCTGAGGACTTTTGGTCAGACTATTATTAGCCCCAACTTGTATTGCCACCTCAGTCAGCAGTGATGTTAAACCATTGCGCTGGTTGTTTTCTACAAGTGTTCTAGAGATAAAGGCATTAATGCAAAGTTATTTCTGAGTCAGATCAAGTTAAAATAAATCCAGATAATGGAGTTATTTAAGAAACTGCCATACACGTCCCATGATGACATTTCTCTCTTGCCATTTCTGGTGTGTGCTAGGTTTCCGGCTTTCACAGTCACCTTACTTGCAGTGCATTTGGTTTTCTGGATTTCCATAGAACCGAAAGGAAAATATGTCAATAGGATAAGTTAAAATGACAAGTGTTCCATTTCTTACTGAGTGTATTAGTACATTCTCACACTGCTAATAAAGACATACCTGAGATTGGGTAATTTATAAAGGAAAGAGGTTTAATTGACTCACAGTTTTGCAGGGCTGGTGAGGCCTCCGGAAACTTACAATCATAGCAGAAGGCAAAGGGGAAGCAAACATGTCCTTCTTCACATGGCAGCAGGAAGGAGAAGAATGAGTGCCCAGCAAAGGGAGAAGGCCCTTATAAAACCATCAGATCTCATCAGAACTCACTCACTATCATGAGAACAGGATGGCGGAAACTGCCGCCATAATTCAATTATCTCTACCTGGTTCCCCCAATGACATGTGGGGATTATGGGAACTACAATTCAAGATGAGATTTGGGTGGGGACACAGCCAAACCATATCATTGAGATTCAGTCATTTTTTCTTGAATAAACTCCGCTTGAATTATTATAAACTTCTGGATAATTTCAAGAATTTTGAAAAACATGTTTATTATGACAATTGCTGCCAGTGTTGCCATTTTTAATAAGAAAAAGATTTTACGAGCTTCTATTTCCAGCATTATGAAAGTCCATTTCCCCAGGATATGTAGTACTCTTTAATTGACTAGTTTTGCACATAAAATGATTTGACCCCTATATAAAATGTAAAATGTATATCAAACTCTATTATGCAGAATGAAAAAATTAACTGTAAAAATAGAAGAAGAGACAAATTCTGAAAACTTTATTTAAATTTCTTTCTCTGGTGGCTCATTTTTATTGTCAATTTCAAAATGAGTAAGTGAGTGTGTGTGTGTGTGTGTGTGTGTGTGTGTGTGTGACAGAGAGAGAGAGAGAGAGAAATAGAGTGAAAAAAGAGAGAGAACGGTTCTCACCAGGCTTTGAACTTTGTGAAAACAAAGGTTCTGAAGAAAAATAAAATTAATATCCTTCATAATTTTATTTTCCTAAACCCTTTAGGTGTTAATGGGATGTGTTTTATAAGAACTAATTTTCATCATGTTTGTATTTACTTATGTAATGTCAGCTAGTCTAACACAAATACACAATGGCAGGTTTCTCTGTAGCCTATTAACAGCCAGTAATGCAGTGGAATTTCAATTAGTCAAGTGACAGTCAGCTACAACCCCAGAAGAATGAGATCAGATAATGTGCAGGAGTATGTCTTTATGTTTGTCTGAAAAGTTTAATTATAAATTCCATTAATTTATTCGGTTATTTTATTATTAGTGCAAAAATGCTGCTTTATTGGCAAATTCTAGCATACCCTTTTCTTCCCTTGAGTATCTTAGTGACCATCCATCTAGAAGTGTGATTCAAACAGCCCAGTATTCTATTGGAAAAGAGAGAGAAGGTAAGAGAGAGCACAGCAGGCAAAAACACAGCCTTATGCCAGTAATCCTGAGACTCTCTAGGGAAAGGAGTGTCCTTTCATTTCCTACATAATAACTGTTACTTCCATTTTATCACATGTGGGGTTTAACTTAGCTGTGAATTCCTGCTCTAATCCAATCTGTTACTAAATTACCAATGTAACAGGAGAGATGGAAGGGGTTAGCATAAACTTAGACTGCTATAAGTTTACAACAATCCTCCATAACACAAGTTTACCAATATAACAAACCTGCACATGTACCCCTAAACTTAAAATAAAAGTAAGATTAAAAAAATAACATGATAAATATCAAAGAGGAATTTATGTTTCTTTTTCTCTAAGGAGAGGCATGCATTATTTGTTGACTTTGATATTTGTTTAAATAACATGTACTTTGCCTACATTTTGATATTATGTACTAAATGAAGATAAATGTTACATCTATGTATAATTATATTATATTCTCTCTACTACTCTACAAGTGACATTGATAAATTGACATTTATCATTATATTATCTTATGATAGAAATACATACGTGAGAATATAACCATGTAACTTAGACTTATAAAGATTGATTTTCAATGGTTTTGATTAGAGATTCCCAATATCCCTTTTATGACTGAATTAAACCAGACACATTTTTAGAATAATGTTATGTATACCAGGAATGGTAGTGAGAAAAATATCAACATGCAACCCCCAAGGTCCTTTATTTTAAAATGTTCTGTTTTAGCCAATTACATGTAAAATGATATTGAAACAAGTAGCACAAGATACCCACTAATATGGCTATTACAAATCTACAAATACTGGCCCAGCATATAAGAACAAATTGCATTTATTAAATGTACTGCAAAAGTAATTCATTTCAACAAAAACCTGGAGAGACAGCTCAACTCACTCATCTATTAAATATTTAATAGTATACATTTCAAGGTATATCTTCATTGCTTACAAACACAATCAATGTGTTTGTTTATTATTAGTTAAATAATTTTGTCTTTGAGTCAACAGGATGTGTTATTGCCTTCACAGTATCCTACCATAATCCCTGGATTTGAACTCTAAATCGGTCAATAATTCCTTCAGTAACTGACATTAATATTTTTATAAATATGCAACATCCTATATCTTCTTCTCAATTTTTGCTGTCTGCACCTTCAATTGTTTGGAAGAAGTCTATTCGCATTATTAAGGATAATAGTTTTTCTTGAAGGCAACTGATATAACACAAAACCACAAGTAACCACATCTAAAATTACCTTCACACCAACACCTAGATTACTGTTTATCTTAGTCCATTTGTGTTGCTATAAATGCATTCCTGAGGCTGAGTAATTTATAAAGAAAAGAGGGTGATTTAGTTTACAGTTCTGTAGTATGTACAAGAAGCATGGCACTGGAATTTGCATCTGGTGAGAGCCTAAAGCTATTTCCACTCATGGTGAAACAGGAAGAGGAGCCAGCATGCATACATTAGATTAGTGTGAAAGTAATTGACAAAAAACAAAAAAGGCAAAAACCACAATTACTTTTGCACCAACCTAATAGCTCACATGGCAAGACGGGAAGCAGGGTGAAGGGAGGTGCTAGACTCTTTTTAACAACCAGCTGTCACAGAAGCTAATAGAGTGAGAATTCACTCATTACCACAAGTACAGATCCAAGCCATCCATGAGGGGTCCACCTTCACGAACCACATACCTCCCATCAGACTTCAAGTCTAATGTCAGAGATCAAATTCCAACATGAGGTTTGGGGGACAAACATCCAAACAATAGCAGTTTGATTTAATCACTGGGTACTACAGTAGAGACATGTTGACACATTAATCTTACTACCACAGGTAAATATCTATTCTGTGAATGTAGCAAATGAAGGTGTAATTACTTTAGGAAAATATATATATGTGTACATATATGTATATACACATATATATTCCTTCTAAATATATATATATATTCCTTCTAAATATATATACATATATATTCCTTCTAAATATATATACATATATATTCCTTCTAAATATATATACATATATATTCCTTCTAAATATATATACATATATATTCCTTCTAAATATATATACATATATATTCCTCCTAAATATATATACATATATATTCCTAAATATATATGTATATTCCTAAATATATACACATATATTCCTAAAGTATATATATGTGTGTATATATATATATATATATATTTCCAATTTCATTAAATTACATCCATCAAATCCTAAAGGTTTTCTGCAAGAACAATTAAGTGCATAGAAGCAAAAACTCTACATCAGAGGTTAATAAGCGGGTACCTGATTTTTAAGATATCAGAACATACTTTATACAAAGCATAATGTTCAATTGATTTAGATGAGACATGGGTGCAAAGGTCAGTTCTGTCATTTACTAGTGATATGACTGAACAATTTGTGTAACTCTCTGAACTCAGTATCTTTATCTGGTAAATAGAGATAATAATATGTCTGGCACATAATATGCCCATCACATATTAAGTACTCTCTAGACAATGCATATTATATGAGGGGAGAAAACATTTTATTTTTTCAGTTGCATTTAAGATCAACAATAATAAGGTTTTGGTATTTGTAACCCATGCTCCTTTTACCACTACTCAACTATCATCCATTCAACTCTGCCTTTGCTAGGTAGGGTAGATTTTGATAATCAGAATGTTTTGTTTCCGAAGCAAAAATATATATATTTATTTTTTTCAGTACAAAGATGATTTCTATTCTTAGCCAAGATTAGTTGTTGATTTTGTACAAACCAGAGCAGCACTAAATAAATTTTAGTACTTGAAAAAATGAAGGCCTATAAGGGTCCCCAGAATAAAAGTTAATGGAGCCTGAAGTCTGGAACAGAAAGGCAGGAGGCTAGGAAAAGTTGGCTGGAAGTCTGAGACAATTAGAACAAATCAATTATTGGTAGAGGAAAAATGCTTCATGAGAATTGTTAACCATTATTGTGCAATGTATTCTTTCTTCTTCTAAAATCTATTATAGTAAAACACATGCTTCTTATTTTCTCTTCTCCCCCTTCCCAGCTGTATTCACAGGCTGGCATTGAGTGTCTGTCTCTTTTCCAGGTGCACAGTGAAAGCTGTTGGTGCATCTACCATTCTGGAGTTTGGAGGACAGTGGCCTTCTCACAGCTGCACTAGGCAGTGTCCCAGTGGGGACTCTGTGTGGGGACTTTGACCCCACATTTCTTTTCTGCACTGCTCTAGCAGAGGTTCTCCTGAGGGCTCTATCACTGCAGCAGACTTCTGCCTGGATATCCAGGTGTTTCTATACATCCTCTGAAACCTAGGTGGTGGTTTTCAAACCTCTATTCTTGACTTTTGTGCACCTGCAGGCTCAACAACACATGGAAGCTGCCAAGGCTTGGGGTTTAAATCCTCCAAAGCATGGCCTGAGCCCTATGTTGGCCCCTTTTAATCACAACTGGGTCACAGGGCACCAAGTCCTAAGACTACACAAAGCAGCAAGGCCCTGGGCCTGACCCATAAAACCATTTTTTCCTCCTAGGCCTCTGAACCTGTGATGGGAGGGGCTGCCATGAAGACCTCTGATATGCCCTGGAGACATTTTCCCCATTATCTTGGTGGTTAACATTTGGCTACTAGTTACTTATGCAAATTTCTGCAGTAGGCTTAATTTATCCTCAGAAAATGAGTTTTTCTTTTCTATCACAACATGAGGCTGCAAAGTTTCTGAAATTTTATACTCTGCTTCCCTTTTAGATATAAGTTCTCAATCAAAACCATATCTTTGTGAATACATAAAACTGAAGGCTTTTAAGAGCACCCAAGCCACATATTGAATGCTTTGCTGTTTAGAAATTTTTTCTGCCAGGTGCCCTAAATTATATCTCTCAAGTTCAAAGTTCCACACATCTCTAGAACAGGGGCAAAATGCCACCAGTCTCCTTGCTAAAACATAACAAGAGTCACCTTTATTCCAGTTCCCAACAATTTCCTCGTCTTTATCTGAGACCACCTCAACCTGGACTTCATTGTCCTTATGACTACCAGTATTTTGGTCAAAGCCATTTAACAAGTCTCTAGGAAGTTCCAAACTTTCCCACATCTTTCTGTCTTCTTCTGGGCCAACCTCTGCCTGTTCCAACCTCTACCTGTCACCCAGTTTCCAAAACTCTTCCAACCTTTTCCTTGTTACCCAGTTTCAAAGTTACTTCCACATTTTCAGGTATCTTTACAGCAGCACCCCACTCTACTGGTACTAATTTACTGTATTGGTCTATTTTCACACTGCTAATAAAGACACACTCAAGGCTGGCTAATTTATAAAGGAAAGCGGCTTAATGAACTCACAGTTCCACATGGCTGGGGAAGCCTCACAATCATGGCAGAAGGCAAAAGAGAAGAAAAGACAGATCTTACATGACAGCAGACAAAAGAGCATGTGCAGGTAAACTCCCCTTTATAAAACCATCAGATCTCATGAGACTTAGTCACTATCATTGGAACAGCACAGAAAAGAACCGCCCCCCACACCCACTTCAATTACCTTCCACCATGTCCTTGCCATGACATGTGGGAATTATGGGAGCTATAATCCAAGATGAAATTTGGGTGGACATAGCCAAACCATATCACATTCTCATTCCAAAAGGGAGAAACTGACCAAAATAAATTAGGGGTAATGGTCCTGACACTCAGCAGTGATGGCATTAAATCTAAAAGCTTCAACATAATCCTCAACTCCATGTCCAACATCCTAGTGCTAAGGCTGGGCTCCCAAGGCCTTGGGAAGGCCCAGTACTATGGCTTTCCAGGGTGCAGATTACATGGCTGCCCTAAAAGTTTGGAATTCAGTATTCATGGCTTTTCCAGGCAGAGGGTCAAAACTGTAGATGAATTTATCATTCTGGGGTCTAGATAGTGGTGGAATCCTTCCCACAGAGGCAGTAGGAAGTATCCTGGTAAGGACACTGAGTGGGGGCTGCAATCCTACATTTCCCTTCAGTATTGCCCTCTACTAGTAGAGTTTCTCTTTTGGGGCTTCACCTGTGTGGCAGGCTTCTGCCTGGGCACTCAGGCTTTTCCATACCTCCTCTGAAATCTAGGTGGAAACCACCAAGCCTCCTTCACATTTGTATCCTGAACATCTGCAGAGTTAACACCACATGGAAACTCCCGAGGCTTATAGCTTGCATCCTCTGAAGCAGTGGACCAAACTGTTTCTGGGCCCTTTGTGTCATGGCTGGAGCCAGAGTGGCCAAAACTCAGGAAGCAGTGTCCCAAGGCTGCACAGGGCAGCAAGGTCCTGGGCCTGGCTCTTCAAACCATTTTCTCTTCCTAGATCTCTGAGGTTGTGATGGGAGGAGCAGTCTAAAAAAATGCCTTCAAGTTCTTTTTCCCATTGTCTTAGATGTTAACATGTGGCTTCCTTTCAGTTAGCTAATCTCTCTAGCAAGTACTGCTACACAGCCTACTTCGATTTTTTTATTACCAAATGGCCAGGCTGTAAATTTTTCAAATGTTTCCATTTTTCTTCCCTTTTAAATATAAGTTCCAACTTGAAGTCATTTATTTGCTCTCATATATGATCATATGTTGTTAGAAACAGCCATGACAAATCTTGAAAGTTTTGCTGCTAAGAAATTTCTTCCACCAGATACCCTAGGTCATCACTCTTAAGTTCAAACTTCCACAGGTCCCTAGCATATGAACACAATGCATCTAAGTTATTTGCTAGGGTGTAACATGGGTGACCTTTACTTCAGTTTCCAATAACTTCCTCATTTTCACCTGAGACGTTGTCAGCCTGGCCTTCACTGTCCATAATTCTATCAGCATTTTGGTCACAACCATTTAACTAGTCTCCAAGAAATTCCATACTTTCTCTCATTTTCTTGTCTTCTTCTGAGCCCTTCAAACTCTATCAACCTCTGCCCATTACTTAGTTCCAAAGCCACTTTCACATTTTCAGGTATCTTATAGCAATGCCCCACTCTGTTAGTCCATTTTCCATCTTAGTCCATAAAGAATTACCTGAGACTTGGTCATTTATAAAGAAAAGAAGTTTAATTGACTCACATTTCTGCAGGCTGTACAGGAAGCATGGTGACAACATCTGCTTCTGGTAGAGGCCTCGGGAAGCTTACAATCATGGCAGAAAGTGCAGTGGGAGCAGACACATTACATAGGGAGAGAGAGAGCAAGAGAGAGAGAAAAGAGGTGCCATACACTTTAAACAACCAGATTTCATGTTAACTCACAGCAATAACTCACTCATCACCAAGAGGTGGTTCTAAGCCATCCATGAGGCATCTGCCCTCATGATCCAAATACTTCCTACCAGGCCCTACCTCCAATATTGGAGATTACATTTCAACATGAGATTTGGAAGAGACAAACATCCAAAACATATGAGACTATATAAAATATCACTTTTCAAAACGTTCAGAGTAAACACTTACATTTCAAAGTATCTGAACGATCTAGTTTCATTTTGTTTTATACAAACATATTAGTCAAAAAATTGTACCTCTTCTTTTTAATTTCAAAAAGACAACTATTAATATCTTGCAGAGAGGATTTTCTACATGACAGTTTTGAATAAATCCTATGCTATCTTTTAAAGGGTATTTTTAAAATTTAACAAGTGGCAAAAATAATATAATGAAAATGACAAAACATATTACTTTATTCTAATAGTTAATACTTGATAGAGTGGAATGAAAAGTGAGGAGCTCTATCCTATATGTAAAATTATTGAAAATGTTTATACTTTAAAACTAACTAATAAAAGCCACATGTCAGAGAAAAGTAATCATCTTTGGTAGTAACCTAGGAGGCTATTAATACATGAGAGTTAAAAGAAATTACGGGATATTTAAATCTCTATCCAAAATAACCTGGCAACAACCTTATGAAGGTGGGACATAAATAGGGACATAAACAAAACATTTTGTTTTGTTTAGGATTTCTGTACCTATTTTCATGAGTGATGTTAGTCTATAGTTTCCTTCTCTTATAATATCTTTTTCTGGTTTTAATAATAGTCTTGTAAATCAAGCTTAGAAATATTCCTGCTTCTATTTTTAAGGAAAAGACTGTATAGAAAGTGCACTATTTCTTCTTTAAATCTTTGGTAGAATTTCCTGTTAAGCCTCCTAGGCCAGGAGATTTCATTTCCAGAAAATTTTTAACCATGATTCCAAATTATGTAATAGACATACTCTTATTTTGGGTTTCTATTTCTTCTTGAGTTGGTCTTCATATATTTTTCTAATTCAAATAATTGGTCCATTTAATCTACTATATCAAAATTATTGGCAATATTGTTTATTCTCTCATTTTATCTCTCATATCTGTGGCATCTGAAGTGGTGTCCATTCTTTCATTTCTGCTATTAGCTATTCTTACCTACCCTCTTTTTGTCCTGGATCATCTGTAGAGGTTTATCAATTTTAATGATATTTTTATGAAGTTATATTTTTGATTCATTGGTTTCTGGTATTATATTCCTGTTTTAATTTTATGTATCCCTCAGTTTAATATTTTCTTCCTTCTGCTTTCTGTGCATTAATTTGTTTTTTATATTTTAGGTTCTTGAGGTAAAGCTTATGTTTTTTATTTGAGCCCTTGATTCTCTTCCACTATAAGAAAATAGTGCCATAAATTTATCTACAAGCAGTGCTTGGGTGCATGATTGTTTTATTTTCTTCAGTTCAAAATAAAGTTTAATTTTCTTTGAAAATTCTTCTTTGTTATTTGGAAGTCTATGATTTAATTTACATATATATGGTGATTATCTCAATTTTCTGTAATTAGTATTTTTATTTTAATCATATTTTCATCAGAGAAAATATCTTATAGGATTTTTATTTATTTTAATTTATTAAGGTTCTTTTATGGCTTAAAATAGGATTTACCTTTGTGAATGTTCCATGTACACTTGAGAAAAAATATATATTTTTCTTTTGTATGAAGGAATGTTCTATAAATGCCAAGTAGCTCAAATTGAATGATAATGCTTTTTAGTCATTTATATACCTACTGATTTTATGTCTACTTGTTTTGTCATTTACTGAGATGGTCTACTAATTACTGACTGTGAAAGTCTCCCAATGTAATTGTAGATTTGTGTGTTTCTCCTGTCAGTTCTAACACTTTGCATCTCATGCATTTGGATGCTCTGTTATAAAATACACATACATTTAGGATTGGTATAGTTGTAACTTGCTGAAGAATTGATCATTTTAGCGTCTACTTTATCTCTCTTTATCTCTGATAATCTTTCTTTTCCTGAAGGCTGCTTTGTTTTAAATTAACATACCTACTCCAGCTTTCTTTTGATTACTGCCTGCATAGCATATCTTTCACAATCATTTTACTTTTAATCTACCTGTAACTTCTAGCTTAGTATGTGTTTCTTGAAGGCAGCATATAGTAGAATCTTGTTGTTATTGTTTCATCTAATTATCCAACCTCTGTCATTTAATTGTGATATAAAGATTTTGTATTTAAAGTAATTATTATAATGAATGAATTCAAGTCTAGTATATATTTTTCTGCCTTCTCAGAGGTTAATTTAATATTTTATGATTATATTTTATCTTCACTTTTGATTTATTATTGATACATTTTTAAAATGTTTAAATGCATGCCCCAGGGTAATCAATCTATATCTTTACTATTAAAGTGATTAACATACAGTTTTAAGTTTCTTAAAACTGCACATTCCCAATTTTTTCCTCCCATCATTTTTGCAATTATTGCTGTAACTTTAATTTTATCACACTAAAAACACAAAGTACTTTGCTGCTATTTTTGTTTTAGATAGTCTGTTATCTTTTAAAGCAAGTAAATAATAAAATAAATTTTATGTTTCCATCATTTATTTTAATTCCAGTGTTTATCACCTATCATGTGTATGTCTACATGTTTAAATTCAAGGCTCTGTAGAGTATATTTCTTATGCCTAAAAAGAAAACATTAATTAAAATTTCTGTAGCAGAAGTCAGGTAGAAGTTAATTATCTTAACTTTAATTTGGCTAAGAAAATCTATATTTCAGTTTCCTTTTAAAATTATAGTTTAACTGGATAGAGAATTCTGGGTTGGCCGAATTTTGATTGCTCTCAGCACTTTAATGGGTTACTTCAATATAT
Source organism: Homo sapiens (assembly GCF_000001405.40). Taxonomy (NCBI): domain Eukaryota; kingdom Metazoa; phylum Chordata; class Mammalia; order Primates; family Hominidae; genus Homo; species Homo sapiens. The sequence continues at coordinate 126,098,238 of NC_000007.14, forward strand.
TTCACGATTTTTGACAAGAAGTCACTTACATTTCTTACCTTTATATCTCTCAACATAATATATTATTTTCTTTGGGTTACTTCAAGGTATTTCTTTTGATTTTAGCTGCTTAAATGAATAAGATAAGAATAAGATATGTCTAGAGATGTTTGTGTGTGTGTATGTGTGTGTGTATATGTGTGTGTGTGTGTCTTGCTTGGTGATCTCTGAGCTTTATGATTCTGTCATTCAGTGTCAGTCATTTAAAAATTTATGTATGTGTGTATGTATGTATGTATGTATTTAATTTCATTATAGGTTCAGGTTATACCTGTGCAGGTTTGTTACAAAGGTATATTGTGTGATGCTGAGGACTGGAGTACAAATGAATCCATCTCTCTGGCAGTGCATATAGTCCCCATTAGGCAGCTTTTCGCTCTTTATCCTTACCCTCTTGCCCAAGTCTTGTATTCCTCACTCTCTATTGCTGCTGCCTTTACGTCCATGTATACTCAGTAATGTTTATCTCTGGCTTATAAGTGAGAACATCAGGTATTTGATTTTCTGTTTCTCTGTTAGTTTGTTTAGAATAATGGCCACCAGCTGCATCCATGTTGCTATAAAGGATATATTTTTTCTTTCTTATGGCTGTTTAGTGTTCCATAGTTTATATGTACTACATTTTCTTTATCCATTTCAGAGTTGATGGGCACTTAGGTTGATTTCACATCCTTGCTATTATGAATACCACTGTGATGAACATACAGATGTAAGTATCTTTTTGGTAGAATGACTTGTTTTCCTTTGAATATATACCCAGTAATAAAATTTGCTAAGTCTTTAAAGTGAGTGTTAGAGTTAATTTGGTCTATCAATGCCTTGTATTTAGGATAGAGTCTACTTTGCCAGAGAGGATTTTTTTCAAGGTCTATTCCACCCTCAGTTTTAGGTCTTCACTTTGGGTTACACCTTAGAGAGAGTTTATTTACTTACTTTTGCAACTTTCACAGAAATATTATATTATTACCTATTACTCAACACTTATTAGCCTGTTGTTGGGGAGTGGAAGTATTCTGATTTTCTGACAAAGCATGAATCTACTGGATCTCCTGGGCTTGGGAGTATGACCTTCTTAATTCTTCTTCTACTTTCACACCTGTAGATATGTGTCCTGCACTTCCTTCAGAGATGGATAGAATTTTTTCTCTCCTTTCCCTCAGCTGCACTGGATTTCCACCAGTTTCCTAAGCATGTCAGTGTTTATCTTTCTTTCCTCCAGAGATTAAGTTAGTTTCACAGCTTAGATAAGGGATGTTCTTGGGTGGAGTTTCAAGCCTATATCCTCATGGCCACTGTCTCCCTCTACCAAGCTTATGTCATGGTTTCTTAAATCTTGCTACATTTTCTTCTTAGCTCCTGGTGGAATCTGTATAGGAAGGCCTAGTAAACTGTGAAAGGCTGCTATATCTGTGGCTTCTAGGTCTTTTATTTTCTTTTACCAGTTCACAATAAACTTCCACTAATGTGTTAACTTTTATAGCTAAATTCTTATCCATGCTTGACTGTGTCTTCTCAATTAAGTGATCATATTCAGCTCCTTCCTGCAGGTGATTTCTTCTTATATTTTGGGCCGGCTGGTTGTCCTGCACTTCCCTTCTCAGAAAATGTATAATAATTTTTATTTGATAGTGTGGAAAAGTCTAAATTAACATAAAGTGAATGGGTTATTATCCAATGAAAAAAGATTACTAATTAGCGATTGTTATAATTAATAAATTGTTGGGACTTGTCACTTACCATTCAAATTTTTAAAAAACAAGTGATTAGTTTGATATGCACTCTTGAATGACAGAGGAAGGTGTTCTTCATTGGCCTAATGTAGAACTATATTTTTATTTTGGGGGTTTTTCTTGTTGCTACTATGTGATTGGTTTTTTAATTTTGCATTTTTCTACATTCTATTTGGAAGTTAAAGTTCACATTAGTTTAAAAAGAGCAAAAAAGGACTCTATTAAGCCACGTGGTTGCTAGCTAGATACTGAATATAATTTTCCTGGTTTTTTTTTTTTGAAAAAATGCTTTTTTTTCTTAATACCATTCATTAATTTAAAACGAAGATAAGCAACTTCAAGAAATTTAGCCACATTCACAACCAAAATAGCCATTGATCAATGGAAGCTAAGCAAATATTTATCTGCTATGTCTTTCCAAATTTTATTTCCTACTTGTGTAGATAAGCTAAGTATATTTATAAAGGGAAAACTCTAAACTTCCCTCAGTTAAGAGCTCCTTGACATGCTCAATGTCACACTGCATAATATTGGCACTCAAAATAGAGATGGTTTTTAATGGCTCTTTAAGACATTGCTAATAATAAGAGGAAATGTGGAAAAGCAAGTTCTACATAACACAATTAGTATCTTCATTCTTTTCTGAAAAGAAAAATTTCCAAATACCTTTTAAAAAGAACATATAGCTATATCTCTGATACCCAGCTCATGATAGACTAGTTGACTATTCAAGAAGGACATGGAGAAAAGAAGAGGGAAATGCATTCTTTCAAGATTGCTCAGTTAGAATAGAATTTATAATATAATATTACTGCTGCAATTAATTGATCTTTCACTTTGAGGGACAAAAAAGTGAACAGCTGATTAATAGAGCAATGATATTCTTAGTACTCTTTTAGACAATAGCTCTAATCTTCTTATTGAATTCACTGAGATAAAATGGAAATATGTTCTATGCTGAATGGTACCAATGTTACATAAAGAGGATTAGATTTGATTGCAAGGCTAAAATATATGGTGTTTTAGAAATAAATCTCTTTGGTTCTTACATTCCTAAATGAAAAAATAATTCTTTTTTTAAAAAAAGTTAAATAATATATGTTAAGTATGATGAGGTAGGAAATTGGAAAACATAAGGGAATTGAAAAAAATTGATCATAAATTATTATGGTTAATTTGTGTTTACTTATTGTAACATTGTAAAAACTAGTATTTGATTACTTTAGACACTTTTCTAGAGTTTAGTGTTTTGGAAAAGAAATTAAGCCGCCAACTCACAAGTGGAATTTAATAATAGCAAGTATCATTTATTAGTTTTACTGTGTACCAGGGACTAGGTGAAGAGCTTCATATGCATTATCCCATTGATATCAAATGTTTAATATTCATTAATTACTTTTTCATGTGGCTAGGGTCACAGTAAATGACAAAGTTATTTATGGCAATGGGGAGATATATAGATAATAAGTAGGTGGGAAGAAATGTTGAGAAAGTCAGCAATCTTTCAAGATGCCTAAAGAATTTCTTTTTTCTTTTTACATAAAAATATGGATTGTTGGGGAAAATTGTCACCTTGTAATACAAAAAACTTATTTCTTAAAACAATTGCATAAATAACCTAAGGTAAAACAAATTCTCCAGTATTTTTGAAAAAAATAAAGATTATGTTTAGCTTTAATATGTTATATTTACACAACTAATGACTTGATTCCAAATCTATTACATTTTAAAATTAAATAAATATGATAGACAAAACATTATTTGTGATATGGGAAAATATTATAAAAGTACTCCAGTTCTTTTGAAATAAATTCACTCATCACTTCTTTTAGAATAACTTTGATGGGTTCTGAGTAGTTACAGAATAGTAGTCTCAAGAAGAATTTTCAGTTTGGGAAGCTGAAGGTGAACATGATGAATACAGGAAAAATCTTATAACTACTCAAGATATATCACAAGTGAGAATGTAAGAGACTACTAAATGCTAAATGCTAATGTCCAGGCAGAGAGTGCTGGAGTTTCTGGACCAGTCACTAGGTGCTTCATAGTAAAGGAAGTCAAAGTAAGTTTCAATGTAGGTAAGAGGAGAAAATAAAGGCATTGTTCTATTTCAGGGACAGGGCCATATGATTATAAACATTGCATTTTATTTTTCTCAAGGTTCTTCATTGTAGTAAACATATTTGAAAATCTGTTTGCTACTCAATTTATTTTTAAATAAATGGAGCTATATAAGTTTACTGTGGGTATCATTCGATATTAAATAAAGAACTTTTTAAAAATACTCATTTCTAATGGATTATTTTGTTTTGTAAAAAATAATTGGAGCAAGCTCAATTAAAATTATACCAGTTTCCTTGTTTTAAAGAAATGTGATTTTTATGTACAAGGTATGTAGCTTGGCAGTTACCTTGATCCTTCAATATTTGCCATAAGTCATAAAATTTACATGCCATTCTTAGTTCATTATTAAATTCACATAATTTCCAGCTCATACACTAAGTGTTTTTGCTATTTCCATTTAATTTCAAGAACTACATAAAGCACAAAGTTTGAAATCGTGTCTAAACTAAAGTGGGAAAATTATTTTAGCTATAAAGTAGACATACTGGGTAAATAGGAGAACAAAAATATCTTATTAAGAACATATTCAAATTGGTTTATGGGCACACTAGGCTTAGAAGCTCTGTCCAATTAAGGAAAGAAACTGATTATAAGCATTTGTTCTCTCATTTGAATTATCTGGATATCAGAACCATATAATACAGAACTATTTTTTCCTGTTCTCCCTTTCTGTAATTGAGAATTGATTGACATTGAGAAAAGAGCTTGTATAGTCCATATCACAAGGGGAGAAAACAAATAAAATTATAATTTCCTAATTAAATGAATAAAATCATATTGGAACGTCAACCAAAATGTCCTATTTCCAGAGCAGCCAATAAAATGATGAAAGTAGAAAAGGAGATAATATGCAATCCAATGTTAACTTCTCAGAGCTAGAAAGCAAAGCTTTATTTGCAAAAAGAAAAGAATTGTGGGGCTTCAATATTTGATATTTTCTTGTTTTATTCATACTCTAATCAGACATAGATAAACATGAAAAGTTACATGGAAAAATTAAAGTCAACATCATTTGTTTGTCATCTAATATATATTGTGCATTGCCTTGTACTTGGTGTTACAAATACAGAGATGAAAAAGCATGGTCCATGTCCCTTAGGAAATTAGTAGAGTAAATACGGAAAACTGTTCAAGTTGCCACTGTATCATCTATATTTCATATTATCCTCAGAACCCTAAATAAATCTAACTGCTGCATGATAGGAAAAATGAGGGAGAGGGAAACTGCAATAAATGAGGTGATAGTATAGTAGGAAACTGACATTAAGGAATTGAGTAGAACATAAGCAATGAGAAAGAGACATCTGTGTGAAGAATTAAGAGAAGTAGCGAGAACAGCAAGGTCAGAGGTCCCCATGAGTAACAATCTTAAGATAGCCAGGGGAAAAAAAGCAGAACAGTATAGCAGGTAGAGCATTAGCTGAGGGTGGGATGAGACGAGATCTGAGAGGTAAGCAGGGGTCAGCCTTTGTGGGACCTTGGAGGCCATGAAAAGCAGTTTGGATGTTATTCAAAGGGTTAAAGGTTGCCTTCTTCAAAAATGACACTAACTGTAGTGTGGGAAGGTATTCTGGGAGAAATGTGAAGGCAGGCATATCAGTTGAAGCTGTATTGCCTTTAATCTGCTATAATCGGTCCAGACAGCACAGCTTATCTTGTGATAACAAACACCACTGACATCCCAGTGACTGGCAATGACAAAAGCTTATTTTTCACTCTACACATCATTTCTATTGTGGATTGGCTGAAGTTTCTGCCATATGTTGTCACTATCCTCAGGCTGGGATCAAGGCTGATGAAACATCCATTCTCTGGAACATTGTCATTGACTATTTCCTAGCAGAAAAAGACTGGGTAAAGCATAGACGTCCCTTAAAGTTATTGCTAGGAAATGGCAAGTCTCACCTCTGCTCACAGCACATTTGCCAAAGCAGTTCTATGGCCAAACCTGATGTCAGTGGTGTTGAGATGTATAATTCTCCCCTAGGTTAAAGAAATGGCTATTGATGAATAATAGTATTTTGTACTGCACCAAACAAGAAGAGGTGGTGGCGTTTTTGACTAAGGTAATGACAGTTAATAGAAATAAGTTGAAATATTACAGATATGTATTTCAGGCTAGAAATAATAGAACTTGATGAATTGAATATGAGGATAGAAGAAACTGGCAGACTCAAGAATAAAGTTTTTGGCATGAATTACTTATGAAAATGTTAGTAGGTTTATTAACTGGGATGGGGAAGAATTAGGGACAAGATGAGGAAAAAACTAGAACATATTAGTGGGATTGCAGAATTAATAGTATACAGGAAGTAACATGTAAGTGCGGAGCTAAGGAAGATTAGAGCTGAATATATATATATATAAATATTCAGCCCTATTATATATGTGTGTGTGTGTGTGTGTGTGTGTGTGTAGAACTGGGTGTGTTACTAAAGAAGACAGTTCATATAGATAAGAGAAAAGGGATCAGAAAAAATGTCCCAAAGCACGTACAATGTACAATTACAGATAAGGCACAAGATGAACAACTATAAAAAGAAAACCATGTTGTAGTCCTTAGTTTGGAAGGATGAAAGCAAAGGATAACCAAGAGAAAAGTGTGTCAGACCACCCTTACAAGAAATGCTCAAAGGAATTGTAAACGTGGAAATGAAAGAGCAATACTTGCCATCATGAAAACACACAGATTTCATAAAGCAACCACATAATTTAGATTTCAAAGCAACTAGGGAACAACTAACACCAGGAAAGGAACAAAACCTCACATGTAACAGTATTAACCTTGAATGGAGCTGACTAAATGCTTCACCAAAAAGATATAGATGGGCAAAGTGAATTTAAAAACCAGATCCAACCATAGGCTTATTACAAGAAACCCACCTAACAGATACAGACTCAAAGAAAAGGGGCAGAAAAAGATACTCCATGCAAACAGAAAAGAAAACTGAGCAGAAGTCACTATACTTACATCAGATAAAACAGATTTTAAAACAACAACAGTAAAAAAAATACATATAGACAGTCATTATGTAATGATAAAGGGATCAATTGAACAAGAAGATGTAACAATCCTAAATATATATGTGCCCAATACTAGAACACCCAGATAGAAAAAAAGAAACAAAAACACCACTGCTGGACCCAAGAACATATTGAAAATATTTAAACATCAGTAAAATGACAGTGGGGTATTTCAACACCTAACTCACAGCACTAAACAGATCATAAGACAGAAAATCAACAAAGAAACTCTGGATTTAATTGGACTGTAAACCAAATGAACCCAAAAGACATTTATAGAACACTGTACCTATCAACCACAGAACACCCATTATTTTCATGTGTGCATGGAACACTTTCAAAAATTGAACATATGCTAACCACAATTCAAATATCAATAAACTTTTAAAAATTGAAATCATATCAATTATCTTCTCAGACCACAGTTAAATAAAACTGGAAATCAATACCAAGAAGAACTCTCTCACAACTGTTATATGCATATGTGTAAATTAAACAATCTGATTATGAATGCTCTTTAGATAAAAAATGAAATTAGGTAGAAATACAAAATTTTAAAAACAAATGAAAATAGAGACAAAGAATACCAAAACGTCTGAGATACAGCAAAAGCAGGACTCTATTTTATAGCATTAAATGTCTATGTCAAAAAGATGAAAAGATCTCAAATTAAGAACCAAATGTCCCACCTCAAGGGACTAGAAAAATAAAAACAAACCCAATCCAAAGCAACCAGAGAAAATAAATAACAAAGATCAGAGCAGAACTAAATGAAACTGAGACCAATAAAAAACAAAGAATCAATAGAATGAAAAGTTGCTTCTTTGAAAAGATAAATGAAATTGTCAGACTGCTAACTAGACTAATGAAGAAGAAAAGAGAAATTTTTAAATAGGTAGTAGCAGAAATTATAAAGGTGAAATTACAACTGATACCAGAGAAATAGAAAAGATTTTCGGAGACTACTGTAAGCATCTCCACATGGACAAACAAGAAAACCTAGAGGAAACTGGTAAATTTCAGGAAAGATACAGCCTCCCAAGACTGAACGATGAAGAAAGAGAAATAAATGTCTAACAATGATAGATTGGATGAAGATAATGTGGCACATATACACCGTGGAATACTATGCAGCCATAAAAAATGATGAGTTCATGTCCTTTGTAGGGACATGGATGAAGCCAGAAACCATCATTCTCAGCAAACTATCACAAGGACAAAAAACCAAACACTGCATGTTCTCCCTCATAGGTGGGAATTGAACAATGAGAACACTTGGACACAGGAAGGGGAACATCACACACCAGGGCCTGTTGTGGGGTGGGGGGAGGGGGAGGGATAGCATTAGGAGATATACCTAATGTAAATGACGAGTTAATGGGTGAAGCACACCAACATGGCACATGTATACATATGTAACAAAACTGCATATTGTGCACATGTACCCTAGAACTTAAAGTATAATAAAAAAAATTTAAAAAGAAAGAGAAACAATGAACAGACCAATAATGAGTAGTGAAATTGAATCAATCATTTAAATAAAAAAATCTTCCAACAAAACAAAAAGCACAGAACCAGATGGACAGACGGACTCATAGCTGAATTCCACCAATGCAGATAAAAGAAATAGAACCAATCTTACTGAAACTCCTTATAAAAAAAATTGAGGAAGAGGGAATCTTTCCTAATTCACGCTACAAAGCCTGTATTACCCTGATAGCGAAGCTGGCAAGAGTACAACAAAAAAGAAAATTATAGGCTAATATCCCTGATGAACATAAATGCAAAAATCCTCAACAAAATACTAGCAAACCAAATCCAACAGCTCATCAAAAAGATAATATACCACAATCAAGTAGGTTTTGTTGTAGGTTTGCAAAGATGGTTTAACATACACAAGTCAATAATTATTATTTATTATATAAACAAAATTAAAAACAAAAACCATATGATCATCACAATAGATGAGAGAAAGCTTTCAGTAAAATTTGGCATGGGGGAAAGTTGAAAACATTCTCCCTAAGAACAGGAACAAGATAAGGATGGCCACTTTCACCACTTTTGTTCAACATAGTTCCGGAAATCCTAGCCAAAGAAATCAGTCAAAAGAAAGAAATGAAAGAGGAAGAACCAAATCAAGAACTCATTTCCATTTATAATATCTACAAACAAACGAAAATACATTTAACTAGGGAGGTGAAAGATCTCCACAAGGAGAACTACACAATATTGATGAAAGAAATCATAGAAAACACAAACATGGAAAAGCATCCCTTGTTCATGGATTAAAATAATCAATATTATTAAAATGACCATGCTGCCCAAAGGAATCCTCAGAGTTAAAGCAATTTCTATCATACTATCGATGCCACTTTACAAAGAATTAGAAAAAAAATCCTAAAATTCATATGGAACTAAAAATAGAGACTGCTGGCCAAAGCAATACTAAGCAAAAAGAACAAAGCTGGATGCATTACATTACCTACATTAAAATTATACTACAAGTTAATAGTAACCAAAACAGCATAATACTGGTATAAAAATAGATACATACAGCAATAGAAGAGAACAAAAACCCACAAATAAAGCCGGATACTTATAACCAGCTGACCTTTGACAACATCAACAAAAATATACACTAGGAAAATGACACTGTATTCAGTAAACTGTGCTGGGAATATTACATGGCCATATGCAGATGAATAAAACTGGACCGCTACCTTCCATTACATACAAAATTTACTCAAGATGGATTAAAGACATAACTTTAATACCTGAATCCATAAAAAATTATAGAAGGAAACTTAAGAAAAACTCTTTGGGATATTGGCTTAGGAATGTATCACTAAATTCCCAAAAGCAAATGAGAGGAGTAGTAGGCAGCCAAATGCCTAGGCAGATAGGGGCAGGTCCCCAGTGAAACTCCACCTGCAAGCCAAAGACAGTTTAAAGCCTGAAAACCAAGCTACATGTTAAATCCATGGAGCAGATTGAGAACTTGTCTTCCCATTGGGCATGCTTTTCTCTGATTGGTCCATACTCTTCCCCTATTTTACATATACCTACACTTTCCTAATTAGTTTTTCCTACACTGTCATGCCCACCTTTGAGTGGTGTATTCACTTCAACCTTTTGTGCATACTCACAAACCAATAAGCATGCACTCCCCATCCTGAGTTTATAAAAGGCCCCAGGCCCAGCCACACAGGGAACTTTCCCTCCTTTGGGTAGGGGGACCAACTCTGCATCCCCTCTCCACTGAAAGCTGTTTACAACACTCATTAAAATTATTCTCTGCCCTCCTCATCCTTCAATGTTCAGCATATCCTCATTCTTCTTGGATGCAATACAAGAGCTGGGAACAGCCAAACACGGTTACAAGCTATAGCACAGTCGAGCTGGGGCATGTCAGCATGGTGAAGTGAGGCCCAGGTGGTGTGTTGCTGGCCAGGGCTCCCTGGCTTGCAAATGACTGAGAAGAAAAATCCTACATCACAAACACAATAAAAAAAAAAAAAAAAAAAAGACAAACGGGACTTAAACTAAAAATCTTCTGCATAGCAAAAAAAATAATTATCAGGGCAAACAGGCAACATACACGGTGCAAGTAAATATTTGAAAAGTATTCATCCAACAAAGGGCTAATATCCAGAATCTGTAAGAAACTCAAACAACTCAATAAGAAAAAAAAACAACTCCACTAAAATTTGGGCAAAGAACGTCAACAGACATATTTCAAAAAAAGATAAAGACATACAAGTGACCATGAAACATATGAAAAAAAATGCTCAACATATCTAATCATTGGAGAAATGCAAATAAGGCCACAATGAGATATCATCTTACACCAGTCAGAATGGCTACTATTAAAAATTCGAACACCAACAGATGATGGTGAGGGTGTGGAGTAAAAGGAACACTTACTCACTGTTAGTGGGATTGTAAATTAGTACAACCTCTATGGAAAACAGTATGGTGACTTCTCAAAGAACTAAAACTAAAGCAACCACTTATGAGTGAGAACATGCAGTATTTAACTTTCTGTTTATGAATTATTTCATTTAGGATAATGGTCTCTAGTTCCATCCATATTGCTGCAAAAAACATAATTTCCTTGTTTTATGGTCGAGTAGAATTTTGTGGTATACATACACCATATTTTCTTTATCCAGTCATCACTTTGCTGTCATGTGTCTGTATAGGAGGGTTTTGCTTTAGTTGACCTGCCAATAATCATTGATGAACACTTAGGTTGATTCCATGGCTTTGCTCTTGTGAATAGTGAATCAATTCTTGAATGCAGATGTCTTTTTGATATAATTATTTCTTTTTCTTTAGGTAGATACCCCACAGTGGAATTGTTGGACCAAATGGTAGTTCCGTTTACAGAATGTGTTTCTACCTATTTTTTTGTAGCTTCTTCTTTTTTTTTTCTTTTTCTTTAGCCATTGTAAATGGAATTGAGTTCTTGATCTGGTTCCCAGTTTGACTGTTATCAGTGTATATAAATGCCATTATTTTTGTTTGTTAATTTTATATCCTGAAACTTAAGTGATTTATCAAATCTAGGGTTTTTTTTTTGAAGAGTCTTCAGGTTTTTCTAAGTGTATGACTGTATTATCAGAGAATAGAGATAATCTGACTTCATATTTTTCAATTTGGATGCCTTTTATTTCTTTCTCTTGCCTATTTGCTCTGGTTAGGACTTCCAGTACTATGTTGAATAGCAGTGGTGGAAGTGGGCTTGTTTGTTTTGTTCCAGAACATACTACTTTTATTTCTCTTTGGGTATATTCTAACTAACTGACCCGTGTAATATAAGAACAGCCACAAATTATTTAACTGGGGTAGTGTCCTACAGCTATTCTGGATTCAAAAAGAATGAAGCATAACCTCGGAAGAGCAATTGATTTTGTAAAATATGTTTGAGCCATTTACACAAAATATCATAGAGGTAATGACAGTCTCATTAGTCATTGGAGTATATTATTTGAGGACACTAGGGTATAATTTTAAAAGTAATTGTATTCTGAATTTTGATGCACTAAATTTCATTAGAACAAAGGGGGTCATATAGTTTATCAGAATAAATGACAAATAAATGGAAATCATTAACTACTTTAGTTTTGATTATATAAAAGTTTATAAGGATACCAATAGAAATTCCTTTTATTTGAAGGTAATATGTGGGACAAAAGAAATGGAGAATAGCAACCATATGTGTTAAACAATAATAGAATGCAGACTTTCAGTATGAGAATTTTTTATTACCACTTACTGGGCAGTCAATAGAAGTAATTAGTAGATTATTTGTGTTGAATTGTTCATGTTCTAAATGTTTGTGTCTGTGTCTGTGTGTGTGTGTGTGTGTGTGTGTGTGAGAGAGAGAGAGAGAGAGAGAGAGAAATATCTATGACAGTCTCCATTACATACAGAAGTTAGAGGAGATTCCTATTACAGTGAAACTGTTCCAGTGTGTATGCAGAATCTATTAAGTACTTGACACTCTCGACTTTCATTGTATGATTTTGGCATTGTCTGAAGTCTGACTTCATCTGATGCTACTAAGAAAAAGAAAATAGTGCCAGTATAAGGAAGGCTCTATGATTTCTGTCCATGGGTTTTAGCTGTTGTGCTTTATCTAACGCGTACCTTTAGCCTTCATTATTTTTGCATGTCTATAGTGCAGAAATAGCTCAGAAGTACATATCATAGCACTAGTAATCAAGCAATGCTTGCAATATGATTTTCTTGAGGCCATGGCTTGGGTAAATGGGTTCCTTCTTTTATAATTAATCAATTTTCATATAATACAATAGTTCTGTCATTTTATCTCTCAATGTGGAGCCCAGTGTTTCCGCTGTTGCTATTTCAAAGAAAAAATGAGAACAACCCTGGTTTAGAAAAATGAGTGCCTTTTCTGCACAAGAATTCTCATTTTCTAAGTAAGCAAACCTCACCTAGCAAAAACCAATCCCTTCATTTACAGAAACCACCAGAGAATAACAATAAAAAGGGTTGGAAGGAATGATTGGATATTTTGACATCCTACTTTATCCAGGATCCAAGATGACTAAAGATCTGACAGGAAATAAAATAGTTTTGAGAAGTTGGATAAGGTGACAAAACTGAATCCGATGATAACATTTACAGAAAGCAGCAACTTCCGTGAATGATCATTTATCAAAATGGATCAACTGAGTTTAGTGAGCATGTCCAAAATATAAAGTAATAAAACTGTTGTGAATACTTAGAAAAGTATTCCTAGAAACGAAACATGGGATTTTTGGAAATATTTTTCACTGCACTATTTCTTTCAGCATTTTGGAATATGACTATACCAGGAAGAAATATCAATGTTGTCACTACTTTAAAAACAGTTATTCTTTTTCTTTTACATGTCAGATACCATAGGTCTTAGAAAATATAGTTCATTTTACATTTTCCTGTGCAACTGGTGACAGTGTAGCAGTCTGTTCTGAAATTTATAAACCTTGTTTTCAGTAAGTAAGTTCTTGTTATGCATGCATTGTATGTTCAGTATTATAAACAAACACACACACACACCATAAAACCCGTTAACTAGAAAGTTTATACTCATTCTGAAGAATACGAAAGATAAATACATAAAGCATTTTCTTTGGGAAATATTCTGCATTGCTAAAGGATGAGTCCTCTAAATATCAATTTTTACATTTCTAGTAATGCAAATTTGTAGGTTAATGTGATTAAATAAAACTTATAGTGACTGATCATTTTTGTCTTTGCTTGTTTCAATACATCAGGAAAAAAAAACAAAATTTGCTTAGCCCTATTTGAAAGAATTATTTTAAACCTAAGTTAAGAAAATCAAGGCATTTCTATAATAAATTTGTAGTTTGCATAGTGGACAGTAGAATAATTATATGGAAGCAGAAATAATTACACAGAACATATGCATAGTAGTTGATAATTATTCTTGGCTCTTTGAAAACCACTATGATAGCACTCATTTACTTTTTCTTGATAGGCTTCTTTTTAAAACAATAAAAATTTTATTCCAAAACTGCTTTTAATTGACTATGATATAATGATAGCAGAAGGTAGACTCCTTCTGAATGTGCTTGCATTAAATAAAAATGCCTCAAAAAATGAAAAGCTTTCAGGGACCACCAGAATCAAACAACTGATGGAATGAAGGGATATGATAGAAACTTAGGAACAGGGGAGTCCTGTCTATGAGCTCTTCAAATCACACTCAAATAACATCAGTTAAGATAGGTTCTGTTAGGAAATTATCTTTAGCAAGCTAGAAGTATGTGATCGAGTTGCCAAATGCCCAGATCATTTAGAGAATAAATAAACCACCTTATTTACATTGTATGAGAAAAAAACTTTATAAATACTTGATGTATAAAGTATGCCCACATTTGTTTTTACCTCAAAAAATTAAAATGATGTGATCCTTGACATCTGAGCTTCAAAGATGGGAGCAGATCTGATATCAATCTGCTCCAGTGGAGAGCTTGACCTAAGGCAAAGGAGACACGTGCTGCCTCTTCAGAGCTTTTGGCAAAACTGCATGAGATCTTCTGTGGTCTTCAGAAGGATCCTGAGAGACATTTGAGTGGCTATGAAGGACTATAGAGATTAAACAAAAAAAAAATCAGGAACCTTAACAAACATTAAGAGAAAAAAATTAAAATATCAGTGATGGCAAAGAAGGAATTGTTTCAGTAATCCTATGAATGGCAAGTTTCAAAACAAACAGAGACAGAGAGATCTTGATGTGCAAATGGCATGCACATCCTTGATGTCAGCTGGAGGCGGTAAAGCCAGTAAGAAGTATGGCAAGAAGAGGAAACAACTATATAGATGGGCTTCAGGCTCAAATGCTGTGCTGTTAGGCTGAGTCAGTCTCTCAGATAACTTTGAGGTCTAATCAGCAAGCCATAGAAAAAGGCTGGACTCGTGCTTCACAAAAGAAATAATTCAATACCTTCCACTGTCATCTTCTGAAGATAGTCACCCTATGGGCCTTCTTTATTAAGAATTAAGTTTCCAGCATTAAGCTGTATGCCTTTGAGTGAAATCAGGTCTCCTCATGTTATCTCTGTCCTGGCCTGAATGATGTAAAGGAGTTAAGACCAAAAGATTTCTTTTCATCCATGAGAATTCTGTTCTCAAGTTTCAGAATCTGAAAACTTACAATATAGACAGACACAGAGGACAAGGGGCAAATAGTAGAATTTCATTACATGTAAATTAGTCGTCGGGAAGGTAACAAAGGCTCTGTTCATGAATTTCAAGAAGAAAAAGAAGAGGAGAAGAAGAAGGTGGAGAAGAGAAAGTAGAAGAAAGGAAGAAGAGAAGAAGAGCAGGAAGAAAGGGAAGAGGAGGAGAAAAGAGAAGGAGATAAGATTTTAGTTGTCAGAGAAAGAGTTACAAACATGAACCAAGCACAGATGTTGGACACAGCACTGTATATCCGGAAGAAGACACAATGATTTTCTCAACTAAGAAAGGAAAGTCAAATTAGTGGGCATGACAAAGGTTTTGATCTCCATGCCATTAATAAAACACTCATTATGATTTCCTGACTAGGAAGTAGATGAGGACAAAGAAGAGCCATAGGATAATAGCTTCTCAGTGTGAATTGGGAACTTAGAGGTCAAGTTTAACCTCCTGTTAGATGTTACGTACCTATTAGAGATAAATCTTGCATCTTAGTTATTAGAATGAAGAAAAGCCTGTGATTTATTAATATTGACTTCTTAATGAATAATTGAAAAATGATTAAACAAAAGACTATTCCTGTCTTGTTAAAGCCTCAACTTTCATAAATTTCAGAAATACCACGGTAAAATGAGATATATTTGATCAAATTCTGTGTCTAAATAATCAGGATTCCATTTTCAATTCATTATTTTGTTTTTCCTGAATTTTCTTCATGAACAATTTACATATCACAACTCCAACCTAACTGATTATCCAAGAAACCCCAATTCAACATTATATATGAATTAGCAGTGCTTAAGAAAGGGCACATTGCTCACTAGGCTGGATGTGTGCCTCTGCAACAAAGCCTAATTAAAGGAGAATACTGAGGCAGAACAAATCATGTAGCAGTGACACAAAAGATAAAGCAGCACACTTAATTCTCAATATTACTTGAAATAACATGGGAATTAAATTTAAGCTCTGATTTTAGAATTTACACTTTACAGAGAACATAATTTTGAGCTTAATACAACCAAATATCCATAAAAACTTAATGAAACTATATTTGGGGGAAATATTCTAAAGGATACTTAATTTATCTATTTTGCTAGAGTCTTACTGTAACCACTGAAGAGGCAAAATACACAGAATTAGGTGTTGTATCTCACCATTGTTTGATTAGCTCCAACTTGCCATGTGCCATTTCCAGTACACCTTAGCCAAACACACAAATTCAAGTGCATGTACCACACACATACACTGACATACACATTCTGGTTACACTGATTTGCTCTAATTGATTGTGTTTGCTATTGAGGACATGAAATTGCATTGGTAATTAAAGTAAATCTTGCTGCTAGAATTATTATGAAAAAGCCTTCGAAGTTAAACTCTGCATTACAATATATTCTTTATGAAGATACATGGGCAAAAATGACACTAGTATCAGGAATATTTGTACCTTTTCTAATTAATTAGTTTGTTTTTCTCTTTTGGACCCTGTGAATTAGGTAGCTGATCACCTTTCTCCCTCAGCATTGACAGAAATAAAGCTTAAGATTTACTAGTGGTCTACTGTTAGCAGATATAAAGTTGTCATGGTAGGCATTTTGTATCAGCCTTAATTCTGGCTCCATGTGGAATCTCAACCTATATTTCTTTCCTACCTAGTAATTTTCACCTATTTCTAATGTTTGGTCATCTTGCTTCATGTTATCCACATTTTATTTACATTAAACACTTTTGTGAATTCACTTTTATCAAAAACATCTTCCACCTAAAAAAAAAGATGGAAAGAAGGCAACTTTTCTAAAAATGTTTTTGTTTTATTTTGTTTTTTAATCAACCATGTATTTAGAATAAAGTTTGGAAATAATAACGCAATATTCAGTATATAGCAGTATCACTGAGAAAGACTTTGAGACAAGCAAACTACCAGTGTCATTAGAAACACATTCAAATGAAATCTTCCTATCCTTTTGTAAAGAAACTAGCTACCTAGGGAAAAGTTTCAGCCAATAAAGCACTTTTGGAATCTGATTTTCCTTAATATTCTTAAATTAAAAGTAAACGTATAGATTTAATTAACATAAGGCTAGGTCTGTTTTTGATAATTTACATAGAATTTAATAAGGGCTCAAATATTTTCTTCTATGCAAAGCCCTGATCAAATCCATAAGAAGCGTCAGTTCTCTTTCCTTCATTGTTAGTATACACAAGAACAAAGTATAAATGTCTTCTCCAACTGGCTTGATTTTTAAAAAGCATCGTGTAACAGAAAGTACTTGTGTATTACAGTAAATGGAAGTCTTTCAAATAACTATTATAAAAAAAATTGTATTAAGCCCAGCACTCCTCTGGGTATGTTGATAATACTGAATTTCTAGTTTCATCAGAGCTACGTTAATCACATACCCTGCAAGGAATTAAAACATCTGCTTAACAGTAATTTAAAAATATATTTTAAAGAAAAAAGTATAAGGATAATAATATATCAAATTGCTAAATAAAGTATCCATGATTAATCAAAGGGACTTTCAAGATAAAGTAGGAAAATGTACTTATAACAATAATCCATCAACTAGCCCTAAGGGCTGGATACTGCAATAAATTGTCATTTGGCAGCATGTTATGTCTTCTATAGGCCACCACAGCACCATTTATAAATTTTATTATACTAAAAGACATATTTAGCACTGGTTAATCTCATATAATGAAAGTATTTACTGTATATCTCTAAGACTTTCAACTTCCTAGCTTGACCCTTTGAAACACCCCATAGAAAACATTTTTCTATCTGACAAAAAGGAACTGTGGAGGTAATTTAATGAATTTTTGCCAGCCAAGGAGAAATGAAAGACATGATTTATAAATTTATTAATTGTCCACTTGTTGAAAAATTAGTACTGTCTGAACAAAAATTTAAAATTTGTGGCTTTGTGATTCTTTCCAAGAGAAACTTCATGGAGATATGAAGCCTGACCTTGTGGAGGCTACTTTGCTCACCCTGCATTCTCCACCCTTGATAGAACTGAAGGATTGTATGACCCTGTGAGGCGATGTCATAAAGTCAAATTATTTCTAAAATATTACTGTTAAAATTACATGGCATCTATGACTCTTTAAAATTACTTTATTGAATTTTAAGTACTAGGACTTAGAAAGGAATTAGCCTACATTTTCTCTAAGACCAGCATTGAAACAAACTTTATATACTAGAGAACCTACCAGTACTGAAATCCATGTATTTTGAGTCCTTATTTTTCCCCCAAAATTACACTTGCTTTTCGAAAGCACTAAGTCAATTTTACCTGTGTCTATCAATAATTGTTTGACCCAGCAGACAAAATTTTTGTAAAAGAACTATCCCACAGTTCAGGAAGTTGACTTCTTATTAAACATTTAATATTAAATTCAGATGTCAGTGTTAAGATTGCAATATTGAAATACCATTACACACTTTTAGAAAATTATGAAAAAAAAGAAAAATAAATTTATCTATAAAAATGAAATAAAGCAATCAAACAGGTAAGGGAACAAAATAAGTAACAGAGTTCAAAATTCAACAAAATGAGAAAAAAAAAGTAGTTTTCAAAAAGAATGAGATAAGCAGCTTAACTCAACTCCTTAAATCACTGATATGATTTGGCTGTGTCCCCACCCAAATCTCGTCTTGAATTTCATGTGTTGTGGGAGGGACCCAATGGAAGGTAATTGAATCATGGGGGCAGGTCTTTCCCATGCTGTTCTCATGACAGTGAATAAGTCTCACAAGATCTGATGGTTTTTAAAAAAAGGAGTTTCCCTGCACAAGCTTTTTTTCACCTGCTGCCATCCATATAAGATGAGACTTGCTCCTCCTTGCCTTCCACCATGATTGTGAGGCTTCTCCAGCCACGTGGTACTGTAAGTCCAATTAAACCTCTTTCTTTGATAAATTGTCCAGTCTCAGATATGTCTTTAATAGCAGCGTGAAAACTAATACAGTAAATTTATACCAGTAGAGTGGGGCATTGCTGAAAAGATACCCAAAAATGTAGAAGTGACTTTTGAACTGGGTAATAGGCAGAGGTTGGAACAGTTTCAAGGGCTCAGAACAAGAGAGAAAAATGTGGGAAAGTTTGGAACTTCCTAGCAACTTGTTGATTGGATTTGACAAAAATGCTAACAGTGATGTGAACAATAAGATCCAGGCTGAGGTGGTCTCAGATGGAGATGAGGAACTTGGGAACTAGAGCAAAGGTGAGTCTTGTTATATTTCAGCAAAGAGATGGGTGCCATTTTCCCCTGCCCTAGAGATTTGTGGAACTTTGAACTAGAGAGAGATGATTTAGGGTATATGATGGAAGAAATTTCTAAGCAGCAAAGAATTCAAAAGATGACTTGGGTGCTGTTAAAGCCATTCAGTTTTATAAGAGAAACAGAGCATAAACGTTTCAAACATTTTCAACCTGACAATGCAATAGAAAAGAAAATCCCATTTTCTGAGGAGACAGTCAAACCAGCTACAGAAATTTGCATAAGTAACTAAGAGCCAAATGTTAATCCCCAAGACAATGTGGGAAAATGCCTTCATTATGTCAGAGGTCTTCATGGCAGCCCCTCCCATCAGAGGCCCAGAGGCCCAGGGTCCCATGCTGTGTACAGTCTAGGGACTTGGGGCCCTGTGTCCCAGCTGCTGCAACCATGACTAAAAGGGGCCAAGGTACAGCTTGGGCCATGGCTTCAAAGGATGCAAGCCCCAAGCCAGCTTCCACGTGGTGTTGAGCCTGTGGGTGCACAGAAGTCAAGAATTGAGGTTTGGGAACCTCCATCTAGATTTCACAGGATGTGTGGCAATGCCTGGATGTCCAGGCAGAAGTTTGCTGCAGGGGTGGGGCTCTCGTGGTGAACCTCTGCTAGGGCAGTGCAGAAGGGAAATGTGGGATTGGCGTCCCCACACAGAGTCCCTACTGGGGCACTGCCTAGTGGAGCTGTGGGATGAAGACCACCATCCTCCGGACCCCAGAAGGGTAGATCCACTAACAGCTTGCACCATGTGCCTGGAAAAGCCACAGACACTAAACACCAGCCCATGAAAACAACCAGGTGGGAGGCTATAACCTGCAGAGCCATAGGCGCAGAGCTGCCAAAGACTATGGGAGCCCGCCTCTTGCATCAGTGTGACCTGGATGTGAGACATGAAGTCAAAGGAGATCATTTTGGAGTTTTAAGATTTGACTACCCTGCTGGATTTCAAACTCGCATGGGGCCTGTAGCCCCTTTGTGTTGGACAATTTCTCCCATTTGGAATGCCTGTATTTACACAATGCTTGTACCCCCATTATATCTAGGAAGTAACTAACTTGCTTTTGGTTTTACAGTCTTATAGGCAGAAGAAACTTGCCTTGTCTCAGATGAGACTTTGGACTGTGGACTTTTGAATTAATGCTGAAATGAGTTAAGACTTTGGGGGACTGTTGGGAAGCCATGATTGGTTTTGAAATGTGAGAACATGAGATTTGGAAGGTGCCAGGGGTGGAATAATATGGTTTGGTTGTGTCCCCCAACCAAATCTCATCTTGAATTCCCATGTGTTGTGGGAGGGATCTGGTGGGAGGTAATTGAGTCTTGGGGGAAGGTCTTTCCCATGCTGTTCTCATGATAGTGAATAAGTGTCACAAGATCTGATGGTTTTAAGAAGGGGAGTTTCTCTGTACAAGCTTTTTTCCACCTGCTTCCATCCATGTAAGACATGATTTGTTCCTCCTTGCCTTCTGCTATGATTGTGAGGATACCCCAGTTACATGGAACTGTAAGTCCAATTAAACCTCTTTATTGTCTAAATTGCCCAGTCTCAGGTGTGTCTTTATCACAGCATGAAAACTGACTAATGCAATCACCCCAATTTCCCAAAGCCATATAAGTAAGATCACAAAATTCTGAGAACTACTATATTATTTTTATGTGGCTGCTGTAATAAAATATCAAAACCTTGGTGGCTTAAAACAACAGAAATTTATTCTCTCACAGGTTTGGAGACAAAAAGTCTGAATCAAGTTATCACTAGACTGAAATCAAGGTGTCAGCAAAGCCATGCTCTCTTTGGAGGGTCTAGAGAGAATGCATCCCTTACCCTTTCCAGCATCTGGTAACTTAGCTGCTGGCATTCCTTGGCTCATAGCTGTATCACCTCAGTTTATGCTGCCATCTTCATATGTCTTCACATCTTCTCCTCTTATGTCTATGTGAACACTTCTTTGGCCTCTCTCTTATAAAGATACCTGTGATGATATTTAGGACCAATAATGATAATCCCAAACAGCATTTCCATCATTAGATTTTTAATGTAATCATCTTTGCAAAAATCCTTTTTCCAAATAAGGTAACATTTAAAGGTTCCAGGGATAGGAGAGCATATCTTCCATGGGTTGTTATTCAACCTACCATGACTACAGAATTTGGAAAGAAGAAAAGTTATTTATTTTATTTCAGAAAAGGACAAGAAATAACTGTCAGGCAGAAACAGATGAAAAGTGGAAGGTAAACAAGTCTAAGAGAATTGAAATTGAATGACTATATATTGGATTGAGGGACTATCCCACAGCCCACAAGTCTCAGTATTGTTATACCTCTCTGAACAAGATAGAGTAAATCCTTATGCACAGGTCATTTAAAAAATGCCTCAGAGCAGAGAGCAGGAGCAGTGCTTATAAGTTCACATTCCAAGTTTCTAAGCTCTTTCCACCTGCCACCCTGCCTCCTGCAACGTAATTTTATCAAGATATGGAACAATGTAAAGGGCACAAAGTTGTTAGCTCTCCATCTATCTCAGATGAGAAAACAAACTCTTCTAAATACACAGAAAAAAAATCCAAAACTCACCACATATGATAGGATTTAAACAAATGGCCTAAACATTAACAAGTTAAAACCAAGTAGCATTATGAAGGAAAGAAGGAAAAAAGGAAGGAAGGAAGGAAGGGAGGGAGGAAGGAAGGAAGGAAGGAAGGAAGGAAGGAAGGAAGGAAGGAAGGAAGGGAGGGAAGATAAATTTTACATGTCAGTGGGCTTAAAAGTGTTATTAAAAGATGAAGCTACACACATTGGGTCAAAAAATTAAATCCAAACACATGCTGTTTATAACACTAATCTAAAGAAACCTAAAGAAAGTGACACAAAATTAAAGTTTAATAAATAGTCCAAATACATAATAAATATACAATAACTAGCAATCAATTTATATGTCAGAAATACACAATTAGAAAATATAGTGAGAATAAACCATTCCTGTTAGCAATATACATTATAAAATGACTAGAAAAAAGTTTAATAAAAACTGTGTGGAAGAATATTTGAAATGTGTACATAAAGTAACATTGAAAAATACTGAAAGCATTTAACAGCAGCTAGTACCAAAGTTAATCACTGATCTTGACTGAGGATGGTATCATAAGATATTTTTTAATCTCTTTCTTTCTACTGTGAAAATTCTGTTTCAGTTGTAATGATAGATAAACCTCCAGCTGGATAGAGTGGAATTACTACAAGATTATAGGTAAACTCAAGGAGAGGGTCTAATTTAAAAACTGCATAAATTGAACAGTGGAAAAGATGATATTTATCTAAAACCAAATTGTAAAGTATTGTTTTGTTAATTGTAAGAAAAATAATTATAAGGTAGATTAGTTTATTACACATAAATTGAGTTCAGTCCAATTACTTTTTCCTTTGATAAGTTTACAATCTCATAAATGAAGAAAATGGTGTAGGCAACATATCTGAATTTCAGCAAGGCATTAAAAAGACTCATGGTTGAATAATAATGAACACAATGGATAATTGTTAAGCAGATTGGCATGTACGTGTATAGATCCTAATATCTGAATGATCTAACTGAAAGAAATTATTTTTATTGTTTAATATTAAATTGCAGTTAGATCTCTTAGGGAAAGATAAAGAAGTCTATTCTTTTCATTTTTTTGTTCAAAATTTTGGTATTCCACACAAATAAAAACTGAGGCTGTCTTTTAAGTATATACTAGGAATACTACCTTTTAATTGTCATTAAATATAATATTTGATCAAATAGAATCTTTTATGAAAAAATTACTTTGAAATTCCAATGTAATGTACAGTATAGTATTTTGTGTTTAAGCCAACATTTTGTTGGGAAAATGGGAGACAGGTAAGTCTGAATTACCCAAAGAGCCAAATGTAAGAATAAGTCTCTGTTGGGTTTCTCCAGTCTTTCAAGAGGTGTGTAGCTATCTAATTTACTATAATAGGTAGTATAGCATGGCTATAAGAAAAGACATGTAATTGTGGAGAAGAAAGATCTTAGAGGGATGACAGACAGGCACTACCAACAAGCTTCACCAGTACCATTCTTTGCCTTCTGGTAATTTGACTACCATTAATTAAAAGGCATTGGCTAAGGTTCAGATCATTTGGACCAGGCAACTTCTAGAATCAAATAATATTTGCAAATATATGTGTTTGAATAACATTTACCATACAAATGTTCACAATATAATAATTTTGATATGATATTTACAATACTATATTCACAATAAAATATTTTCAATTTTTATAATCGACAAAAGTTTTATCACCAGGACATATAGGGCTTACATATCAATGGCAAGCAAAAAACAATCGAAATATTTGGCATAGTATTTAAAAAGACACTTAACAAAAGAAGTTATAGAATGAATATGAGCATATCAATCAATATTCGCATCATTACTCACCAAAGAATTGCACACTGAAATCTCAATGAAAGACCTCATTGGAAAAATTAAGTAGCCTGATAATACTAAGATGAAGATGTGAAGCAAGAACTTTTTACGTTTCAGGTAAGAATGTAAAATAACATAACCGTTTTGGAAGGGCTGTATTTCTTTATATAATTAAACATACACTTACCATATGACCCAGCCATTCTACTCCTAGATATCAGCCAAAGGAAATGAAAAAATGTGAACACAATCTTGTATGTGAATGTTCATAGTAAATATTAATATATCCATAATAGCCCAAACTAGGAACAACCTACATGAAGAGCAACAAGTGAATGGACAATCAGAAACATTGAGATTTATGTAATGGGATATTACTCAGAAATAAAATGAAGTAAATGGCTGATACCAGCAACCACATGGAGTTACCTCAAAAACATCATGCTGAGCAAAGAAAGACAATACAAAAGAGTATATGCTGTATGATTTCATTTCTATAAAGCTAAAGAAGGAAATTATAATCTAAAGTATCAGAAATCAGATTAGTGGTTGCTTGTAACTAGGAGTTGAAGTGTTGACTGAAAAAAGATACTAGGAAAACTTTTGGGAAGATAAAAATGTCTATATTTTTATTATGGTTGTCGTAAATTTATCAAAACTCATTAAAATACATTTAAAATGTTAGTATTTTATTGAATATAAATAAAAATGAATAGTTAGTATAAAATATCTTTTATAATAGCAACGCAACACAAAATATTTAGAAATAATTTAATGCCAGATGTGTAAGACATATACAATGACACTAAAATCATTGCTGAGATAAATTAATGAAGACTAAAATAAATGAAAATAATGCCATGCTAATGTTTAAGAAAACTCAGTAGTATTAAGATGTTAGTTGTTTTTGCTTTTTTTCTAAATTGATCTTTAATGAAATCAAAGAAAATTTAATGTAAGCAAAGCAAAATACCAGCATGATTTTTGTAGATATTGACAAACTGATGCTAAAATGGAAAAAACCTGAAAATAGCAAAAACACTTATGAAAAAAGAACAAAGTTAGATGACGTCTACCACATGTTTTCAAGTTGTACTGTACAGCTAGAATAATTTAAAAAGTATGACCATGGCTAAAAGAAAAAGAAATAGACCAATAGACACAAATGGAACCCAGAAGTAGAACCATGTATAATAGAGTGCATGGATTTTTACAAATGCCCCCAAGTAACACAATAGAGAAAATAACTGTGCTGAATTTAACTCAGAAAATGATACTGAAACAATTGAATATCCATGTGGAAAGAAAATGCATCTTGATCCCCTTTCTTACTCCAAACATAAATTTTAATTTATGAAGATTATAGATCAAAATGTAAAAGCCATATCTATAACATTTCCACCAAAAATAACAGGAGAAGGTCTTTGAGACCTTTGTGTTAGACAAATACTGTTTTGTTTATATAAGCTACAGAAAAAACTAATCATGAAATAAATAGTCAATAAATTTGACATCATCAGAATTTAAAACTTCGGCACATCAAAAAGGAAAAAAATAGACAAGCGGCAGACTAGGAGAAAATTTTCCATTATGTATCTGATAAAAGACTTGTATTTTTGTACAAAGTATACAAGGAACTGCTTCAACTCGATAATATAAAATAAAATACTCCAGCTTAAACAATGGGAGAAATACTTGAGCAGACATATCATATGAATGAACAATATGCACATGAAAAGTGTTCAATGTTAGTCATGATGTATATGTAAATTAAAATGATAATTAGGTTTTTTTGTATGCTACCAGAATGTCCAAAACTCAAAAAAACAGGTAACACTAAATGTCATCAAAGACGTGGAGAAACAAAAGGTCTGATACATTACTAATAGAAGTGTAAACACTTCAACCATTCTGGTAAAATCCTTGGCAATTTTGTATCAACTTAAACACAAACCTATGATGCAGCAGTTCTACTTGTAGGTGTTTACACAGAAAAATAAAAATATATGTTCAAAAAATGTCTTGTCCAAAATATTCATAGCGAAAAAGTTAAAGCAACTCAATATCCATCAAGAGCAGAATATCATGTTCTTGGAATGGAATACTAATCCTCAGTGTATAGGAACAAACTACCAATACATGTAGCCACATGGATGTATCTCCCAGGCATCATGCTAAGTAAAAGAAACTAAAGAAAAACTGTAAAATGTATGATTCCACTTAAATGAATTTCAGTAATAAGAAAAACTAATATATGGTGATATAACTGATTTCTATCACCACTGAACCATACCAGAACTGCTGTGGTTCTCTGAGGTAAGAGGAACTCTAGTTTGCAAGGGAAAACAAAGCAACTTTCTGGGCATAATGCAGTAGTCTAAATCTTTTAAAAATAGACTTAGGGGGTAAAAGTTCAGATTTCTTAGATGTATACATTGCATAGTGGTACAGTCTGGGCTTTTAGTGTATCCATCATCCGAATAGTGAACATTGTGCCCAGCAGGTAACTTACAAGATTTATCCTATCATCATTAATTAACACTTAGGTTGATTCCATGGCTTTGCTATTTTGAAGAGTGCTGTGATAACATATGAGTGCAAGTGTCTTTTTGACATTATGATTTCTTTTCCTGTGGGTAAATATCTCATAGAGAGATTGCTGGACTGAATGGTAGTTCTATTTTTAGTTCTTTGAAAATTTTCACACTGATTTCTATAGAGGTTGTACTAATTTATGTTCCCACCAGTAGTGAGTAAGTATTCCCTTTTCTCCACATCCTTGTAAGCATCTTTTTTTTTTTTTTTTTTTTTTTTTTTTTTTTTTTTTTTTTTACTTTTAAGTAATAGCCATTCTCACTCATATGAGATGGTATCTTATTGTGGTTTTAAGTTGCATTTATCTGATGATAAATGACGTTCAGCATTTTTTCATGTTCGTTGGCTGGTTGTTTTCTTTTGAAAAATGTGTGTTTGTGTCCTTTACCCACTTTTTAATAGTTTTTTCTTTGATTTATTCTCATTGAGTGTTTTGAGTTTTTCATAGATTGTGGATATTAGCCCTTTGTCAGATCAACACTTTGCAAATATTTTATCCACTTCTACAAGTTGTCTGTTTACTCTTGTAGTTTTCTGTGCAGAAGCTTTCTAGTGTAATGAAGTCCCATTTGACTATTTTTGTTTTTTATTGTGTTTGCTTTTGAGGACTTGGTATAAGCTCTTTGCCTAGGTCAATGTCCAGAAGAGTTTTCCCTAGGTTTTATTCTAGTATTTTTATAATTTCACATCTTACATTTAAGTTTTTATTCTACCTTGAGTGAATTTTTGTATATAGTGAGATAGGAGTCCAGTTTCATTCCTCTGCTTATGGCTATCCAATTTTTCCAGCACCATGTATCAAAGAGCATTTCCTTCCTCAGTGTATATTTTTGTTGACTTTGTGAAAGATGAGTTGGTCTTAGGTGTGTGGCTTTATTTCTGAGTCCTCTATCCTATCCTATTTATCTGTGTATCTGTGGTTATACTAGTACCATGCTATTTTGGTTACTATTGCCCTGTAGTATAATTTGAATTCAGATGATGTGATGCCTCCAGTTTTGTCCTTTTTGCTTAGGATTGTTTTGGCTATTTGGTCTACTTTTTTCAGTTCCATGTGAATTTTAGAATTCTTTATTCTAATTCAGTGAAAAATAACATTGGCATTTTGACAGGGATTGTGTTGAATGTGTAGATTGCTTTGGGCAGTGTGCTCACTTTAATAACATTGATTATTCCAATCCATGAGCATAGGATGTTTTTCCATTTGTTTGTGTCATCCACAATTTTTTCATCAGAACTACATCATTTTATAGTTCTTCTTGTAGAGATCTTTTACCTCCTTAGTTAATTTTTTTAGGTACTTTTTATGTAGCTATAGTAAACATGATTGAGTTCTTGATTTGGTTATCAGCTTGACCATTGTTAGTGTATAGGAATGCTACTAGTATTTGTGTGTTTATTTTGTATCCTGAAAGTTTTTACTGAAGTAGTTCAGCAAATCTAGGAGTCTTTTGGAGGAGTCTTTAAGAGTTCTCTAAGTATAAGATCATATCATTAGCAAAGTGAGATAGTTTGACTTCCTTTTTAAAATTTTTGAATGGCTTTTATTTCTTTCTTTTGTCTGACTGCTGTAGGTAGGGCCTCCAGGATCAAGACAATAACGTCCACCTTCACCATTTCTATTCAAAATAGTCCAAATCTTGATGGTCACATGAATGCATGTATTTGCCACAATTTATAAACCCATACTTTCAATGTCTAGAATTTCGCTCTATGTTATCTCTACCTCTTTTTATAATATATATGGTAATTTTTAAGATTCATTTCCTCTGTACTGGGCAATTCCCAGAAATAAACAATAGTGGGCAAATAAAAGCTGTAAGGGGAACTAAAATAGCACCACTGCATATAATGACACTGCATCAAAGAAAAAATGAAGTACTTCAAAGTTGTTGCATGGCTCAGAACAGCCAGAAAATAGCATCTCCAGAGACAGGGCACCCTGGTATAGGGTAATCAGAAGTAAGATGGTTCATTTCTAGAAAAGAGCTGCAAAATCACTCTCAAGAAATTTTTGATAAATTAAAATGACTTCTTAATGGACTATGAAGAGGAGAAGTAAAACTGTTATCAGTGAAGACTTTATAAAAGCCACAACTATGAATTAAACACAAACCTTATTTTTTCAAAAAATAAAACTTTTCAGTTTTCAACTACCTTGTAATTAGAAACAATCACTTCAAATATTGCTGATCTTCTTTTTTTAACAAATATTCATTAACTTATCCACAATAAATGTTTACCTAGTTACTATAGATGGATAAGATTATGCACTAAATCATTAAGAATTACATAGTTATAGGATGCTTTATGTGAAGACACATAATTAATTACAATAACAATTAGAAATACCATAAATATATTTTATTTTGTGTGGGATTATTTAAACTCTATTTATCAACTTCTGAGGGTGTAGAAACCTTTTAGAGAGCCAAAAATTCCAGAATCGTTTCCTCTTCTTCACTAGTAAATATTCATTGATAGCTTAGTTTGTGTAAAATTCTATTCTATATGCCTAGTATACATTGAAAAACAATATTGATAAAGATTTCTACCATTATGGATCTCATATAAAATCAAATCAGCAAAACTTTGGCCTCATTTTTATATGGCCTATTGTCTACATTAATGGTAAAAGATAACCAAAATTGAGAGTGGAAATGCTGAATTGATCCAAAGTATATTGTAAAAAATATTTAGATATTATACTTAAAGATTGAAAGATAAACTAATGCTTGCAGAAATTTACATACAATAAGGATTAAAACGACTGAGTTCTCACTCAACCATCAAGTATAGTTAATGATAAATACATATTACACCTTCTAAGTCACATATTCTTAGGCTTTTGTCATCAGATAGAGCAAAGTTACTATTTAATAATTATTAATAAATGCATTGACCAAAGGTGAGAATATAATAAAAGAAAAAAACTATAAAAATATGTAATTAGGTTTTAAGTCTTTGATAAAAATAAAAACGCTCAAATTATAAATTATATTAGTCATGATCTATAAAACATTTTAGAATCATTGTATGTTAAAATGACCTTATCTTTAAATATTTCTAAGATATTCAGACTTCTAAGCTAAAAAATATCCTAGTTCATGTCCACAGTCAAAATACCTAAGAAGAAATTTAAAATAATGGAAAAGTTATCATCTCATGGGGAAACTACCAAATTCCCTTGAACTTGACTCATTATGTAATATTAATAAATAATAATATTACTGTAAATGTTTCAATTACATGTTCATCTAGATGATTAATACAGATTGTTCTATATCCCAAATTTCTTATCTATTGTAATATGTGAAAAAAATCTAGAATATATGTTCTAATACTTGCTCTAGGAATTCTCACTAATCGCTAGTAAAAACACAAAATAATACAGTCACTTGGAAGACAGTTTTGCAATTTCTTATAAAGTTAAGCAAAGACTTACCATATAACCCAGAAATTGTTTTCCCAGGTATTTACCCAGCTGATATAAAATGTATTTCCAATTAAAGCTCTGCATGAGAATGTTTATAGAAGTTTTATTCATAATCATTAAAAATTGGAAGCAACCATGATATCTTCAATAACTGAATGTATAAGCAAACTATGGGACATCCATATGATAAATTACTGTGAATTTATGCAGTATTACTTCATGAAAACATATGAATGAATGTAAAATACATTTTACTAAGTCAAAGAAAAAAGATTTTAAAAGCTACATGATGTAACATTCTACTCATATGATGTTTGGAAAAGGCAAGACTATAGGGATGAAAAACAGGTGGATTGTCAGGGGCAAGGAGATGGGAAAGTGTTTGACAAGAGTAAGCATAGAAAATGTTTCAGGGTGGTGAGACTAATCTTTATTGTACTGTAGTGAGGGATACATGACCCTCTGCCATTATCAAAACGCAAAGGACTTTAGAGCATAAACATTGAAGCCTAGTGTATACATTAAGACATTTGGGAGATTCCAGGATAGAATACAGACTATAATGAAAGAATCTAGCTATATTACACATGTATGACGTATCAGTGAAGGGGGTGGAGAAAAATGTGCTAACCTAAGAAACTTTGGAAAAATGATGTTTTGACTGGTTTTACCAGGCTAGCATTATTCTCACATCAAAACCTGAGAGGACACACAAAAAAAGAAAACTACATCCCAATATTCATGATGAACATAGATGCAAATATTCTCAACAAAATATTAGCAAAGCAAATCCAATAGCATATCACAAAGATTATATACCATGATGAAGTAGAATTTATCCAGGAATGCAAGAATGATTCAACATATGCAAAACAATAAAGATAATAAATTGCATCAATAGAATGAAGGACAAAAGCCATATGATCATCTTAATAGACACAGTAAAAGTATTTGATAAAATTTAATAACACTTTATGATAAAACTCTCAACAGATTAGTTATAGAAGAAACATAGCTTAAAACAATAAAGATCACATATGACAAATCCACAGCTAACATAATACTGAATGGAGAAAAGTTGAAAGCTTTTTCTCTAATAACTGAAACAAGGCAAGGATGACCATTTTCACGTGTTTTATTCAACATAATAATCCAACTACTAGCCAGAGAAATTAGACAAGAGAAGGGAATAAAGTGCATCCAAATCAGAAAGGAGGAAGTCAAATTGTTGCTGTTTACACGTAGCATATTATATTTAGAAAAATTTAAAGACTTCATCAAAAAACTGTTAGAAATGACAAATTTAATAAAGTTGCAGGATACAAAACAAATATTCAAAATTAAATAGTGTTTTATACTTCAATAGCAAACAATTTGATAAGGAAATCAAGAATATAATCACATTTACTATAGCTACAAATAATAAAATAAAATAAATATCTAGGAATAAATTTAACCAAAGAGATGAAAGATATCTATAATGAAAGCTATAAAACACTGATGAAAGAAACTGAAGTGAGCACAAAAGGTTCAGAGATATTTCATGTTCATGGATTGAAAGAATTAATATTGTTAAAATGTTCATAATTCCTATAGCAGTCTACATATTCAATGCTATTACTATAATAATATCAATGCCATTCTTAACAGAAATTTCAGAAAAATCCTAAAATTTGTATAGAACCACAAAGACTCCAAATAGTCGAAGCAGATCTTGAGCCAAAAGAACAAAGCTGGAGGCATCACAATACCTGATTTCAAAATGTACTACAAATCTGCAGTAACCAAAACAGTGTGGTACTGACACAAAAACAGACATGTAGACCAATGGAACAGAATAGAGAACCCGGTAATAAACCCATGGTATTTACAGCCAATAGATTTCTCACAAGAGCTCCAAAAATATACATTGGGTAAAGCACAGTCTCTTCAATAAATTGTTCTGGGAAAACTGAATATCCATATGCAAAAAATGAAACTAGATTCCCATCTCTCACCAAATATAAAAATAAAATATAGATTAAATATTAAATGAAAAAAGTATGAAACTACTAGAAGAAAATATATGAGAAATACTTCAGGACATAAATCTGAGCAAAGATATTTTTGATAGATATCAAAAACACAAGTAACAAAAGCAACAATAGACAAAAGCAATCATGTTAAATTAAAAAGCTTTTTTTATAACAAAGAAAATCAATAGAGTGAAGAGACATCCTACAGAATGAGATAAAATATTTGCAAACTAGCCATATAACAAAGAAGTGATGTCCAGAATATGTAAAGAATTTAAACCACTCAACAGCAAACAATAAATAATAAAAATGGTCTTATTAAAAATGGGCAAAAACAAAGATAATGAAACATTTTACCAAAAAGATACATGCACGCATATGTTCATTGCAGCACTATTCACAATCACAGTGACGTGGAATCCATCAATGGTGGATTGGACAAAGAAAGCATGGTGCATACACAGCATGGAATACTACACAGACATTCAAAAGAATGAAATCATGCCCTTTGCAGCAACATGGATGCAGCTGTCGGCCATTATCCTAACCAAATTAATACAGGAACAGAAAAACAAATACCGCATGTTCTCACTTATAAAAGGCAGCCAAACATTGGGTACTCATGAACATAAAGATGACAACAATAGCCACTAGAGACTATTAGAGAAGAGACGGAAGGCGTGGGGACAAGGGTTGAAAAACTAACTGTTGAGTACTATGCTCACTACCTGTGTGACAGGACCATTTGTATTCCAAACCTTAGCTTCATGCAACGTATCCAAGTAACAAATCTGCACATGTACCCACCTGAATCTAAAATAAAACTCGAAATTATTTAAAAGTGGACAAATTACTTGAACAGACATTTCTCAAAAGAAGACATACAAATGTCAAACAGGTATATAAAAAAGTATTCATCATCACTAATCATCAGGAAAACTTGCAAATCAAAATCACAATGATAGTAGCCAATTAAAATGGCTACTATCAGGTTAGAAACAATGAAAAATACCTGGTATTTGATAGCACAACAGGGTGACCACAGTCAATAATAATTTAATTGTACATTAAAAATAACTTAAAAAGTATAATTTGATTGTTTATAATACAAAAGATATATGTTTGAGATTATGACTACCTCATTTACCATAATGTGATTATTACATATTGTATGACTGTATTAAAATATTCTATTAATATATACTCCATATATATAAACACTATGTACACACACAAATTAAAAATTAAAAAATAGACAAAATTACAAATGCTGGTGACGATGTGAAGAAAAGAAAACTCTTATACACTATGACAATGTAAATGAGTACAACCATTAGGCAAAACAGTATGGAGATTCTGCAAATAGACTAAAATAGAAATACCACATGATCTATAAATCCCACTTCTGGATATATATCCAAAGGAAAGAAATTGATATATCAAGGATATATCTGCACTTCCACGTTTATCAAATCACTCTTCATAATATTTAAGAAAAGGAATCAATATGTTCATGAATGGAGGAATGGATAATGAATATGTGGTATACATACATGATGAATATATATCATTATGTATTTATGTATATATGTATTTATGTGTATATATGTATTTATGTGTATACATATACACATGAATATATATGTATTTATCAATGTATAAATACGTGTGTATTTATGAATATATGAATATGTAGGTATTTATGTTCAGCCACAAAAAAGGAATGATATATTGTCATTTGCAGCAACATGGATGAGCCTGGAGGATATTATGTTAAATGAAATAAGCAAGGCACAGAAAGACACATATTGCAGGTTCTCACTTATATGTAAGTGGGAGCTTAAAAAGTTGATCTCGTAGAAGTGGAGAGTAGAATAGAGGTTACCAGAGGTTGGGAAGTGTAGGGGGTAGATGGTAGGGAGAAAATATGCACAGGTTTGTCAAGGGGTACAAAATTATAGTTAGATAGGAGGAATGAGTTCTAATATTCTATATTATAGTAGAGTGACTGCAACTAAAATTAATGTATTCTACATTTCAAAATAATTTAGAGGAAATATTTTGAATGTTCTCAACACAAATAAACAATAAATGTATGAGATGACAGACATGCCAATTACCCTGATTTGAGCATTACACATTGTTTACATGTATTGAAAATATCACATTTGCCCCATAAATATATACAATTATTATATTTCAATTTAAATAAATAAATAGAAATGTACATAGATAATATAAGCTATTTGGCAAAGTTGTTTCCCATGAATGTAAGGATTCACCATGCCAATATTGATATACATACATACTTGAAATAAACAATGAAGTATATGGATGGTAGAGAGGGTAAGAACCTGGTTTCTCATTGTTGGAGAGGGAGACTACAGGTAAGCAAAAGGAACAGTCCAGAATGACACATGTAGTAATAGATTAGAGGTGGAAACAGCAGTTTAAACTAATGTTTATGTTAATATAGATACAAGTGGCTAAATATAAAAGTATGTGTACATATTTACATACATATGTATTGTCATACATAACAAAGATACTTTTTGTTCTGTAAACTGACAAGGTCTAGAAGTAACAATAATCCAGTAACAATGAACATACCCAGCATCAATACCTTGGCTTCTAATACTGTTATCCAATAAAAGGAATGAAGGCTCCTTGGAAAAATGACTGATTCTAAGATGAGGGCAGGAAATCAACAATATGAACCTGAAGCATCTTCTAGTGCCGTGATATAAGGAACTTATCAGAACAACAAAAAATAAAATGAAGAGTATGTTAAAGGGACATGGGAACCAACTGAAAGAGCTCCTAATGGCCAAAACTGGAATAATTTGAACAAAATGAATTATGTAATATTAGATTATAACCCAAAGTATAAAATAAATAGTCGTGATTTCATGCTGATGTAAACAAATAATTCAATTATTACATGGGGGAGAAGAAACAAATTTCTATGAAAAAGAGTTCCAGTCCAGGCACAGTGGCTCATTCCTGTAATCCCAGCACTTTGGTAGGTCAAGGCGGGCAGATCAGCTGAGGTTAGGCATTCGAGACCAGCCTGACCAACATAGTGAAACCCTGTCTCTACCAGAAATACAAAAATTAGCTGGGTGTGGTGGCGGGTGCCTGTAATCCCAGCTGCTTGGGAGGCTGAGGCAGGAGAATGGGAAGCAGAAGTTGCCGTGAGCTAAGCTGAGATCATGCCATTGCACTCCAGCCTGGGAGACAGAGCTAGATTTGGACTCAAAAAAAAAAAAAAAAGAGCTCCAAATAATTGATGTAAATACTCTGCCCTCCAAAACGGCAGGCATAACTCTCCTCTCCTTAAGGGTGAGCTGCACATAGAGCCTTTCAAAGAGTACAGTAGGGAAAGGAAGAAAAGCAAGTAATTTTACAGTGAAGAAACATCACAAGCACTCCTTTTGCTAGGTGTTCAAGTTTAACTTCAACATTTACATGATAAGTCATGTAAATACTCTTGATATAATGTGATAAAAATGACACTTTACCTCTGTGGTCTTCCTCACAAGAAAATATAACCTTAGACTAAAAAATTAGATAAACAAATCCCAACTGAGAAATATTTCACAATGTATCTGACCAGAACTCCTCAAAACTGGCAAGGTCACCAAAAAAAGGAAAGTCTGAGAAACTGTCACAACCAAGAGGAGCCCAAGGACACATGACAACTAAATGGAATGTGGTATCCAGGATGGGATTCTGGAGCATCAAAAGGATATTCAGTAAAAACTAAGGAAATCTGAATAAAGTATAGACATTAGTTCACAACAAAGTATCAACATGTGTTTATTGTAGTAAATGCACCTTACCAATGTAAAAGAGTAATCATGGGGCAAGCTGAGTGTAGAGTACCTGGAGTGTATCTGCACAATCTTCGCAGTTTTCCTGCAAATCCAAAATTGTTCTAAAATTTTAAAATTATTTTTGGAAATACTGGAGGTGCTGAATGAGATAGGGAGCTGCCTCATACAGCTTGCCTTTTTTCAACATTTCCTTGTTTGGTTTTGGTAGTGGGTTTTTTGTTTGCTTGTATGTTGGTTTGGGCCAGTTGCAGCTCAAAGTGGTAATTACTATTATTTATTTATTTATTTATTTATTTTTAATTTTTTTGAGACAGAGTCTCATTCTGTTCCCCAGACTGGAGTCCAATGGCCCAATCTCAGCTCACTGCAACCTCCACCTCCTGGCTTCAAGTGATTCTCCTGCCTCAGCCTCCCGAGTAGCTGGCACTACAGGTGTGCACCACCAAGACGGGCTAATTTTTGTATTTTTTAGTAGAGACAGGGTTTCTCCATGTCAGCCAGGCTGGTCTGGAACTCCTGACCTCAGCTTATCCACCCGCTTGCACCTCCCAAACTGCTGGGATTACAGGCGTGAGCCACTGTGCCTGGCCAAAGTGGTAATTACTATTTATAAGATCAGGTTTTGCACCTCAAAATATATTACATCTTTTCCACTCTTCTCAATTTTTGAATCTGTTCTTAAGCAGAGGTTTGATTCAAAGTTCAAGAGTGGTAAAGTACATCTTTTGACAGCGTACAAACTGAAAATGCTTTGTCCATTCATGTAGCAAGAGTTCAGATCATGCACAAGTACATCAAACACCCCTGAGCGTTATTGTTTAGAATCACAGTATGTCTGATATTTGTGGAGTAAAAATACGTATATATGCCATATGACAGGGAAAATTCATTTTAGCTACTGAAAGAATTGTGCAGCCCCATGAGTGCACATAGAATTAGACCTTATTCACATATTTCATACTGGAAAGAGAACTAAAACCTTGACTATACTTCTAAGTGACCAGGTCCCTAAGAAAAAGCAGGGGTCATGGTTTTGGTGGTGTGAGGATGAGGAGAATAGGTAGCCATGAGAAATTCATGTCTACTCAGGATAAAACTTACATTTGCTTCCCAGAGAGTTCTGTCTAAGAAAATGAGTAGAGTGAATTCGTACACCTGCTCAGTCCTGACAATAGTAAACAAAATTTCTCTGAATCTCCACTCTTCATCCAAATCTCTATGAAACCAGAATAGTCTGTTTAGAATAAACAGAGAGCTTCTCAGTTCTGTCCTGCTTGTATATTAGAATCCTTTCTGGAGCTTTTATAATTTTCATCCTGGGCCCCATGTGTGGCCAGTAAACCAGAATCTCTAGGCAGGGCAAGGCACATGCATCAAGTCATTAAAACCCCCCAGGTGATTCTAATGTACAGGCTGGATTGAAAGCCATTGCAGCCAAGTTTAAACCCCTATGAACCTTACCCTTCTGGAAGCGAAGCTGCTTGGGTGAGAAATAAATACAGGATTTTGCCTGATCCTAATTTTAAGCTTTTGCAATTCTTATTTTTTTTTCAAAAAAAGTAAAATAATAAAATGGAAAAGAAGCCCGGAACCACACCCCCCCCCACCACCCAGGGCCCTCCCCAACACACACATATTTAAGAATAAGAGAAAATGCCCTTGGGACATTCTCACACCTTTAGGAGAAGTAACTTTCACAATGCTTATATTTAAAATTCCTCCACCACTATCCTCCTTTTTTTTTTCTTCATTTCTTGACATAATTGGGCAGAGTAGGCAGAGGCATATTTCTGACTGGCTTCTGAAGAGTGAAAAATCAGTCAGGGCTTGAGTCACGGAGCCAAGAAGAGAAGCTGAGAAAGAAAAGGGGACCGAATACTTACCTTTTTAAATAAAAAATTAGAGCACATCCCTCAGGTACTCTTGTACTCAATAACCCCAACATCACTGACATCACTGTGCTGCTAAACGTGAAAACTATGAAGATAATAAAAAAAGCCTCAGATACAGGATGAGAGGAATCACCAAGCCAGTGCTGAGGTTATTGAATCTAAGTAGAAATGAAACCCAAAACTTTCCAGACAATTGGCATTAAAGCAGAAGAAGAGATTTATTAAACATTCAAGTTTAGGATGAGAATTTTTAAATATTTTTATAAACCTTTGCATGTGTGGCAATTTGGTTCTATGCATTTTACTGCACTGTTTTAATTCACAGATGACTTGTTTCTGTGGTCTTTTCTTAGAGAAATATCATTGAATAAGCAATGAACAGTCACAAAATTATGAACCTATCTTCTCAAAAGCTGCATATAGATGAGAACAGAGCCTATAAATATGTACATCTTAGTATACAACTATCTTTTTTAAGACAAATAGAACAACTATCTTTTTTAAGACAAATAGAATTAGATTAGCACAATCCATATCTGATATCATAATATCTAAATAATTTCCAAAATTCACCAAACTGGGTATGACGTGGTAATCAGAGTATTTTATCAAATCTTCTAGTACTATGGATTGCCTCTCTAATAGCAGCCTGAAAGAATGTTTGGCTGAGAAAACAACCACTAATTATCTGTAAACTCACAATGATCTTTAAAA
The DNA here is from genome assembly GCF_000001405.40 of Homo sapiens. NCBI lineage: Eukaryota > Metazoa > Chordata > Mammalia > Primates > Hominidae > Homo > Homo sapiens. The sequence goes on from NC_000007.14 coordinate 126,136,562, forward strand.
TTTCTAAGTACGTGGTTCTCAGCGGGACAATCGCCCTTCTAAATCCAGATGCTTCAAAAACTATAACAAACTTGAAGTAGTCAGGTGACCCCTGAGAAATACAGTAAGGAGTAAGCCAAATTTAGTAACCTTAGTGTAGGTTAATAGTAGTTAAGGATACATTTCACTGGGAAGTTCTTCCCTTCTCTCTAATAAGTACAGATTATGTTTAGTCAGTTATAAAATACCTGGAAGAGTAAAATACCTTTTCTCCCTCCTCGGTAGATTAGATTGTGATTTTTCTGCCCAAAAATATAGCAAGCCTGTTGATTAGCAATAGCCCAGTGTCTAGCTCTCAATAAATATTTGATGAATAAATAAATGACTAAAAATGTATATATTTCTCAAACAATCTTAATCTAACTTCAATAGTTTAGTAATAACAGTTATAAAATACATACCAAGCACTGTGTTAGGTTCTGGAGACACAAAAATAGAATAAAAGTCTTATCAACATATTCGAGAAAAGAACCTGTTTCTCTTAAGTGTTCATAAAATTTCCCAATGACTAATAGCTGATGGTGAATAAATATTTTCTAACCCTAATTTCACAAGAAGCTCAATTTATTTCTACCCAACTCTAAAAAGTACAATTGACACAGTAATTTCTTATAACAAATCTAATATCAGTGTCAGGATAATATCCTGGTTAAAAGTAAGCCTCTGAATTCAAATCCTGAATCCTTTGCTAGCTGTGTGGTTTTGATCAAATTTCTCAGTATTTCCAAACCTCAATTTTCTAATCTATAAAGTAGGTAAATAATTATAGCATGTGTCTCAAAGGATATTGGGACAATACAAGCGGGGTAACCTACGTCTAGAATAAACATTTAATAAAAGCTACTACTATTAATTATATTCAATGGTAGTGCCATGTTTTCAAAACACCATTAGTCAAGGGTAGTGATTTTTTGGTAGGTAGACAAAACAAGTTTCAGGCTGTGTTTTAACAGCAATTTATATAAGATTGAGAAAATGTTGTTTATATCAAAGAATGTTATAAACATTCTTTGGGGTAGTTACATTATATCAAAGAGAGAAAATGGATGCACCATATGAGGTACCTAAAGCTCCACCAGGCGCTTAGCTGTCACTATTATTACTTACTACTTTATGTTACTGCTTCATGAGGAGTAAGGAAAATACCTCATATGAAAATTGGGTAATTGCTAAATTTTCCAATTTTTTAGTATTGTCAAAAGAAAACTGAAGATGAATGTAAAAATGACTCCTCTGAAACTCCTGACTAATTCAAATGATAATTATAAGGCAAATGAGTAGCCTCATTAGGACGTCTCACTACACGCACTCCTTCATTCATTTGTTCAGGCATTTACTCAGGCATTTGTTCATTTATACGTAAATGAGTAGCAATGTCTATGAGAAGCATTAATTGTGAAGCCTGCTTTTTAAAAAATCTCACACTAATGCTATTATACTGACAAAATTAAACCTAATTTATACAAAACAAAGTTATTTTTAAACTTCCTGCTAGGACAGGAACAAAAAACCAGGTTGCTGAATGGGTTGTTTTCTGAAAAATAGAAAAAGACAACGATAAGTCAGTGTTAGCAGGTGATTTCATCAATTACTGTGTGTGGTTGTGTTCAGTGGGAAGCAATAGCAGGGTGGAATGTTAAATTAAACTTAAGTTGATTTTCTTGAACATTTTTAGGGCATTCTCTGTAATTAAATATACATGGTGGATAGGGTGGAAGGGTAAAAACTTTGTCAGAAACTACAAGTTACAATTTAAAGTTACCACACCCTCACATGTGATCAGTGTAAGTGTTGTGTAGCATAAAAACATCCCTTGTGCAGTTGTATCCCTGCAACAATACACTTCCAGGCACTCTTTCATTGTTGAATTGTCATTTTGCTACAGTGTACTATATAAATGTATATATGAAATTTATATATGTATATATATTATTTATATTATATTATATTTGTATGTATGTATTTAAATTTAAGCCTGCCAACAATGCCTTGTCAGTTTCTAAGCCCTATCGCTCAGGCAATGAATTATTTAGAATTGCCAGCTTTGCCACCGTCAGTGACAACTAGTGCACCTTGAGTTTTGCCACCACTGTAAATTCACTGTACACTTCCGGGTACACATTTGCACTGTGGAGTCCCTATTCTGAAATGACAAGATCTGAGCACAATCAGAGCAGCATTTCTAAACCTCTGCCTTCTCCTGTGACTATTTTCCCCTATTGCCTGTGCATCTTGTTAGTGCTATGCTTGAATCCACACCATTAGAGCAGTGACACAGCTGCTGTCATTCTCAGTTTTCTAGGGCTCCTGCTAAGACAGATCAACTCTGAAAAAAATGCCTCTGCTCCCCATTTTATTACCCAGAGACAAAAGCTTTTAAAAAATCATATAACCAATTATTTGGTCGCAGAGGATAGGGTCATGTCTCATAGGATAGGGCCAATTGCCCTTCCAGACTCAGAAAAAGAGCTGAACTAAGGAAGCTAGGACAGGTCAGGACTGATCAAAACTAACATTCATACAAGAAAGACCAATTAGGATAGCTGCTGAAAGGGAATGCAAGATACCAGAGAAGCAGGTATTCTAGATTTTTTTTTCTTTTTACGCTTAAAAGAAAGTTACAAGTAACATTTCCAGTATAGTCTACAATTTAATATGATTTTAATTTAATTTTAAGCATATTTCTCCCTACATCATGCAGGTCTCAGTATAGGTTATGCCCCGTATATGTGCAATTAATTAAAGTTTGATAAGAATTTCTTTAAATTTAGCAAGAAAACCATTAAAAGGTCTTTCATGAATTTAAAATAAATTTTTGTTTATGAGAGTTTTTTAACTAATTTGGAGGCTAGTTACTCTGTTAGATGGGTTTTGAGATTAGATAAAGTTAATTTGAATGTTTAAATGTGGGTAAGGCAGGACTTGACAATAGGTAAAGGCACTCAAACACTAGTTCTCCAATGGAGCTGCACTTAAGAATCATTGGGAAGCTTTTAAAAAACTAACCTGGGGTCTCCCTCAGAGAGTCTGACTTAGTTGGCTTGGGAGATGGCCTGGGCATATGAACATTCTAAAGCGTATCAGATAATTCCATTATGTAATAAAATTTGAGAACTCCTGCTCAAATGGCTCAATTCTTTATATTTTTAAATAAATATTCAAGCAGAACAAAATAAAACAATTAGATTGTATTAGTCCATTCTCATCCTGCTAATAAAGACATACCCGAGACTGGGTAATTTATAAGGGAGAAAAGTTTAATTGACTCCCAGTTCAGCATGGCTGGGGAGGCCTCAGGAAACTTACAATCATGGTGGAAGGGGAAGCAAACACGTCCTTCACATGGCAGCAGTAAGGAGAAGTTTTGAGCAAAAGGGGGAAAATGCCCTTATGAAACCATCAGATCTTGTTAGAACTCACTCACTATCAGGAGAACAGCATGGAGATAACTGCCCCCATGATTCAATTACCTCCACCAGGTCCCTCCCCTGACACATGGCGATTATGTGAACAGCAATTCAAGATGAAATTTGAGTGGGGACACAGCCAACTCATATCATAGATAATGTAAGGATGGAGTGGTTCTTCTCCAAAAAGAAAAAGTTTGTCAACACAGGATTATTTGCCACAAAGAGATCACCAAAGCTGTGGTAGGAGCAGTAATCAGCTAGCAATTAAGTTTACATAAGAGTTTTGTAATGGAGACTATTATAACAAAATGGACCCACAATGCTTGGTAGTTGAAATATTTTCAAACGACCATTCTAAATATATCTATTAAATTTTATATGTATTAAGATAGTAATGATTTTATGATGCCTAATTATTTTATACTACTATAAAATAAAAAAACTTTAAATCATCATGTACTATCAATTGTAAGATGCACCCCAATTTTAGATACATTAAATATTAAAAATATTGAAGCCTAGAATTGATAAGAACTGTAATGTTGGCTTAGCAGCCAGAGAAAATAATCAATTTTTTGTTAGCGTTAGGGAAATGGATACAGGAATAGTGAACACAAGCTAAAAATAGTTGTGGAGAATTACACTCATCTTTCAAACTGTGAGTTTCTAAAGAGATGACTGATGTCTAGCTAAAGTTAAAGGGATTTATATGACACTAGTTAGAGAAATAACAATCATATAATAGTGTGAGTTAATTATTTCTCTGATTATGTTTTAAGAGAGTATATAAATGGTAGTATTTTCTTTATAAAAATATAGGTAAATAATTTTAACTCCATATCATAATAAATTGTCACATTTTGTGGAACAATTTTTACAACCAAATAAAATATGTGAGGCCAAAAAAAATGTCAAGGACATGTGTTACATTATCATTCATTTCTGGTTTTTTTTTTTTTTGAAAAAACATATGACATTGACAGCATCCCATAACAGATGTACTGTTTGTACATGACTTTTTCATCACCAAAGCATCCCATCTGCTGACATGGCAGATTTTTTTTAAAGAAAATATTTATATTATGCAAAAACAACAAAGAAGCTGTTAAATTAAATTTGGCCTAAAACTACCTCCATATATTATGAACTGAAACCTAACAATGTATTTTGAAAATGCATGTTTAAGAAAATGCTCTATATCAAGTAACAGAGTCTCAGCCAATTATAGCAGCCAGGCTTTCAGCCAATCACAGGCTGCAAACTGCCAAAATATGTCCAGATAAGACAAACATCCAGCTACAACCAATCAAGTTATTTCTGTATACCACTTCTTTTACTGTCTGTAACTATTCCCTGCCCATGTTGCTGGGTGAAGCTCTTTGAACCTTTGTGTTTCAGGGTGCTGTGCAATTCAATAATCATTTCTCTGCCCAAATACACTAAGTTAAATTTAATTTTTCTAAAGTTTTTGTTTTAACAAAGCTATTACTCGTAAACCTTTGAAATAAATACTTAAGTATTTAGTATGTACACATATTTATTTCTTTAAATCCATTTTAAGAATTAAAATGTTGGCAGGTAGAATTATAAAGTTTATTATTAAAATTGTGTGGGCTTTGTCACAAGACTCTCATAAGTAGGAATTTATGCATTCATCTCTTACATACTTATATGCACCAGATATCATTAAGTGCTAGGTATACAGCAATAAAAATAAATAAATAACCTATTCTCATGTTTTCTTGATTTTTAAAATTTCTGCTTCATATAGTCAAGTAAAGAATGTCATTGTTTTTAATCTACTAGTTACAAGACATCCTCCTCAAACTGATTTTTTAAAAAAGGAAATGAACTTGCTCACACATCTGCAGAGGTAGTACAGTGTCCCCATTGATACACCCTGTGGCTTCAGCTTGAATTGCCTTTTAGCCTTGTCCTTCTCCGTGTGTGCCTACAGCATTTCTAGGTTTGAAATCAATGATAGAAAAGTTCAAGGAAAGAAAGAAAGACAAAAAGTGGCTTCTGGAAGTATTCCCAAAGTGTGCCTAAGAACTTGCTCAGAAAATTTCCCTTCACATCAATGTACCCAAATAGGTTATTTCTCAGCTAACCACTAGCAAAGTAGTATAAGAGAAAAGAAGTATCTTTCCTTCTCATCTTAGGTTCATGGCTGAGGCCCCGATTACAAAGGACAGAGTAACAAGAGAAAAGCATACAAATTAATAATATATATATAATAAGACATGAGAGCTTTCATAAGGACATGAATACCCAAACAAGCAGGTAAACGTGTGTGTTTTTTATGTTTGATTTGATGAAGAAGTGGACAATTGTGGAGTAGTAGGATTGACAAAAGAAGAATGATCTAACGATAATAAACTGGGGAGAAATTATTATAGCAAGGCCTGTGTGTTCAGATTTTCTTCTGTGTCCCTAAGTCTTCAGAGACAAGAACATTCCTGTTCGTTGGGTATAGGGTAGGCACTTCTTAAACAAGAGTTTTACAACCCTCAGGGGAGAAGGGAGGTAGGTCAGAGAGTGATCTTCCTAGATTTTATAACCTGCTTCAAGGAAGATGGGTGGGAGAGGGGAAGGTGAGAATGATCTTCCTGCTTCTGCTGTTTTCACAAATGCCAAAGTGCCATCTTTTGGAATAGCATGTCCTGAACCCCTTCAGTGGGCAGGATTACTGTTAGACCAATCATACCCACTTCTGGATATGAATATGGCTACCTTAAGCTGAGACAGAAGGGCCTCGTAGAAGAGTAGATTCCTGAACAGAATTATGATTCTCTTACGAAGGCAGATGGGAAATTGAATTTTTGGTACACACAAAAAAATGTCTATTACAAGGAACTACCATGGCGTAAAGGTTTGTAATAGGTAAAAATTGCAAATAACTTGTATGCCCATTAGAGGAGATTCTAAAAAGTATCATATATCCATATATGTAAACTATCTGTACTAACATGAAAAATGACTGCTAGCTGCTAAGTGGAAAGCAACATTGCTCTTATGTTTCTAGATAAACTATGTAAATATATATGGATGTCTATACATAGGTAAAAATACATGTGTATGGTATCTACATACACACATAAAAACAAATATATAAGTATTTAGGAATCCACCAATAAATGTTATTTTTTAAAATATAACTAAGTATTTTGGACATATCTTAGATTAAAAAATCTCCTAGGTAATTTATATGTAATAGATATCTTACATATCTATTAGGCGCCCATCACATTTAGATTTCTCCCTCTATCCCATCCTGCTCCCCTTCTCTGTTTTCATAGTGATTGAACCCAAAAGTCCTCCTTTATAAGCACTCTTCAAGCTAATCTGTTTCAGAGCCATCTTTACAGAGAAACCAACTTGCAACACCCTCTCAGGAAATGAGTTAACTTCCATACTAAATGAAATGTATTTCTACTTGTCCTTGTAAATTTCAACCCAATATTCCTTTCTCTTTAAGGTACTTTATAACCTCTCCAGACAAACTAAGTTATTCCTCTCATGCTCCCTCATATTCTGGAATATGAGACACTTCTATCATCTGCTTATGAGGTACCAGAACTTTATAAAAAGTTATATACTACTTGCCATTATTTCTTTACCCACTAGAACATGTGTTCCCTGAGAGCAGGTAGTGTTTCCTTCTTATTGGCCCTTTAACATGTGAAACATAAATTGGCATAAAGATTCTTAATAAATACTTTTAAATGAATAGTTGGTCTCTTCTCCAACTATGAAATCCCAATTCAGTTAGGGTTTATCACATTACTTTTCACACAAAGTGGGCACAACATATCAGATCTAATTTGCACAAACTATGTACTCCACTTATGCCCCACTCTCATCCAATCATGCTTTTCTACAGATGAAAGAACAATGAAGAGTCCACAAGCCATTAAAGTGGATACTTTTTTCCATTTAAAATGATTTTTACCATTCTTCTAGCCAACTTTTTTTAATAAGTTGCTCGCTAATTCTCAATCACATGTTCCTGCCCATCTATATAGTTTGTACCTAGCCAGTGTCCAATTAACAAGAGGTAGTAAAAATCTGTCAACAAAATCTATAATAAAATATGGTAGTGAGCATTATCTACTTTCCAATAGAGCTGGATTCTCTGTATTCTTAATGGAACTGCTTCCCTAGAGAGTAGCACTTGTATTCAGCAATAAAGCTTGGAATACCAGTGAGAGTTTATCCTACTCTCAAAAAATTTTCAAGCCTCCAGTTCACTGCAACTTTTCTGTCTTTATTTCAATTGCTTAAGATCACCCTCTATTGTGTTGTATAACACGCAACAATACACACAGAAGAACCATAGAAAAAATCCAGTGTAATTGATCACTAAATTAGAATTCTTTTTTTCTTATTATATCTATCCTCACTTTTTCTACTCAATTGCATTACTTTCTCCTTCTCCTTGGCATGAGTATCATAACATTATCTGATTTTTCACAGCAGTGATAATGTTTTAGTGTACTTTCTATTTATTTGTGATATTTAGAAAGATAGTCAGTTTGGGCCAAGGAGTTTCCTGAGCAGCTTTACATCACCCAAGTGCCTGATAATTCTAAAAATCTGATATCTGTACAACATTTCTTCATTCATGATTTCAGGTATTACCAGCCCTGGTTAAGCTCTGATTATGCTTCTTTTCCAATTCTACATATTTTGTCCAGAACATCTGAAAAAATGTCCATACAGGACCAAGAAACATATGAGAAGTATATGCTTCATGAACTCTGACATAAATGGTCTAATTTCGGAGCTGCTATTATGTTTTCAACCTGATATTTGTCTAGATTATAGGTCATTGTATTAAATCTAAACTTTATTCGTAGCAAAAGTGATAGCATCTTTTTATTTCTGTTATCTCCAAAGTTCTAAAATGTTGATTTTGATGTCATCTGAACAAGGACATATTTCAAAATGTGAAATATCAAAATAAACAATAAAAGAGAGACAGAACAATATGTGTTTGAGTACTCATACAGCATGAAAATAAGAATTATAATCCACAAATTATTATAAATGTTATTTATATGGCATTTATTAGATTAATATAATACTATATAAATAAAATAACATTTGAAGTTAGAGCTAGAGGAAAAGAAGTATAAAACTTGATAAACAGATCTCTTAATAGATTGATTTAGACAGAAAAACACTAAATTATTAAGAGAAATGACAGTCAGAACTAATTTAGAAGATCAGAATCCCTCCAGTTGGACATGAAATTATTGCTATAATATTCCCAGAGGGTTTGGACAGAGAACTAATCTGTTGTGGAATAAGTTAGAGATGATTATGTGACTGGTGATGAACAATATGGAGAACTCTTACTTTTCTTGTTTAAAGGAAGTGTTACAAATGGTATTACCTGCATCTGAATATAATAAAGATGGTTAAAAATAAGAATCAGTGACCTAATATACTTTGCATATTGAGTAAAAATCTGTCTTACTGATTCAGGCTGTTTATAAAGACCTTGCCATTGGTAAGATTCTCTTTTAAACTCAGAAGCTACATTATGCCTCTCCAAAGCAATCACTTTTTTTATGAATTGTACATTTTAGAGTCATCCACTCATAGCTGTTCCTGAATTATTGCTTCAAGGACATTCAAGGGTATCCTCCTAACTGTAGTAAAATAATTTCTCAAAAATTTTAAATACGATTTTTCAAAAGCAAAAGAGTAGCCTCATATTTGTTTTGGGATTTCTTGAAATATTTAGGTATTCATATTCCAGCTGGATTGAACACCCATGATCGTAATTACTAGAACATATCAAACACTTTACTACTGATTTAAAATAAATTACTTTAACACAACCAATCTTCTATGGTAACACTCAACTTTACCTGTCTCAATTGCTCTAGAACAAACATCTTGAGATACAATATTCACAGTACAATATCTTAGAAAAGAACAACATTTTAAAATTTTAGAAAAAAAATCAGGACTCACTTTGTAAGAGTTGCACTTTATTATATCCTCTTTGAATAATTACATAGCAGTAAAAATTAAAAATAGAATAATATGTAAATTATTTGGCATAGAGTGGGTACTAAGAAACAAGTTAACTTTCTTGAGTCCCAAAGCAGGTAAGACTTGTAAGTGGAGAAATGCAGGTTAGATCTTACTTCAGAGGATCTTAACACACATATATGGATCACAATAAGTTAATTCAGAACTTTCAACTAGAATCAGCACATGAAATTGCCCCAAGCACTTGGGTAAGAAAAGAGGAGAAACCTCACAGCCTGATTTAGCACAGGGGCAGGGGCTAAAGAGCCACAGATAAAAAAGGAAAGTTTCTGAACATTGGTTCTTTAACCAAATTCTCTAGAAATTTTCAAGAGATACACTGACTATGGAAAGTACAGTATTAAATTATACAAACCAGTCTCAATTCAAGGAAGAAAATAATATATTTATTTAATGTAGGTTTATGATAATTGTAAGAGCGACAAAGGCAACAAAAGGCACACATGTTTTATCACTGACTTCTAAATTATTATCGAGCATTACCTAGGTCTCATTGTTTTACAGATTTTGCTTCTTGTATTTATAAGCAAATTTTAATGCTTCTTGATCTTGCTTCTTGTATTTATAAGCAAATTTTATTATTAAATGAAGCTATTTCTCATAGACTGTGAAACCTTTCTTACCCATGTGATGTTTTAGAAAAATCTGTTTTCACTTTTGTTGTATTGTGTTTTGATAAAATCATTGGGAATAATTTTGAGGTTTCATCTCCCTTTTGTCCTCTTTACTTTTACTCAATGAACTTAGAGTATGCAGTAGCCAGGTTTCAGGTGTTTTGTGACATACAAGAAATATATAAATGAGCAAGGTTCTTCTGGTCAAGCAACTTCAAGCATGTAATAAGATTCTTGACCTCTGTCAGTGGATGGTTTGGTTACTAGAAATATACTTGCTTAAAAAGCAAATAAAGAAATACCTGGTTATGCATTGTATTTCAGAAAAGCATACTGAAAATGTAAATCCATGTGACTACAGGCATTAAGAAAGCGTAGCCATAATGATTGAACCCCTACTAAGTTTTGCTTACTTGGCTTATATTATCTCTATTATTCATCATAACAATATTATGAGGTTGGCATTATTATCTTCATTTCTCATATAAAAAAGAGTCTGACCCTTTGAGAGTTTTGACAACATATTCAGAGCTAAGCTAATAATAAGCAGTAGGGCTGGCCTATGATAAGCGCATGATCTTCTCCCACGTAGTATTTAATAGTTTGCACTTGAAAACATCAATGCACCTGAGAATTTCACTGCATAGTTGCTTTAACTGTCATATTACGTATTTCCTCACCCTCAACTAATGCCTAGGCAGAGGATCTTTAATGAATACTAGATATAATGGTTAGGCTTAAGGTCTTAGAGAATTTCCTCAACAACAAAACATTTCCAGTGAGGCTCAAAGGTATATGGGGCCAATCCAAACAAAGCCTAGAAAAGATAAATAAATATAATATGTACAAATGTATAACATTGGAAATGACAAAATAAAATTAAGACTGATTTACCACATAATTTTTATTGAAAACCATGAGATTCTACCATCACAAAGTACCAAAAAACAGAGTGAAGAAAAATAGAATGGAATAATATGCAGTAATAGAAGTTAACAATTTTGCCTGTTCAGGATAGTTGTGGACACCTCTGAGGTGTTACCAACTGATGTGGCAGGATTCTACTTTGTAACATTATTTCATGTAAATTATTAGAAATTTATTTTACAATACAATTTTTATTAAGAAATATAAAAGATATATTTAGGTATTTATACTAGGATATCTGAAGACATTGTCTTTAAGCTTCTTGCATTTATGGACTCATTTTACTTGTGGAGATTATAAGAGATGATCTGTTCCAATGTCATTTTAAGATGGTAATTCATTATGTTATTATGATAACATATTATATGAATATTTTCCTTGGATATTTAACAAAACTTACTACAAGAAGGATTAGGCATAATAATATAGTCATTGTCTGAAAGAAGCTTAGGAGGGAAATTAAATGGATACACTGTTAGGGAAAGAGAGATACAATTACACAGGAGAAGATAGAAGGGATGAACTCAGGTCCATGACAGTTAATGAATAGGTACTTGTGGATGCTTCATGGTATTTGAACACATCCTTGAAAGAGATGTATTATTTTAACACACAAAGATGAATATTATATCAACAGTGCAGGATACATAATATGAAACCTTATAAGATGGGACAGGTGAGCATCTGATTTTCAAGAACTTCGAATAAGTTTAGATAGCATTTGTTATAAAACAGCACATTGCTGAAGATTTATGAAAGGAGACTGGATTGTATAATGAGAATGGTAATTTAGAAAGATTAATGTGGTAATTTCCTGAAGGTTTGACTAATCAGTGAAATGGACAGAATACAAGGGACCATTAGCAATAATGCAGGTATTGAGAAAGCAGAAACTAAACTAGAGTAGTGACAATAGGAATCACAAGTCAGACTAATGCAAAGCACAGATGTAAATCTGGCAATCATCTTTAAAAACTAATAAATAAATGAAACAAAACCTGCAACTCACTAGACTTAAGGGTTAAGGCTAAGAGTGAAGGAGTAATGAATAAACCATGTGAATTTTCAAGAGTAATAATAACAATAAAATGTAGACTTCACAGGAGCCACTTTAAAACTGAAATCTAAGTGGTAGTATTCAATATTCAATAGAATGAAATGTGTGTCTTGAGCTTCTGAGGAAGATTGGGAATGAAGATTGCTGATTTAGGAATTTAAACAGATGTTAACAAAGCTAATCTATTTGCAATTACAACAACTGCAACAAAATGCCCCCAGAGCAGGAAAACAACCTCAGTGTAGGTAAGAAAGAGTAGCTTGGGAGGTAAGAAGGTAGAAAAATCAGAAATATAAAGAGAACCTAGTTGTTCTGGCGTTGGTTCAAGCAAGGTGAGTGCTTCTAAGGGCGACCCGGTGAATACTGTGAAATGCTGTAAAGATAAAGAAAGGTGCAGCTTGAGGCCGGGCGCGGTGGCTCACGCCTGTAATCCCAGCACTTTGGGAGGCCGAGGCGGGTGGATCACGAGGTCAGGAGATCGAGACCATCCTGGCTAACACGGTGAAACCCCGTCTCTACTAAAAATACGAAAAAATTCGCCGGGCGTGGTGGCGGGCGTCTGTAGTCCCAGCTACTTAGAAGGCTGAGGCAGGAGAATGGCGTGAATCTGGGAGGCGGAGCTTGCAGTGAGCCGAGATTGCGCCACTGCACTCCAGCCTGGGTGACAGAGCGAGACTCGTCTCAAAAAAAAAAAAAATAAAAAAAGGTGCAGCTTAAACAAAGGGCACCTGTTCAGCAACTTTTGTGGGCTGGCAAGCATGGTACCCTGACTCCAGGGTGGCTGTGCTCCTTCACTGAACCTATGCACCGTCTTCTGGTATCAGCATTTTCCTTGAGCCTGTCCTCTTCCACGGCATCTATTACCTAAGCACAAAATGTCTAGAGATCAGGAGACCAGGTTTTAAACCAGTCAAGAATGCACAAGTGTCCATTTTTTCTCTGAATGTGGAAAGACTATAAATATGTAAAATAAATTACTTTTTATTTCCTATCCAAATGGCCTATGCAGGCTTTCTTATCCTAGTGCTGCTATGAAATTGTAAGATCATTGCAGACTTGTCTACCAAATACTAGAATGTACAATGAAAGACAAACCTGGTAGTTGAAAGAGAAATTTTCAGGATAGGAAAAATGGTATAGATTTCTCAATAGATGGGAAACTTAGAAAACTTAGTTTTCTGAAGTTTTTTTGTTTGTTTGTTTGTTTGCTTGGTTGGTTGGTTTTTTGTAAGAGATAATCTTACGAGATATTTAACTATAATCAAACTCACAGTGAGCAATAGTAGTAGACATTATAAAGTTCTCTGGCACTTTTAAGTATTTAAAAGAATAAAAGAGTGTACTCTTTTATTCCCCTAAGTCTCAGGGTCAATTTCTATTGGTATGCAGTGTCCCTTGTATGTAGACATATGTTTAAAATGATGTGCTTGTGAGGGATGGGGGAAGGAGGAGAAAGAGGGAGGCACTCTACAATTATCCTGATGTGTTTATCTCAAAAATGACATAACTCTAATAATTAGACCAATGATATATTGAAGTATTCTCATCTTTACAAATTCTCTGTGCATTAAGTGAGAAAGCAAGCACAACTTCTAACACGGGCTGGTTACTTCAATATTGCCAGAGGAAAGACTATTCATTTTCAGTCACTTCTTTCCTTCCACACATTTTGTAATAAAATAAGGCAGAGAAAGTCGATGATCTCTGACACTTAATTCACTCTCCTGGGTGCTCTTTCCTATCTCACTTTCATTCCAGACCCTTTGCTCTAAGCCACTGCTCTGCCTCCTCCACTCAATTTCCTGGCCTTCCCTCAGCAGTGATCAGTGATCAAACAGTCAGTTACATTTCTTCTGGCTTGTGAAAAGATCATTTATTCATTGATGTAATCACCACTTTTGTAAATCCCATAATTAGATGAAGACAAACAAAAGTCTGAACAAGCTTCTTAGACTAGACTTCTGAATGTAATTATTTATGATTTCTTGATTATGGCTGTTTTTTCCTCATCTGTATCTCTGGGTTTCTATTAGCCTGACACACAAAAGGAATTAAATTACATTTCAGATAATTGATACCTCTACTTATCTTGGCAAAAGAAGGAGGACAGTGTACTATCTCATTATGATGTGGAAAAAATGTGGTATGATTGAGGATATGGAAACTCTCTCAGCTCTGCTTGCTGTAACTATGCTGATGATCTGAAAGCCTGTTATTAAAAGCATTTACTCATTTGAAATACACACAAACACACACGCATTTATTCTGTCAACAATTTCACATCCTATACTATCTACCTGTTTGTCCTATATACAAACAGCTAAAATACACTGTTGTTATTACTTAGAATAATTCAATTTCTAGTGGAAAATCTAAGGCTTCAATATGAGATTAAATAACACCAGGTGGTACTTATGGGACAAATTGTGGGGCACCATGAAGTATAAATCCTAGAATAAGATATCTATGCTATAGAGAGGAAGATAATTGCATTCATTGTTAACATTACATGCCTTCCCTGAACTAACAGCAGTCCATTAGGGACCTGTTCTTCCATCAGTGTCAAATATCTTCTAGTTACATGCAAGTTTATATACAGGAAGCACTGGGTGTTCAGTAAGTGCATGTTTTAAGAAATATTGGTTTTCAGGTGGAGATATTTTAATTAAAAATAAAAAGCTCCCTACAGTTCCCAAAAGCCCATTTCAGACCCTTTCCTTAGGATTAGAGCTTTATATCCCTCTATTTAAATATAGAGTGAGAGGCAAGCATAAAATAATGACTTGGGACACAGAAGAAATGGCTTCAAATTTCACCCTTACTAGGACAGCTCACTATATGTCTTTAGGCAAGCCTCTTCGTTAACTGTTGTCCTTCTCAGTACTAAGTATCTTTTGAACACATTTTCAATATTGTATTGATTTCCCAGTTGATGAATCCCAGCCCATCAAGTAGATGCCCACATTTGCCTGTGTAGCCTTGCTTAGAGATAGAATATAGGCATGTATACTTAGATTCTTTCAAAGGATGGCTCAGAAGAAAATAACAGGAGGATGATGGCGTTGAGCAGACCACACATTGCTGGAGAGGGTGGTGGAATGCTGTACAGAAAGAGCTTTCAGGAAACAGTGCCAGACGCCCATTGACACCATAAAATGCCTCCTGACATGACGCCTGCTATTGAGCCTGTGTCGCAGGGTGAAACAGCACCCGTCATCGTGGCACCTGGCTGTGATTGGGGTGTGGTATTTGGCTGCATATATTCTAAGCCAGATTCTCTGCTCCTCCTACAGTTTATGTAAACGACCTACCAGCCTTTAACAAATTGCTTTTCCATCTAAATTTGTTAGACTAAGTCCCAGTGTTTCTAAATAAGAATGCTAACTAAAATACATATTAAGGAACTTGTAGTTTCTTGTGCCTGTAGGCTAACATTCAAATCCCAAATGCCAATGAGAGAAAGATCTTTAAGCAAAGAAGCCTGGTATGATCCATTAGTGAATGTCAGGAACATAATAATGAGGCTAGGAGGGGGCAGCTGTGCCCAGCTCTAGGTATTGGGTCATACTAATACACTGGCCCAGGGGTCCTGGCTCTTCTAATTTATGAAAGAAACTGGAAATCTATATTATAATGTAAAATCATCCAACTTTATAAACATTGACAATTAGGTACAAATGTTTTAAAGCATGGCAGGATCAGAGAAAACATATCTGTATTCTGGATGGCGCCTGTTGGCTTTCAGTTTATGAACTTAAAAAGTAATTTCTCATGCTGCTCCCTCTTTCTGGAATATTCAGCTGTAATTAACCCTTCTCTGAGAAGCTTTTCTCGACCATCACACCATCTATTAGCAGTAGGTAGTGAGTGGGAAAAGGGGAGACAAGGGAAGGTGAGGATCAGATGTAGAGCTGGGGAGAGTGTGGGAAAGATACGCTTTACATTGGAAGAGAAACTATAATTTTAATTTAGATCAACCTAGACTTTTTTAAGCATTAAAATGAAAAGTCTGGATCATGCACACTTTTTTAAACATGAAAACATAAAAGTGATAAGAAAAAAAAATACCTGGAACCCTCTCTCCCTCTCTCTCTCTATATATATATGTGTGTGTGTGGGTGGGTGGGTGGGTGGGTGTGTATGCTTGTGTGTGTGTGTGTGTATAAATGAAGCATATCTCTCTCTATATATACATATATGTATGTATATATATGAAGAAGGATATATCTTTATAGATAGATAGATAGGATATTTATTCCTCTAGGGCTAAAGATAAAGATTAGGAAAAAATTAATTTGCTCATACCTCAAAGAGTCTACCTCAGTAAAGAAAAATAGTCCACACCTCTTGTTGGCCACTGCACACATAGAGCCCCAGTTGAGTAGAAACTCAATATTTGTCAAGTCAATTCTCATGCATTTATGAGTACACAATTCAAAATAAAATGTGCATACACTACTGGAATAATTATTTGTTTAGGTAGAATTATGAAATAATAGTTATTCTGAACCAGATAAAATTTTAGACATAATTCAATGCAGCCATATCATATAAGAAATGGAGACACAATGAAGTAAATTAACTTGCCAAAGTCATAAACATCCCTACAGCATAGCTGGGGCATGGCCATTGGACCCTAGATCCTAACATGACTATAGGGCTGGAGTTTGCCATAAACTCTATTCAATAATAAGTTACTTTTTAAAAAGAATAAATTTTTATTGTGAACTTCTTGGACTGAAAAAGCTAGGGTTCCTCTATATCAGTTTTGAAAAAAAATTCAAATTTTGAAAATATTTTAGACAGAAATATTTCAGAGACTTTCTAGAATGTTCTTTAGTTATGTTTCCATGTCAGCATTTTGATATGTTTGTAATACGCTTTCTTATTGATTGCTTCTCTTCCCAATGCTGGAAAGCAATTTACTGTTACATACTTGCTACTCTTTTGTGTATAGGATTCCAATATACCCAGCCAGGGGCCTATGATTAGTGTGTAAGCTATTTCATTACATGGAGTTGCCCATATTCCTCAGTCAACCTAGGGACTGTGCACCATCACCCACACGCATTATTTTCGCATATATCTAATAATTTTATTTTAAAGTATATATTTAATATTTCTTCCCATAATGATAAAACCTAAAAAATGTCTTAGTTTAAAATTTTTTTAAAAAGATTACTTATTCTACAAGTTTGTTAAAAGGAATCCATGCTTTATTCCATTTACTGCTACCACCAGAGAGGAAGTAACATGAGCTATAGAATAAGCATAGGATTTACAGCTAAAACTGATTCTAAATACAGTGACTATAACTTTGACACATTCATTCTGCCCAATAATCCTCCGTATTCCCATTTGTAAAATGTTGACAGTAGTACCAATTTTGCCAGATTGTTGATAAGATGAAAAATTGATTTATTCAAAAGCTCAATAAATGTCATTGTATTTTTTTTTCCTCTTTTATTGAAGATCTGCTAAATGACGGTTTCCCTCCTATATTTGCACAAGTTTTCTTCTGAAACCATAGTAGATTGCCTACCCAGTATTCATTATAATCTCTCCCCGTTACATAGCAGCCTTACAGTGTAGGATATTGATCTGTCATGAGCTCCTGGGATTCCCACCTCACTCCTCTTTGACACAGTAAACTAGTTCAGGGAGAAACAAGAGAGTTGAGTTGTTCTAATTAAAGCCCTAAACTTTCATTTAACAGAGTATTAAGGAGTCTCTCTACTTCTAGATATTGTTAACATGAGCCAAACCAACCTGAGTATAAAGTGAAACATGGAGAAGAACCAATGCAAGAGATTACAAAATAATTGGATATTTTTGGAATTTGTTGGAAACATATTATTGGCAAACATTTTAAATCAATGCATAATATTGAATTAAGGCAATAGACTGCAAGCCCCCTAACCATTTGTGTTATTCAGCATTTACACTATTTCCTAATTTTTATGTTTAAAAAGATTCTAAAATGCATATTTTTGCCTCTATTTTCTGTTTTTATTATTGTTCTGTTGAGATTGTTTCCCAGGAGTAGAATTATTGGGCCAAATCATATGAGAGTATTGACAGTTTTGTAACATATTTCCACAGTGCTTTCCAAAACTGTTGTGACTATTTACTTTTCTTCTCTTTATTGGCTTGGGAGAAAGCTTGTTTTTCTGCATTTTTACACAGTGAGAAATTATCTTTAAAAATTATTCTAAATTGCTAAGAAAGATATGTTCACAAATCATATAGCAGTTTATTGTTCCTTAAGTATTGATTAGTTAAAACAATTTTTAAAATGATGACCAATTATGGCACTCTTTCTTTCTTACAAAAGGTTTAGTCCAGATTTCAGAACAGTATTTTCATATAATGAAAAATCAAAAAGCAAAATTTAAAAATGCATATATATATATTATGATTGCCACTGTGTAAATCATCTAATCATAGAAAAAAGTACTAAAAGCAAACAAACTTATGTTCTGTTTAGTTTCCTTAAATTTCTGTATATTAAACTTTTTTAAAGTAATTGCATTTCATTTACATAAGATTTCAATTAATTGAAATTAATTGAAACTATAATTAAATGTTAATAACTATTGGGTTTTACATTTTACACAGGGCATTGTGAGCTTGGTAAATCACAAAGTACTCTAACAGTAGTAGCTTTTATATTATTATTACACGTAACATTAACAATAACAAAACATTTTGGTGATACAACAGTCACTAAATAATCATGATAAATGAAATACCTGAGATTGAAAACAGCCAAACAGTTAAAGGCCTCACATGATTAAAAGGAGGAAAGATTGAAGATTGCTCGGAAGATTGCCTGAAGATCAGTTGGAAATAAACATAGATATGTGAATATACAAATGAGTTAAGGATAATCATAGCTAGATAATCATAGCTAAATAATCACTTATTCTGGCAGGGCCCAGTGGCTCACGCCTGTAATCCCAGCACTTTGGGAGGCCAAGGCAGGCAGATCACTAGGTCAGGAGATTGAGACCATCCTGGCTAACACAGTGAAACCCCGTCTCTACTAAAAATACAAAAAAACATTAGCCAGGCATTGTGGCGGGAGCCTGTAGTCCCAGCTACTTGGGAGGCTGAGGTGGGAGAATGGCATGAACCCGGGAGGCAGAGCTTGCAGTGAGCCGAGACTGCACCACTGCACTGCAGCCTGGGCGACAGAGTGAGACTCTGTCTCAAAATAAATAAATAAATAAATAAATATAATAATCACTTATTCTAATACTGTATTTTAAGTATGCTTTCAGATGCTTAGATAAGTAACCAAAGAGAAAATTCAAGACATTTGAAAACATTTTAATATTGAAACATTTAAATATTTTTTATTCACTCTGAAAATTTGCACGACAGTCAGAAATCTCTACACAATCCCAGCTGTTACCACAAATACCCTCTCTTGCCCACCAGCAAAGGGACAGAAATTGCATTATTTCTTAGTTTTCAGTACTGTCATGTGAGTAACTAAGACATTCCCCCAGAATACATTTAAAGGAACATACATTTAATTCTAAAATTGATAGTCCTGGATTTTATGAAGAAGTATTCAAAACACCTTTACAAATATTATAATTGAGGAAATTATGACAGTGAAAGAGATCAGACCTAACAGACTCCATTTTGCTTTTAACCATTAAGCTGTCCTTGTTCATTCCTGGGCCTAGGCTGAACTGACCTTGGGAAGAAATTCAATTTATGGCTCAACTCTGAAAGAAAATTGATAATAGTCCTTTCCCCAAAATACCCCTTTCTTGCCTGGGGATCATTCTGTCTTTGCAGGACTAACAAATTAGCTACAAGATAAGAAATTATGGTTTAGGGATCACGCAGCCTCTGGCTGCAAGAGTCTGAACCTCCCCAAATTGCTCCTGGGGATAACACCACTATTGTAAAACCTAAGATCAGTGCTTGAGCTATTTTGCAGACCCTGCACTGGATCGATCAGCGGACACCACCCAGACTGGTAATCTGGCTCGACCAGTTCTGTGATCCCACCCAGGAACAGAAGACAGCAAGTTGTCTTCAACACCCTATGATTCCATCTCCAACCTGACCAATCAGCACTCCACACTCCTGAATCCCCTACCTGCCAAATTATCTTTGAAAGCTCTGATCCCGAAATGCTCTGGGAGACTGAGTTGAGTAATCATAAAACTCTGGCCTCCAGCACAGCTGGCTCTGCGTGAATTACTCTTCCTCCATTTCAATTCACCTGACTTGATAAATTGACTCTGTCTAAGCAGCAGGCAAGGTGAACCCATTGGGCATTTACAGTTTCACTCTTTTTAGTCTCTCTCTCTCCCCAACCCTTCCACCACCAAAAAAACACTTTTTATGAGAGAATTTATAGTGTGAACTTACATCTACCAAAATCCCCAGAGCGGAGGGATGGGATGTTTCTGGCAGGACAAAGAATAGAGATTTTGAGGAGAAAGAATGAGGAAGTACATTTATGTAGTATGTATGTGATTGTGTATAAATTAACTGAAGAGGCAGCAATTGTTTTAAATAAACCTGCGTGCAGTTAGTTAAGACTATAATTTAAATGGTTACTTTAACTTTAGAAGGATCACTTAACTCACAACTCCCTCACCATGTTTTGATCACTACCATGGCTCTCCACGCCCCCCTCCCCACCACCCACCCCACCCCACATCACAAATTAGGACACTGAGGAGTCCTTTGTCTATCTGAAAAGGAGAACAAGAAATCTCGCTACTAGTAGCACTCTTGTTGTCATATACTCTCTGGGAGACATTAGTTTTTTTTAGCTATTCCATATGCATAAGATGCCCATATGTTCTGAACAACAGCACATTGAAAACTCAAAGACAACTAAAATTTTCCACATTTCACACCCTGGTTCTAAAGATAGCTTCCCTTGAGCAAGTTTATGAACTTGAAATAATCAGGATGGAGTCAGTCCAATTCTAATTAGCAACATAAACCTCTGTTAAGTCTTTCTTGGTGGATTGTTTCTAACTCTTTATATGATGCGTTTCCTAGGTGGCATTAAGAAAACATCTATAAAGAATGCACTTTTTTTTTTATTCTGGTGGACTAAGTGAATAAACAACTTACAGGCAAGAGTTCAAAATAATAGATATATTTCTAAATAAACATAAAATAAGTTCTGCTTAGGACCACTTTAATCATATCAAAGCAATAAGCATAAATAACTATAAGCTATGCCAACTGACATTTTCGTTGTATATGCAATATGAATTAAGTGTTCATATCATGGTTCCGGAATGAATGCATATCATCATGTAAGGAGGAAAAGAAATGCTTGGAAAAAGAAAACTAGCAGGTAAGAGCACCAAGGAAAAATGAAGCTAGCACCATTTGCCAGTGTATAGCAAATGACCAATTGTGAATAAAATACAGATGTAAAAGATAATAGAGAAAAGAAAGAAATATCACTAAGATATTCTGAAAAGTGAAAATAAGCCATTCTCTCTAATATTTTTAATACCTTTGCTCAAAATGGATAAAAACCTCCACACACATAATTCAGTATATATGAGGTTACATTCTTGTTTCTCCCCTGCAAATATCTTACATATTTAACATCTTGAAGTATACTTTATTAGTGCAAAATACTACTAATTCTGTGATATTTTGCTTAATTTGTTCGTACATATATATAGACTACTTAAAACAAAGAGACAAAAATAATTGTTATCAGGTTAAAGTTACTCAGCTTGAGAATTATCTTTTTGCAAATTGTTATTCATCCTTTCATTAATTTTTTTCTACTTGAGCTTGTCGCTTTCTAATCACTCAAAACTTTGTTTTGAACATAATAACAATGAATTACAAAAAGAAAGACATTCTTCAGAAGTAATTCTTGATTCTGGAGTTTTAAATGTTGCTGATTGAAATAAATTCCCAGCTGACTTGATGATTAAAGCTAAACATTTATCTAAATGTAAGGTCTTTTATTATATGTGGCCTTATTCTTCTTCAGCGTAATAGCAGAACAGCTTATTTTTTTGTATTTAATGAACAGAAACACTAACTTATATAGAACATGGATTAGTTATGATATCTTTAATATCCTAAATGTTGAAATTTGAAAACATGCAGCTATTATTTTTTAGTCCTAGGAAATATCTAAATTACAACATGATCCCAGTGGGCAGGAAAATTACCAGACTTAATTAATTGAGTAAATGTTATTGTATTTTAGTAGATATCCATTATTGTGTTTAGTAGATAATCAATATTTCATTTAAAATCCATTTGTTTAAAAAACTCACAAAAGTGGCTGCATAAACTGCATGGGAACTTTCTCACAGCTTTCTCTGTTATTAAAAGAAGATTACTAAAATATTATTTACAATCATAATTCATCTATAACACTTGAGAGAAAACTGTTTCTTATTCTATCCCAAGATATATAACACCTACTTTAAAAAAATATCTCATTAACCATGTTACATCTGTTATATGATAATTAATGTGTGTATATATATTTATGCTATTTTACGTGAAGTCATATATAATTGACTTGCATAATAACTACTTATATAAGTGAAGAGCCTTAGCTACCAGCAATGTAAATTACCTAGTTTTTTTTAGTAATACACACACATGCATTACACACACGGACATAGATATGAAATTCAGAATATCTTTATGAATACAGAATTTCAGAACTTCAAACCTGAATTTACAAATGGTTATTATTGGTGTCAATATAAAAGAGAAAAATTTCAAATTTGTGCAACCGTCCAAATCTCTAATTATTATATTTTGGAATAAACTCTGGTTTTTAAATCTTCTTATCTGTATAAATTTATGAGGTACAAGTTTAATTTTGTTACATGGATATATTGCATAGTGATAAAGTCAAGGCTTTTAGTTCATGCGTCACCAGAATAATGTACATTGTATTCATTAACTTTTCATCATCCACCTCCCTCCAATGCCCTACCCTTCTAAATCTCCATTGTCTATCATTTCACACTCTATGTCCATGTTACACTTATTGAGCTCCCACTTATAAGTTAGAACACACTATTTGTCTTTCGGTGTCTGAGTTGTTTCACTTAAGATAATAGCTTATAGGTCTATCCATGTTGCTGTGAAAGACATGATTTCATTTTTTTATGCATGAATATTGTTCAATGATGCATATATACATTTTCTTCACCCAATCATCCATTGATCAACTTAGATTGATTCAGTATGTTTTCTCTTGTGTCTAGCACTGCATTAAACATACAAAAGCAGATATCTTTTTGATATAATTGTTTCTTTTCCTTTGGGTAAATACCCGGTAGTGAGATTGCTAGACTGAATGGTTGTTCTAATTTAGTCCTTTGATAAATTGTGATTACTACTTTTGAAAAACCTCAGGAATATATTCACCATATTTAACATTGCAGGACAATAGAAATTAAAATGGATAAATTCATATACACCCACATACAAAAAAAAAACATACCTTTGAAACACAGTACTCTCTGACATTAGTAAAAGCAAACCCCGTAGGGTAGTAATGTTGTGGCTTAGCCTATAATGATTCTGAGGAAGAAAAGTACCCTCTAGCATCTGGAAACCAGTCTGGCACTCACAGCTAGATTTAGAAGATCTCCTGATGCACATAAATAAATCTATAAAACATCATCAGACAAGGCTACTCTGTGGCCATGGAAAAACAAGACAAAAACAAGAGTACTCAGAAACCATATCTGAGGGGGGAAAAAAGCCACAACCAAAGAGAAAATAATCTCCTACTCTGACAAATTTGAGTGTCTGTTGCTTCTTTTTTTTTTTAAAGCATGTATCTTCATTTTATTTTTTTAAATAATTTATTTTTATTGTATATGTTTATGAGGTACAATGTGATTTTTCCAATATATGTATACATTGTGGCGTAACTAAAGCGTTAGAATGTCTTTTATCAAGAAAACAAAAGATAACAAGTGATGGCAAGGACGTGGAGAAAGGTGAAAACTTACTCAATGTTGGTAGAAATATACATTACTACAGCTATTATAAAAAACAGTATGCAGGTTCCTCAAGAAATTCAAAATAGAACTACCATATGATTGACAATTCCATTTGTGAATATAAATACAAAAGAAAGGAAATAAGTATGTAACAAAGACATCTGTACCTCCATGTACATTGTAGCATTATTCACAATAACCAAGATATGGAAATGACTTATGTTGTCATCAGTCCATCAGTGGACAAATGGATAAATACTGCTTTTTTTAATCAAAGCTTTATCATAGCTTTAGCCTCACTCCAGTCTTTCCTCCTTAGGTAGGATTTATTAAGATAAGCATTTAACCAAGGAGGTGAAAGATGTCTGCAAGGAAAACTATAAAACATTGATGAAAGAAATTGAAGATAATATGAACAAAAGAAAAGACAACCCATGCTCATGGACCAGAAGAATTAATATTGTTTAAATGACTGTACTACCCAAAGAAATCTACAGATTTCATGTAATCCTTCTCAAAATACCAATAACATTCTTCACAGAAACAGAAAAAAAATCCTAAAATTTGTATGGAATGACAAAAGACTCTGAATAGCCAAAGCAATCCTGAGCAAAGAACAAAGTTGGAGGTATCACACTACCAAACTTCAATGTATACTACAAAGCTATAGTAACCCAAACAACATGACACTGACATAAAAACAGACAATGGACTGATGGAACAGAATAGAGAACCCAGAGATTAAAGCACAGATCTATAGCCAACTGATTTTTGCCAAAGTTGCGAAGAACACTCGGTAGGGACAGGACAGTCGTCGATAAGTGGTGCTGGGAAAACTGGGGTATCCATATGCAGAAAAATGAAACTAAGCCTCACCTCTCACTATAGAAAAATCAATTCAAAATGGATCAAAGTCCTAAATGTAAGACCCAAAATGCTAAAACTACTAGAAGAAAACATAGGGGAAATGCTTCAGGACATTGACCTCAGAAGAGATATTTTAAATAAGACCTCAAAAGCACAGGCAACAAAGTCAATAAACAAATGGAATTATATCAAACTAAAAAGCTCTGCACAACAAAGGAAACAATCAAAAAAGTGAAAAGACAACCTAGAGAATGAGAGAAAATATATACAAATTACACATCTAACTGGGGATTAATATATACAATACTCAAGGAACACAAACATCTCTGCAGCAAAAAGAACAAACAATCCAAATAAAAATGGGCAAATGATATGAACAGACATTTCTCTAAAGAAGACATACAAATGGCCAATAAATATATGAAAACAAAATGCTCAGCATCACTCATCATCTCAGAAATGCAAACCTTAAAACCACAATTTGGTATTATTCTACCCCAGTTAGGATGGTTATTATCAAAAACACACATAAAAAAACCCCACAAATGCTGGTAGGGATATGGAGAAAAGGGAACCCTTATATAATGTTGGTGAGATTGTAAACTAATGTGGCCACTATGGAGAACAGTATGGAGGTTCCTCAAAAAACTGCAAATAGAACTATCATATGATCCAGTAATCCCACTACTGGGCACTTATCCAAAGAATGGTAATCATATATCAAAGACAGATCTGTGCCCCCATGTTTATTTCAACATTATTCATAACAGCTAAGATATGGAATCAATCTACATGTCCAATAATAAATAAATGAAAAAAGAAAATGTAATATGTACATATATATGGGGTATGGTATATATACACAATAAAATACTAGTTAGCCATTAAAAGGAATGAAATCCTAACATTTGTGGCAACATGGATAGAACTGGAAAACATTACATTAAATGACATAAGCCAGGAATAGAAAGTTAAATACCACATGTTCTCACTCATATGTGGAAGCCAAAAAAAAAATTGACCTCATGGAAGTAAAAAGTAGAACAGAGGATATGAGAAGCAAAGAAGAGAAGAAGGATGGGAGATATAGGAAGAGATTATTAAAGGATACAAAATTACAGCTATGTAGGAAGAATAAGTTCTACTATTCTGAAATACCACTGTAAGATGACATTGTTAACAATAATTTATATTATATAATTTCAAATAACTGAAAGAAGGATAGTGAATGTTCCCAGCATAAGGAAATGATAAGTGTTTGAGATGATGGATGTGCTAATTACTCTGATCTGATCACTATACATTATATGTATTGAAACATTACCATGTACCTCATGAATATGTGCAATTATTATTTGTCAATTAAAAATATGTTTTAATTTAAAAATTAAAAATTAAAAAATCACATAATTATTCCACCTTCTTGACATCATCTAATTCAGAAAGTTGTACTTGCTTAAACCTTCCCCAAAGTCACTAACACAGTTCTAAATCCTGTAATAACTCCTCTTTAACACTCTCTTAATAAGACACTCCATAATTCCCCACAGTATGTGTTCTTCTTCAATGCAGTGATTAATAAGCACAACTTGTTCAATTGGTAATCTATGGCTGCAGGGCATTGATCGAACAAAATTATTTCATAAAAAATATGCATTTTCATTTATCAGCATACAGATATCAAGTATAATATTTAATATACTTTTACTACTTTATTTCTCATGATATATTTAAGTGTAGTCAAAACATTAAAATGTTTATTATACAGTCTGATAATTTTGCATCATACCTATTTCTATAGATTTGCAGAGCTGGAAGCATGACAGGTTTAGGATGTAAGCATGAACAACCACACATTATAACTAGAGTTAAAAAAAAACTAAATAAATATTGTTGATATATAATATCAACCTAAATAGTTAGTATTATGAAGAAATGATTGGTACTTTAGAAAATTAAGTAGTATAGCTGGATTTATTAGAACCAATGAGGTAATTTTTTAAAAATTTCTACTTTTATTTTAGATACAGGGGTTACATGTACAGGTTTGTTACATAGGTATATTGCACCCCAGTGGCAAGCATAGTACCCAATGGGTAGTTTTTTAACCCATGCCCACTTTCTTCCCTCCCTACTCTAGTAGTTTGCAGTGTTCATTGTTCCTATGTTTATGTCCATATATGCTCTATGTTTAGCTCCCACCTATAAGTGAGAACATATGGTATTTGGTTTTCTGTTCCTGCATTAATTTGCTTAGAAATGTGGCCTCTGGTTCCATCCAAGTTGTTGCAAAAGACATAAATTCACACTTTTCATGGCTGCATAGTATTCCATGGTGTATATGTACCACATTTTCTTCATCCAGTCCACCACTGATGAGCCACTAGGTTGATCTTTTTGCTATTGTGAATGGTATGGGGATGAACTTATCAGTGCATGTGCCTTTTTGGTGTAATGACCTGGTTTTTTTCGATATATACCCAGTAATGGGATTGCTGGTTCTAATGGTAGCTATGGTTTAAGTTTTTTTGAGTAATCTCCAGACTGTTTTTCATAGTGGCCGAACCAATTTAAATTCCCAACAATGGTGAATAAGCATTCCCTTTTCTCTACAGCCATGCCAGTATCTGTTGTTTTTTGACTTTAATAATAGCCATTCTGACTGGTGTGAGATGGTCTCATTATGGTTTTGATTTGCATTTCTCTGATGATTAGTGATGTGAAGCATTTTTCTCATATGTTTGTTGGCCACTTGTATGTCTTCTTTTGAGAAGTGTCTGTTCATGTTCTTTGCCCACTTTTTAATGGGGCTGCTTGTTTTTTGCTTCTTGATTAACAAAGTTTCTTATAGAATCTGCTTATTAGAACTTTGTCAGATGCATAGTTTGAGAATATTTTCTCCCATTCTGTAGGTTGTCTACTTATGCTGTTGATACTTTCTTTTGTTGTGAAGAAGTTATTTAGTTTAACTAGGTCCCACTAGTCAAATTTTTTTTCTTGTTGCAATTGCTTTTGTGGACTTAGTCAAAAATTATTTGCCAAGGTTGATGTCTGAAGGAGTATTTCCTGAGTTTTCTTCTTGGATTTTTATAGTTTGAGGTCTTACGTTTAAACCTTGAGTTCAACATGAATTACTTTTTGTATATGGTGAAAGGAATGGATCCAGTTTCATTCTTTCACATATGGCACACAGTTATGTGTGCTAGCCAGTTATGCCAGTACCATTTATTGAGTAGGGAGTTATTTCCCTATTGCCTGTTATTGTTGGGTTTAGTATTCCTCAGGTAGAAAGCAAAAATTCAAGAATCAACATTCTTCTATGTTTTCAGGAGATGAGAAAACAGAACAATACTGTCATATGCAACAACAACAAAAAAACTCAGTGACTAAGAATAAAATCAACAAGAAATGCTAGAAGAATACTTGATGTAATTTTTTTTAAAATATCACATTTTTATAAAGATTGAATGGAGATATGTAGGAGGAGTGGATATTAGTTCGTTGTAAAAATTCAAAGAAAATATAAATTCAAACTAAATATTTAAATAGTGTTTCTTGAGTGTAACAATTAGTTTTCAGGTGTAATAATCAGTTTCTAAAATAAATAAATACAGAGATTATTTTGAAAAAAAGTTCAGAAAAAATCAAACCTTCTGGAGATAAAACAAAATGTAAATCAGCAAAATTCAGCAGGAGTAGACATAAGAGATAGGATAGAATCAAAGTGTCTATTATATATCATAGTTCACAAAAAGTTAACAATGTTCCTGCTCTCATCAGTGTCCATATGCCCTAATGGGATGGATAAGTATGTTACCATAACAGAGGTGTATATTTAATATATTCCAACTTTGTTTTAAAGAGCATATATGCAATACGTCTATGCATATATATGTTGCATGCATACATGTTCAATAACCTGAAAATGAAAGTATCACACACAACGATACTTGAAAAATCAATCTTTATGACTGGTTAGAGCAACTGTGTGTTCCCTAGTCTTCTTTCTACGTGATCGTATTTCCTGAATTTTCTTCAATATGCATATCTTTTGGAAGACATTATTCTAATCCTTAATATAGGAATCTGCTATCAAAACATCAATGTGAAGGCTTATGAAACTCCTAGGGCACTTTCAGAGTGAGGTACCACTTTGACTCTATCACATTTTTAGTCTCTTCCAAGCCAAAAAGGTATAAGTGACGGCATCTACACTACTCTGCCCCATTTAAGTATTTGGGTAAAAATCCTTGCCTATAACTGTCATTATTGTTTTACTTATTACTTTTGCCCATCTTCCCATTTTTAAACTATATGAATCATTTGACTTAGGCATGCAAGCCACATACAATTGGTTTGATTTGTGATCTTTTGAAAATTATTTTTAATTGGTAGGTTTTCATGTATTAATATTACTAGGAATTTTTTTCTTTGTAGTTACTTGACACAAATAATACACTTATTAATATTACAAGGAATTGGTAGGTTTACATGTATTAATATTACTAGGAATTTTCTTATCTCTATCATTGTTTGGCACCAATTTTTCATATTGTTTTCATTTTGTGTAAACCTTGATGTGCACAAGAAATTGTGTACTTTCATTGTAGCAGTTGCTTTAGTGCAATATTCTGAGCCCCTTCCTTTTAAACAATATTGAATTTTTGCCTATAAGTAAATCATTATTGACTTATTCTCTTTCCTCATTTCCCTCTCCTTCATATCTATTGTAATCAATAATATTATTTTTCTTTATGTTTACTTTTATGTGGATAAATATGCTTATATCTCTAAAACTTGATTTGTGAGCTATCATGTAAGAGGCAAACAATGAGATTATTCTACTGCTCACCTTTTCCTCCCATTCCTGGACCTAACCCCTATTGCATTACTTATACAATTTCTATACTTGCCTGGACATATGTCATCCTATCTAATCAGCTACTCTTATGTGTACCTTTATTTTGTCTCAGATTTGCAGTAAAATATATACAAACATTTTGCTGAAATGTGCCTCAGTGATTTTTTTGTTTGAGTGAAATCATCTAGTTGTTTCCTAAAGAAGGGCTCATGAGAACAATACCCCATGAGTTCTTACCTGTTCAAAATTCTTTGGTTGTAGCTTTCGTACTGCAAGTGCTACTTGATACAATATAAAACACATGGCTCCTATTATTCCCTGAAAGATATTAACAAGTGTTCTTTTTTGTTTTGATTATTTATTACAAGTGTAGAGAGGAGATTTGGATCTATGTTGCCTACAGGTTTGTCTCAAGCTCTGTACAGAAATTTTTAATTTAAGATTAGGTTGGTGCAAAAGTAATTGCGGTTTTTGCCATCACTTTCAATATATTTTATCCTCAAATAAGAAACTATCTCTAATAGAAAAGTCACAAAGAAAATCTATGAGTCTGTTAAGTCTACTTTTCTCTGAGGAATGGCTTTATACTGTGCTAACTAAAGCCATACAATAGAAATGTTTAGAGGATGTTGACTAAAATCATGTTTGATTTTACCATGTTTAGATATTTAGCATAAACTAACATTATAAAAAGGATCTCAGTTGTAAAATTTTGACCATGAAGTTCAAATTCTTACAGCGTCATCATGTGTCTTTAAATAAAATACAGCTGCAACAAATATTTCTTCTGTAGCAAATGGGTTAAGTTAAATTCTTTTTCTGGCATCACATATCCCGATACAAAATTAAAGGTTTCTGTTAGAAACATCTGTTTATGTAGATAAATTGACAGGGCAATTGACATCTACCCAAGAGTTTCAAAGAACTCAAGGGTAAAATTAGGAAATCACTGTCCAAAATGCACAAACTGTCATTATAAACAACTGTCTTATTACAAAACAGATAATTTTTAATCAGATTTTTCACACATGGCAAGAATGCTAAACCACTGTTGGAGGACTGCAGTGACTTTCTTACTAATCTTTCTTCTTCTAGATTATGTTCCTATAATTCAGCCCACACACTACCACAGCAGTTATATTCCTAAAATATAATTTTCCATATCTACCCCGACTGAGAAACTACTTAATAAAATTCAGACTCCTCAATATTTAACACCCTACTAAATATGATATGAATCTATTCTTTCATTTATATCTCTCATTGCTTTTCTTTTAGAAGACCTCCTGGAAAGGTCCAAGTATTGCTCACAGAACATATAAAACACGGTTCTATCTTTGTTTACCCCTTTTTAAAATTCCCTGTCCTTAAATTACACTTGAAGATTTCATGACATCTCCTCTCCTTCTTTCTGTTTATGAATATCCAGCATTTCATTGAACAGCCAGCACAAATCCCACAATTTCTGTGAAATTTTGTCCAAATTTTTCCACCATTTTCTGAAATTCTGTAAATCCTGTTGAAGCAGAGACAAATAGATACTATTTGTATACTCCATTTTATACTCTAGATTTGGATACTCTTTTACACTCTAGATTTGGAAGATAACTACTAAGAGTAAGGGAAGCCTAA
The DNA here is from genome assembly GCF_000001405.40 of Homo sapiens. Lineage (NCBI taxonomy): Eukaryota > Metazoa > Chordata > Mammalia > Primates > Hominidae > Homo > Homo sapiens. The sequence continues at coordinate 126,168,028 of NC_000007.14, forward strand.
TATTATAGCTTAGACTTTTATATTATGTTTTTAAATTTTAGAGAAAAAGAAACACCTAATAAAATTCTCAAGGCTCTCCCATTTTAATTTAGCACCGTATTAGACTTGTAATAACTAAATATAGTTTATTTTTGTGGGGAAAAGCAAGAGAGATCAGATTGTTACTGTGTCTGTGTAGAAAGAAGTAGACATAGGAGACTCCATTTTGTTCTGTACTAAGAAAAATTCTTCTGCCTTGAGATTCTGTTAATCTATAACCTTACCCCCAACCCCATGCTCTCTGAAACATGTGCTGTGTCAACTCAGAGTTAAATGGATTAAGGGCGGTGCAAGATGTGCTTTGTTAAACAGATGCTTGAAGGCAGCATGCTCGTTAAGAGTCATCACCACTCCCTAATCTCAAGTACCCAGGGACACAAAAACTGCGGAAGGCCGCAGGGACCTCTGCCTAGGAAAGCCAGGTATTGTCCAAGGTTTCTCCCCATGTGATAGTCTGAAATATGGCCTCGTGGGAAGGGAAAGACCTGACCGTCCCCCAGCCCGACACCCGTAAAGGGTCTGTGCTGAGGAGGATTAGTAAAAGAGGAAGGAATGCCTCTTGCAGTTGAGACGAGAGGAAGGCATCTGTCTCCTGCCTGTCCCTGGGCAATGGAATGTCTCGGTATAAAACCCGATTGTATGCTCCATCTACTGAGATAGGGAAAAACCGCCTTAGGGCTGGAGGTGGGACCTGCGGGCAGCAATACTGCTTTGTAAAGCATTGAGATTTTTATGTGTATGCATATCTAAAAGCACAGCACTTAATCCTTTACATTGTCTATGATGCAAAGACGTTTGTTCACGTGTTTGTCTGCTGACCCTCTCCCCACAATTGTCTTGTGACCCTGACACATCCCCCTCTTCGAGAAACACCCACAAATGATCAATAAATACTAAGTGAACTCAGAGGCTGGCGGGATCCTCCATATGCTGAACTCTGGTTCCCCGGGTCCCCTTATTTCTTTCTCTATACTTTGTCTCTGTGTCTTTTTCTTTTCCAAATCTCTCGTCCCACCTTACGAGAAACACCCACAGGTGTGGAGGGGCAACCCACCCCTACAATTTTAAGAGTCTATGGTTAAATTAGGAAACCCACTATTGTATTTCATCACTTCAACAGGTCAAAGGATAAATTAGTTATACAGAGAGATACCAAAATAGTTGATAGGCATCAACAATAATTTTTGATAATAGTTCTTAATAAACTGGAAATAGAAGGGTACTTTATTAACATTTATGCCAAAACAACAATAGATAACAACATTATTGGTGATTTCCTAAAAGTATTTCTGTTAGCTCAGGGAAAATATAAGAATGCTGCTAATATCACTTTCTAAAAATGTTTGTCTGGAATAGCCAGGCCAATAGTACAAAAAGAATAAAAATATTACCTGAATGAGATGATAAACTCATAAGCATTTGTAGGTGATAGAATTTTCTGCTTAGTAATCCCAAAAATTTCACTAAAAATCTAATACATGTTAAAGTAAATAAACAAAATATAATAAATTTTCTTGGATTAGTAAAAATAGTTATACAAAAATAGTTATAAAATTAGTAATACAGGTTAAAAATATAATGTAATTATAATTTAATGCAATTGAAATAAAAATAAATAAGAAAGTAGTAAATTTTCTATTATAAAAGGACTGATGGTATGAAAATATGCTCATTCACTCAAATCAAAAAGTCAGCACAATCAAAGAAATGCCATTATTTTGTTTAGAGAATAAAAATCAACATAATTATACCCTGTGTGGAAATAAACAGAGACCATCCAAATGAGAACAAGCAGAGGACATTTTGTTCAGAGATTGCTATAGCAGGGGAGTCATCCACCATCACTTGCTTTTGGTAGAGACTCAAATGTAAGCAGGGAAGTGGGAAAGCTTTAGAGTAGAAAAAAAGGGAAGGCTTCAAGTATGTCCTGATTGGAAGCATGTTACCACGGGAAAACTGTAGGCGGATGAACTAGAAGCAGAGCTTTTTATATGACTAGTTAGTGGTACATATTTGGCTCTCTTTGGTTATTCTAAGTTAGAAGTAGAGGCAAAAAGAAGAGAATCTGTCAGTTATTTATCAAGCCATGGTAGTTTGGGACCAGTTGTCACAGAGATTATTGTTTGGCTTACTTGGCTGGTTGCTAGAGAGAATGGTCTGACTTTGTACATGTCTGACTTATAGATAATAAGTTGGTTTCCAGGGCTGGTTGCTGCAGATTGCGGGTCAGAGATAAACAGATTATATAAATAGATTAGATAGATAGACAGATAGATAGATAGCTATTTCATATGTTTACATATCTATCTACATATAGATCTACATATATATAGTAGTTATAAATACATACAGTTAACATATATAACATGTTAACTATATTTTCTGTCTCTCACCAGCTTCACAATATTTGGTGACTAGGAATAGGACCCACATACAGTACCAGCAGTTGTGCAAACTGATAACATTCCAGGAAGACAATTTGACATTTTACATTGAAAGTCTATACGATGTTGATTCTCTTTCACCATGTATTTCCAATAAGTGAGGGCCTCCCTAGAAATATATATGCCTATAACATAAATAATATCAGTATAAACATTAAAAAATTGCACGTGTTTAAAATGAAAGATGATGGCCCCAGTACACAGTAAGTACTAGAACTGTAATAAATGATAAATGATAATTAAATAATAAATGAATAAATTGATGTATCTATTAATTAATAAAATAGTTAACTAACAAACCAATACCTGTGGGATAACTGACACTATAGCATATAATTGCTGTTTACAGCTTCTAGTGAATTTGGAGCATAAATTATCATATACACATATAAAAGTCTATACTTATTAAAGGAAAAACACAGTAGCCACTTGTCCTTAACTTGTACTTTTGCACTAGTATATCAGACAACTAGGTGATAACTAGAAATGACTTTTTACTTTTATACTAAGCTTATTTAAACAGGGATATGTTATGCAATGATCTAAAGATACAAAATTATATTTTTCTCAGTATTGTTATTAATGACCCAAATGGCATTCTAAAGAAATATTACTTCATTCTTTGGGGATTATACAAAAGTTAGAAAAATATAGCACATGGAAAAATAATTATTCTCATAAAATGACAGCCATGCATTTTTGGAAGAGGGAAAACATGCATTCCCAAAAAACACTTATAACCATACACTTAAATTTTGTGATCTCAATAGTTTAGGTTAGCTTGATAATTTCAATATATATGAATGTTTTTATGAACTGGTATAGTCTCTTTAATTAAAACTATACTTTTTCTTACATTACCTAAAGAAGCTCAAGGGGATGAAATATTTAATTACAAGACTGTCTATATTAGAGATATCATTTAACATAAAAAAGAAGAACTCCAACACAAAATTGAAAGAGTTCTAATAGAAAATAATTAACAGAAGTATCCAATGAAAATGAGCAATTCAAATACACATAAGGACTGCCAATTTACAATGCTAATTTTTTTCTTACCTGTGCAGGATTTTATGACAAAAGCTAAACATGAATTGGATTTTTAATTAACCTTGAAATAAACAAGTCAATGATGCTGCAAATAGTAAACACTTATTATTTTGATTTACACAGGAATGGCTAGAGTAGGTGGTATGAGAATCTGTCCATAGATGTATTTTTACAAACTCCTCTGACTTCATCTCATTCCCTTGGAAAGAAGTTCTATCTTCTACTTATAAATGTTCTCCACAATTGTGAGGATCACATGATCCCAAAAAATGTTGACAGGCAAATGATACAATATTTTTCAAATGTTTCCAACAAAAGTGAAACAAAATTATTCTACTAGAGTTATTAGACTCTAAAAATTGATTGAAATTTTTCTAACATTAAAACTCCTACATATGAATCCTATATGTAATGCATATGACCAAGAGTTTGTGACCAACAATTTTAAAATCATGGCTCAAACGCTACTATATAACCCCCACTGATGCCTCCAGCATCCCAGTCCATAGTAATCCCTTGCCATCCTATTGTAGTATGCTTCCTTCACTTCTGTTAGATAAAGGAAGATTTACTGAGGGAAGTCCAGGACTTAAGCTTGAATCACCTGAGATATACCATACAACTGGCTTCTCTTACTGCCTAATCTCTCAGAAATGTAATAAAATAACATATTTCATTTCCCTCACCAGACCAGGGAAAGTATCTTTCTTTTTCTTCTTACTTCACACAACCACCCTCCACCACATGTTTACAACATGTTTACAGAGCCTATAAAAAAAAACTCTCTTCTTGGGGTTTGGCTATCACAAACTTCTGTGTGAAATTTCAGAGGCAAGTAACTATAAAGTAGGTAATCTTCTGGAAGAGAGGTTACAGGAAAATACATATAGTAGCTGGAAAATAGTCTTCTCAAAAATACACTCTTTACATCACTCTTAATAATTGAATCTGTTGGACCCTGGTAGGCACAGCCTTTGAATTTGTGTCATAGACAAAGCCAAGCCACAATGCTCTGAACAAGTTGCATTTGTGCAAGAATACAGTTGGCACCATTATCAAAATCCCAAGAGGGGTCAAGATCAGGATGAAGAATCAAATTGCTAGTTAATAGCAATATGGTGTGTTAGGAGCAAGCCCCCCAAAATCTGGCCACAAACTGGCCCCAAGACTGGCCATAAACAAAATCTCTGCAGCACTGTAACATGTTCATAATGGCCCTAACGCCGTCACTGGAAGGTTGTAAGTTTACGGGAATGAGGGCAAGGAACACTTGGCCCACCCAGGGCGGAAAACCACTCACAGGCATTCTTAAGCCATCAACAATGGCATAAGCAATCTGTGCCTTAAGAGCATGTTCCTGCTGCAGTTAACTAGCCCAACCTATTCCTTTAATTCGGCCCATCCCTTCGTTTCCCATGAGGGATACTTTTAGTTAATTTAATATCTATAGAAACAATGCTAACAACTGGTTTGCTGTTAATAACTATGTGGGTAAATCTCTGTTTGGGGCTCTCAGCTCTGAAGGCTGTGAGACCCCTGATTTCCCACTTCACACCTCTATATTTCTGTGTGTGTGTCTTTAATTCCTCTAGTGCCGCTGGGTTAGGGTCTCCCTAACCAAGCTGGTCTGGCATGGTGGATTAAAAATTCTGAAGAATTATCTGCTAGAATAAATAAATTTTGAAAAAGGTGATTAGATCTTAGTAGAAAGATCACTTCAAGTAGATTACTGGACCTACAATAAGTAAAGAAAATCTTCCCATTATGATGCTGAGGAACTTTTGAAAAGTGAAGTGTGAGCTGAAACCAGGGCAGTGTTTGCACACTAGAAAGGTCAGATTGCTTCAAGGGCAGACACTGATACCAAGAGCCCCAAATTTCAACTGAAACTGAGACAGTTTGGCTGTCCATATGGAGATATCAGAATGTAAAATAATCCATATGCATAGTAAAAAAAAAATGGGTTCCAACACTAAGATGATCTCACATGACAAGTTTGAAAGTAACCAAATATTTTATAAAGACACAACCAAAGAAATAATATTAGTTAGCTGAAAATTGTAGTACAGAAAGTCAAGGATATAGAAAAATATAGAGTTTGAGATACATGAAGAAAAAAGGAGACGCTCTGTAATGTGCCCATTTATATATTTAAAAATAAATTACTGTCAGTATATTTTTAATAAACACTGAAATTCCCAGAAATGAAATGATTATTCAAGTCTTTCTACAGTAGAATAGAAAAAAAATAGTGTTCACACAATGAAATATTACCTAACAATGAAAATTAATAAAAGTTACAACTGTAACCAAAAATGTGGACGAATTATGGTAACGTAATGAGTGAATAAAACTGGTTGCAAAAGGCTCTATATAGTTATCCAACATGTTTACATATTTCTAAAACAAACAAAAATAATCGATACACTAATGACACAAATGTATGAAATAGAAATAGTGATATGGTTTGGATCTGTGTCCCTATCCAAATCTTATGTTGAAATGTAATTCCCAGTGCTGGAGTTGGGGTCTAGTGGTAGGTGGTTGGATCATAGGAGCGCTTTCTCATAAATGGTTTAGCACCGTCCTCCTAGTGGTGTTCTTATGATAGAGTTCTCACAAGATCCGGTTGTTAAAAAGTGTAGTAACTTCCCCCTCTCTCTCTTCCTCCTGCTCTGGCCATGTGAAATGCTGGCTCCCCTTTTGCCTTCTGTCATGATTATAGGTGTCCCCAGAAACCAAGCAGATACTGCCATGCTTCCTGTACAGCCTGCAGGACCATGAGCCAATTAAACCTCTTTTCTTTATAAATTACACAGTCTCCAGTATTTCTTTATAGCAATGTGAGAAGGAATACAAAAATTGGTACCAGTAGTGAGGTATTTTGATAGAGATACCTGAAAATATGGAATTGGCTTTGGAACTGGGTAATGGGCAGATGTTGGAAGACTGGAGTGGGGCTCAGAAGAAGACAGGAAAATGAGGGAAAGTTTAGAACTTCTTAAAGACTTGTTAAATTGTTGTGACCAAAATGCTGATAGTGATATGTACAGTGAAGTTCAGACTGAGGAGATCTCAGAGAGAAATTAGAAACTTATTGGGAACTGAAATAAAGGTCACTTTTGCTCTGAGTTAGTAAAGAACCTGGCAGCATTGTGCTCCTGCCCTAGGGATCTGTGGAACATTGAATTTGAGAGTAAGATTTAGGGTATCTGGTGGAATAAATTTCTAAGCAGCAAAGCATTCAAGGTATAGCCAGGCTGTTTTGAACAGCCTACACTCATAAGCATGAGCAAAGAAATTACATAAAACTGGAACTTATATTTAAAGGAGAAGCAAAGTGTAAAAATTTGAAAAATTTCCAGCTCAGCCATGTGGTAGAAAAGTAAAGCCCATTTTTAGGGGAGAAATTCAAGCTGGCTGTAGAAATTTTTTTCATAAGTAAAGAGGGACCAATTGCTAATAACCAAGACAATGGGAAAGGGCCTCAAAGGCATTTCAGAGATCTTCATGGCAGCCCCTCCCATCATAGGTCCAGAGGCCTAGAATGAAAGAATGGTTTCCTGGCCCAGGCTCAGGGCGCTGTTGACCTGTGCAGTCTGGGGACACTGCTTCTCGAGTCCCAACCACTGCAGCTCCAGCCATGGCTGAAAGGGGCCCATGTACAGCTCAGGCCACTTCTTCAGAGGGTACAAGACATAAGCCTTAGTAGCTTCTGCATTATGTTAAGCCTGTGGGTGCACAGAGTACAAGAGTTGAGGCTTGGGAGCTTCTGTCTAGATTTCAGGGGATGTATGGAAAAGCCTGGGTGTCCAGGGAGAAGCCTGCTGCAGGAGTGGAGCCCTCACAGAGAACTTCTACTAGGGTAGTGCAGAGGGGAAACATGGGGTTAAAGCCGCCATGCAGAGTCCCCTCTGGAGCACTACATAGTGGAGCTGTGAGAGGAGGGCCACCATCCTCCAGACTCAAAATGATAGATCCACCAGCAGCTTACACTCTCAGCCTGGAAAAGCCACAGGCACTCAGTGCCAGCCCTTAACAGCAGCTTTGGAGGATGAACCCTGGAAAGCCACAGGGGTAGAGCTGCCCAAAGCTTTTGGAGCCCACCCCTTGCACAAGTTTTCCCTGGATATAGGACATGGAGTCAAAGATTATTTTGAAGCCTTAAGATTTATTGACTTCCCTGCTGGGTTTTGGAATTGCAAGGGGCCAGTAACCCCTTTCTTTTGGCTGATGTCTCCCATTTGGAACAGGATTATTTACCCAATGCTTATACCACCATTGTATCTTGGAAGTAACCAGCTTATTTTTGATTTAATAGGCTCATAGACTAAAGGACCTTGCCTTGTCTCAGATGAGATTTTGGACTTTGGACTTTTGAGTTAATGCTGGAATGAGTTAAGACTTTGAGGGTTATTGAGAAGGCATGACTGTATTTTGCAATGTGAGAAGAACATGAGATTTGGAAGGGATCAAGGGTGGAATGATCTGGTTTGGATATGTGTCCTTACTCGAGTCTCATGTGGAAATATAATCCCCAGTGCTGGAGGTGGGGCCTGTTGGGAGGTTATTGGATCATGGGGGTGGTTTCTCATGAATGGTTTAGCACCACCCCTCTGGTACTGTTCTCATGACAGAGATCTTGTTGTTTAAAAGTGTGTGGCACCTGTCTCCTCTTTATATTTCTTCTGCTCTGGCCGTGTGAAATAATGGCTCCCCCTTCGCATTCTGCCATGATCGTAAGATTTCTGAGGCCTCCCCAGAAACTGAGCAGCTGTCATGTTTCCTATACAGGCTGCAGAACCATGAGCTAATTAAACCTCTTTTCCTTATAAATTACCCAGTCTCAGCTGTTTCTTTATAGCAATGAGAGACTGGACTAATACAACTAGTAAACCAAAGCCAGGGGATGGTAACCAAAAAGTTTGGGATTGGGCTTGCTTCTCAACAGGGAACAGAAGAAGCAGATTAGAGAATAACACAGAAGTAAATGCAAAATTATGTTCATATTCTTTAGATAAGTTGTGCTTCTAGACATGTTCATTTTATGAATATGATTTATATCTCACATGATTTTAATATCCCATTGTCTGTTTAACAATTATTTTGAAGACATCAGTCAGAATTTGAGCAATTCAATTATTTGAGTTTTCTGGACTTAGTCTTTGCCTTCATTAATGAGGTTTATGAACTCTTTAATTATTGAAGTTTTTTTATTATTCAATTATTCATGTTAGAATTTTGCATAATTCCATCATCCTAAATAGCTTAAGACTAAGTACTGTTGACCCTTGAGCAACAGGGGCTTGAACTATGAAGACCCATGTAGACTCAAAATTTTTTCTATGAAAATTACATCAAGTGGGCCTGCCACCCCTTCCACCTCCTCCACCGCTTCTGACTCTGCCACCCCTGAAAGAGCAAGGCTAACCCCTTCTCCTTCTCCTCCTCCTCTGCCTACTCAACATATCAACGATGAGGATGAAGACCTTTATGATAATCCACTTTCAGAGTAAATATATTTTTATTTATGATTTTTTAAATAAAATTTTAATTTTCTAACTTACTTTATGGTAAGAATACAATGTATAATACATATAATATACAAATATGTATAAATTGGGTGTTTATGTTATTGGTAAGGCTTCTGGTCAACAGTAGGCTATTTGTAGTTAAGTTTTAGCAAAGTCAAAAATTATACGCAATTTTCAACTGGGCAGGGGATGGCGTCCTTAATTTCTGCATTCTTCAAGGGCCAACTGCTTGTGTGTGTGTGTGTGTGTGTGTGTGTGTGTGTGCGCGTGTGTGTATGCTATGTTCCTTCCATTTATTGATATGTTGGATAATGATTAAACAGCAGCTAAAACACTCAGAAATTATAGAATCAGCCATAATATTCACTAAATATTTGGCTTACTATCCGTATAACTTTGGGCCAGTTACCCAAACATACTCTTTGGTTTCTACATGTGTAAGTTGGAAAGGTATACCTGTGCCAAGGAGGTGGTTATGCAGGAGATTAAATTATATATATATATATATAATTCCTACTGTAATAGTAGTGAACTAAATAAATAAATGATAACCTCCTCATCTACCTCTTCCTTCAGCTCAGCACAATAGTTATCATTATCCTCTTCATAATCATAAACATTACAAACAATCTATTTATATAATCAATATATTTTTATTGTGTCATATTATGTACCAGAAATGGTGCCAGGTTAGTATCAGTGGCAAAAGTATGAATGAAATTATACCCAAAAGGCAAATCTATAGTCACAAGTCAAAATAGTAATCTTTCTAGGAAAGACCCACTGTATTTCAGAATGCTTGAACAACACAATAAGGCTAAAGTCAATTATTTAAAGAATTCACTCTCAAGATCTAACCTCTCCTTGAAAATCCGGCCAGATGCCTGAGTCAGCATTTTCCCAATTGTGTTTGAAGGAAATATAGTCCCATAAGATGCTCCTAGGGAAAAAGAGCAGGATTTCATGATAAAATCAGTTGGGGAAGACTATATTATATTTCCTTTGAAAATTCACAAGACATACTAGCATATGAATGCCTCTGAGAAGTTTTAGAGTAATGAATTCTGTTTACCTGTATTTGCCCCACAGCAATAAAAAAACTGACCTTGGAAATCTTTTAAAGTTATAAATATTGATATCTTTTCAAACTGATGTATATGAAGGTAGCTAATTATCACTCAAATCATTAGTAAAATATATTAGAAATATACAAAAACTTAAAAAACCTTAATATATTAAGTCACTGAAGAAGTTTTACAATGTAAGAAATGTCTAGCTCCATGCAATGCCTTAAGGTTTAATATAACTCAGCAGTTTGAGAGGCCAAGGTGGGAAATCAGTTCAGGCCAGGAATTGGACACCAGCCTGAGCAACATATTGAGACCCTGTTTCAAAAAAAAAAAGAGATATCTTTATACATCTGTGCATGTGTATATATGTAGACTTAGATGTATACAGGTATTTTAAACTTGCAAAATCAGGTATTTCTGAGAGTTGGAATAACAGGTGATTTTTATTTTTAAATACTTCTTTCAGTAATCTTGCTTTCCTACACTGAATGAATATTTCTTCAATAATCAGGAAAATTAACAAATAATATGAATTTATTATAATTTACCTAAATATTATACATTAAAATTTAAGTTTAGAAATTGGTATGTGTTTGCTACTACCGGGGTTGTTAGATGACACCCACAAAAAATGTATAAATGGTTCATAACTTATTAAAATACTTACTATATCTGCAATTAAAATTGATATCTTTCATTAACTATTACTAATTTTAAAAAATCAGTAATTTTCTAATGATCCCCATATTCTAGATACTGCATAATTCTAAGGCAACTTAAAGTATTATTCCTTGGCTTCCATATAATTTTTGACTTTGCTAAAACTTAACTACTAATAACTCCCTTGGCTCCCTGGTGGTTACTATTTAACCATAACACTGGCTTAATAAGAGAAGAAAGTTGCCAATTTAAATACAACCATGAAGTATGAGGACAGTTATAAAACAAACACATGGATTTCATTGATGACTGAAATTAAATCATACCTAGTGTTTTCCTGTGCAAAAAAGCAAACAGGAAATCATGCAATTTTATGTTATCAAAGGCTTAATTCATTAACAATCTATTTTATTCCATTTTATTTTAATTAGCTTTATGGTATTATTTATCTTTAGTGGAAATTAAATATAATTAATAGAGTTAGTTAAATAGAATTAAAGCATTTTCCCTGGCAAAGAAAATTTACAGCAAGTTTGTGGTTTTTAAAAATAAAAATAACAAAACATCGACTACAATAAAAATGATTTAAATGTAATTCATCTTTTTTATATAACTCATTAAATGAAATATTAAAGATTGACTGTGTTACCAGTCATTGATGGAAATTTGTTGTCTATTCATGGTTAACAATATCTATGGAAGGTTCAAGTTTTTGCAGTGTCCAGATGTGTACAGGACAATAGGAATGTTCATATTCATTTTCCTGGAATTTCTTTACAGCTTTTCTCTTAGGCATGTAATCACTCTAGGAAGGATATGAGATTTTTCAGTTATTCAATTCACACATACACACTTACACAATTATTAATTTAGTGAAAACAAAAAGAAAATGAGCTTTCTTATATCTAGGAGCAAAATTCATTTCTTCAACACAGGCACACAAAAAAATAAGTCTCACATATATGAAGTCAAGGTCTTGCATAGAAATTCTTAATCAGTGGGTACTTTTTACCTGGTAGCCACTCAGTAGTCTCTTCGCTCTTTTCCTCATTGCTTTTAAATTGAAAAAAGGTTAAGGAAAAAAATGACACTCTGCTCCTCTGGTAATTTCTAGAATTGCAATTAGTGAGGAAAGATATTTGAGAAAGTTATCATCAACTAGTCTTCTTTTCTTTGATATGTAAGGTGAAATTGTGTGTGTCTGTGTGTTTGTGTCTATGTGTGTATGTGCCACATTCATAGAAGTCAGAATGCATCATTTCTACAACACAAGAATTGGGATCAATCTCCTCTGCCAAGAACTTGAACTTTGGACTAAAGTGTAAATCAACATTGATCAAAAAAATTGAAATCCAAAAGGTGAAGAAATTTTGCAAGACCACTTCCCTGCTCTAAATGAGTTTAAGTTCTACTGCCAGAAGAAATTTATTCCAGGGCATTGTGGTAACACAGAGATGAAGAGATGTCAGTTACTTTTAAGAAATCAGAAAATTTTACAAGAATAGTGCCAGACAGAGAAACACAACTATGCAATTTTAATTTTAAAAAGAATAAAATAGTGGATTCTGCAAACAACAAGCCAAGAAGATTTGGTGTTAATTTTGAATAACATTGTATTTATCTATTTATCATTTATTTATTATGTATTTATTTATTTATTTGCTGTGCAGTAGATCTTTTGAACTTATTCTTTTTTTATTTATTTCAATAGGTTTTGGGGGAACAGGTAGTGTCTGATTACATGAATAAGTTCTTTAGTGGTGATTTCGGAGATTTTGGTGTGCCCATCACCTGAGCAGTGTACACTCTACCCAAAGTATTGTCTTTTATCCCTCACTCCTTCCCACCCATTCCCTGAAACGCCAAACTCCATTGTGTCATTCTTATGTCTTTGCATCTTCATAGCTTAGCGCCTACTTATGAGCAACAACATATTATGTTTGGTTTTCCATTTGAGTTACCTCACTTTGAATAGTGGTCTCAAATTCCATCCAGGTTGCTGCAAATGCCATTATTTCATTCCTTTTTATGGCTGAGCAGTATACACACAAACACACACACATATAAATGTGTGTGTGTATTTGTATCACACTTTCTTTATCCACTCCTTGATTAATGGGCATTTAGGCTGTACTTTATTTTTGCAATTGCAAGTTTTGCTGCTATAAATATGTCTGCGTAAGTATCTTTTTGTATAATGACTTATTTTACTCAGAGTAGATACCCACTAGTGGGATTGCTGAATCAAATGCTAGATCTACTTTTAGTTCTTTAAAGTATCTCCACACTGTTTTCCATAGTGGTTTTACTAGTTTACATTCCCACCAACAGTGTAAAAGTGTTCTCTTTTCACCACATCCACACTATCATCTATTATTTTTAAACTTTTTGATTATGGCCATTCTTGAAGGAGTAAGGTGGTATTGCATTGTGGTTTTAATTTGCATTTCCCCGATAATTAGTGATATTGAGCATTTTCTCATGTGTTTGTTGGCCATTTGTATATCTTCTTTTGAGAATTGTCTATACATGTCCACTTTTGAAAGGATATGTTTTTCTTGCTGATTTGTTTGTGTTCCTGTAGGTGCTGGATATTAGTCCTTTGTTGGATGTATATGTTGTGAAGGTTTCTCCCACTCTGTGGGTTGTCTATTTACTCTGCTCTTTATTTATTTCTGTTCAGGAGGCTCTTTAGCTAATTAAGTCCCATCTATTTATCTTTACTTTTGTTGCCTTTGTTTTTGGGTTCTTGGTCATGAAGTCTTTGTCTAAGCCAATGTCTAGAAGGGTTTTTCCAATGTATCTTCTAGAATTTTTATGTTTTCAGGTCTTAGATTTAAGTCTTTGATCCATCTTGAGTTGATTTTTGTATAAGGTGAATGATGATCCAGTTTCATTTTTCTACATGTGGCTTGTCAGTTACTCCAGCACCACTTGTTGAATAGGGTGACCTTTTCTCATTTTATATTTTTGTTTGCTTTGTCTAGTATCAGTTGACTGTAAGTACTTGACTATATTTCTGGGGTTTCTATTCCGTTCCATTGGTCTATATGCATGTTATTATACCAGTACCATGCTGTTTTGGTGACTATAGCCTTATAGTATAGTTTGAATTTGGGTAATGTGGTGCCTCCAGATTTGTTCTTTTTGCTTAGTCTTCCTTTGACTATATGGGCTCTTTTTGCTTCCACATGAATTTTAGGAATTTTTTTTTTTTAGTTATTTGAAGGATGATTGTGGTATTTTGATGGGAATTGCATTGAATTTGTAGATTGTTTGTGGCAGTGTGGTCATTTTCACAATACTGATTCTTCCCATCCATGAGCATGGGATGTGTTTCCATTTGTTTGTGTCATCTATGATTTTTTTCAGCAGTGTTTTGTAGTTTTCCTTGTACAGGTCTTTCATGTCCTTGGTTAAGTATATTCCTAAGTTTGTTTGTTTGTTTGTTTGTTTTTTGCAGCTATTGTAAAAAGAGGTGAGTTCTTACTTTGTTTCTTAGCTTGGTCACTGTTGGTGTATAGCAGGCTACTGATTTGTGTACATTAATTTCATATCCTGAGACTTTGCTGAATTCACTTATCAGATATAGGAACTTTTTGGATAAGTCTTTAGCGTTTTCAAGGTATATGATCATATCATCAGCAAACAATGACAATTTGACTTCATCTTTCCTGATTTGGATGTTATTCATTTCTTTCTTGTCTGTTTGCTCTGGCTAGGACTTCCTGTGCTATGTTGAATAGAAGTGGTGAAAATGGGCATCCTTGTCTTGTTCCAGTTCTCAGGAGGAATGCTTTCAACTTTTCCTCATTCAGTATAATGTTAGCTGTGGATTTGTCATTGATGGCTTTTATCACCATAAGGTATGTCCCTTCTATGCCAATTTTGAGGAGAGTTTTAATCATAAAGTGATGCTGAATTTTGTCAAATGCTTCTCCTGTATCTATTGAGATGATCTTGTGATTTTTGTTTTTAATTCTGTTTATGTGGTCTGTCACATTTATTGACTTGTGGATATTAAGCCTTCCCTGCATCCCTTGTATGAAACCCACTTGATCATGGTGGATTATCCTTTTGATATACTGTTGGGTTTGGTTAGCTAGTATTTTGTTGAGGATTTTTACATCTATGTTCATCACAGACTATGGTCTGTAATTTTCTTTTTCTTTTTGGCATCAATTCTTCTTTGAATGTCTGATAGAATTCAGCTGTGAATTCATCTGGTACTGGACTTTTTTTATTGGCAATTTTTTTATTATGATTTCAGTCTCACTGCTTGTTATTGGTCTGTTCAGAGTTTCTATGTCTTCCTGGTTTAATCTAAGATGGTTGTATATTTCCAGGAATTTGTCCATTTCCTCTAGGTTTACTAGTTTATGCACATAAAGGTATTCATAGAAGCCTTGAATAATCTTTTGTATTTCTGTGGTATTGGATGTAATATCTCCTGTTTTGTTTCTATTGAGCTTATTTGAATCTTCTCTCTTCTTTCCTTGGTTAATGTTATCAATAGTCTATCAATTTTATTTATCTTTTCAAAGAACCAAACTTTTGTTTCATTTATCTTTTGTATTTTTATGTTATTGTTGTTTTCATTTCATTTAGTTCTGCTCTGACCTTTATTTCTTTTCCCCTGCTAGGTTTGGATTTGGTTTGTTTTTGTTTCTCCAGCTCCTTGAGGTGGACCTTAGATTGTCTATTTGTGCTCTTTCAGGCTTTTTTATGTAGGCATTTAATGCTATGAACGTCTCTCTTTGCACTGCCTTTGCTGTATTCCAGAGGTTTTGATAGGTTGTGTCACTATTATCATTCAGTTCAAAGAATTTTTAAATTGGCCGGGCGCGGTGGCTCACGCCTGTAATCCCAGCACTTTGGGAGGCTGAGGCGGGCGGATCACGAGGTCAGGAGATCGAGACCATCCCAGCTAAAACGGTGAAACCCCGTCTCTACTAAAAATACAAAAAATTAGCCGGGCATAGTGGCGGGCGCCTGTAGTCCCAGCTACTTGGGAGGCTGAGGCAGGAGAATGGCGTGAACCCGGGAGGCGGAGCTTGCAGTGAGCCGAGATCCCGCCACTGCACTCCAGCCTGGGCGACAGAGCGAGACTCCGTCTCAAAAAAAAAAAAAAAAAAAAAAAAGAATTTTTAAATTTCTATCTTGCTTTCATGTTTGACCTGATGATCATACAGGAGCAGGTTATTTAATTTCCATGGACTTGTGTGGTTTTGAGAGTTCCTTTTGGAGTTGATTTTCAATTTTATTCCACTGTGGTGTGAGAGAGCACTTGCTATAATTTTGATTTTCTTAAATTTGTTGAGACTTGTTTTGTGGTCTAACATATGGTCTATCTTGGAGAATGTTCCATGTGCTGATGAATAGAATGTATATTCTGCAGTTGTTGGGTAGAATGTTCTGCAAATATCTGTTAAGCCCATTTGTTCTAGGGTATAGTTTAAGCACATTGTTTGTTGGCTTTCTGTCTTGATGACCTGTCTAGTGCTGACAGTGGAGTATTAAAGTCCCCTACTATTATTGTGTTGCTATCTCATTTCTTAGGTCTAGTGGTAATTGTTTTACAAATTTGGGAGCTGCAGTGTTAGGTGCATATATATTTAAGATCATGATATTTTCCTGTTGGACTAGTCCTTTTATTATTATATAATGTCCCTCTTTGTCTTTATCAACTGCTGTTGCTTTAAAGTTTGTTTTGTCTGATATAAGAATAGCTACTCCTGCTTGCTTTTGGTGTCCATTTGCATGGAATATCTTTTTCCACCCCTTTACCTTCAGTTTACATGAGTCCTTATGTGTTAGGCGAGTCTCTTGAAGAGAGCAGATACTTAGTTGGTGAAATCTTATCCATCTGCCATTCTGTATCTTTTAAGTGGAGCATGTAGGCCATTTAAATTCAATGTTAGTATTGAGATGTGAGTTACTATTCTATTCGTCATGCTATTTGTTGCTTGAATACCTTGGATTTTTTTCATTGTGTTGTTATTTTATAGATCCTGTGAAATTTATGCTTTAAGGAGATTCTATTTTGGTATAGTTTTAGGATTTGTTTCAAGATTTTGAACTCCTTTTTGCAGTTATTGTAATGCTGGCTTGATAGTGGCAAATTCTCTCAGCATTTGTTTGTCTTTAAAAGACTTTATCTTTCCTTCATTTACGAAGCTTAATTTCCCTGGATACAAAATTCTTGGCTGATAATTATTTTGCTTGAGGAGGCTAAAAATATAACTGCAATCCCTTCTAGCTTGCAGGGTTTCTGCTGAGAAATCTGCCATTAATCTGATAATTTTCCTTTATTGGTTATCTGAGGCTTTTGCCTCACAACTCTTAAGATTCTTTCCAAAGTCCTGACTTTAGATAACCTGATGACTATGTGCCTAGGTAATGATCTTTTTGCAATGAATTTCCCAGGTGTTCTCTGAGCTTCTTATATTTGGATGTCTAGATCTTTAGCAAGGCCCAGGAAGTTTTCTTCGATTATTCCCTCAAATAAGTTTTCCAAATTTTAGATTTATCTTCTTCCATGGGTACACCAATTATTATTATGTTTTGTCATTAAACATAATCTCAAACTTCTTGGAGGCTTTGTTCCTTTTTCTTTTTTTAAAAAATTATTTTCTTTGTCTTTGTTGCATTGGGTTAATTCAAAAGCCTAGATTGGCTTAATTGTTGGCCTTTTGAATTCTTTTTCTGGCAATTCAGAGATTTTGTCTTGGTTTGGATCCATTGCTTGTGACCTAGTGTAATATTTTGGGGGTGATAAAGAACCTTGTGTTGCCATATTACCAAGAATTGTTTTTCTGGTTCCTTTTCACTTAGGAAGACTACGTCAGAGGGAAGATCTGGGAATCAAAGGCTGCTGTCCAGATTATTTTGTCCAATAGGGTACTCCCTTGATGTAGTGCTCTCCCCTTTTCCCTAGGGATGGGGCTTTCTGAAAGCCAAACTGCAGTGATTATTATTTCTCTTCTGGATTAGCCACCCAGAAGAGATACTGAGCTCTGGACTTGTACTGGGGAATGTTTACAAACAGTCTTGTGATGTGATTCATCTTCAGGTCTCTCAGCCATGGATACCAGCACCTGCCCCAGTGGAAGTAGCAGGGGAGTGAAGTGGGACTTTCTGAGGGTCCTTGGTTGTATTTTTGTCAAATGTACTAGTTTTGTGTTGGCTGGTCTCCAGCCAAGAGGTGGTGCTTTCAAGAGTGCATCAGCTGTGGTAGTATAGGGAGGATCAGGTGGTGTGCTGGGCCCTAGAGCTCCCAAGAGATTATGTCCTTTGTCTCAGACTATAAGGGCGGGCAGGTAGAGAAAGACCATCGGGTGGGGGCAGGGCTAGGCATGTCTGAGCTCAGACTCTCCTTTGGTGGGGGTTGCTGTGGCTGCTGTGGGGAATGAGGGTGTAGTTCTTAGGCCAATGGAGTTATGTTCTTATTGGGGATTATGGTTGCCTCTGCTGTGTCACATAGATCACCAGGGAACTGGAGGAAAGCTGGCAGTCTCACCCACCTCCCATGCAGCCCACAGGCCAAAAGGCCTGTCTCACTCCCACTGTGCCCCGCAAAACACTGAGCGTATTTCTAGGCAGCCTGTGAGCTGCGCTGAGAACTTGCCCCAGGCTATAAGCCTCCCAGATGAGAAAGCAAGCTGACTCGCAGTTCTCCAGCTGTCCCACAGAGCCTGCAGGGGCAATCCACCTCTTTCCTTCAAACGGTCTATGGATTCTCTTGGTTTTTGTGGTATGTTTCTGCAATAGTTCTTGGAGCAAAAATTCACGATGGGAGTCTCCACACGCTGCTCTGTCCATCTGAGTGGGAGCTGCAAGTTATTCCTGCCTTCCCTCAGACATTTTCCCCAGAATCTGGATAACATTTTTAAAAGAATTAGCAAAAAATAGGTTGTTAACACTTCATAAACAAGATTTATGAAAACCATATAATATATTCATAAGAACAAAATACTTTCAGAAGCTTGTTACATTTTAGGGGGAGAGTGAGCATGGTTTCCAGAATAATGGATCAAAGAACTATGATAATAAACAGTGTATGAACATTAGCAAAGTAGTTCATATGATTTTTTTTAATAAGAAAAACGATTTGGTTGAGTAATCTTTTTAGAAGGGTAGATTAACAGGATGATTCACTCAGAAAAAAGATGCATCTTTTGGCATTATGTAAGGGTCCAGTTCTCAGTCATTTCTTAATTCATTATGAAGGAAACGTTTATTGAATGACTGCTATATGCCAAATACCTAGGAAAAAGGGATTTACCATCAATTTAGAGAGACATAAATAATCAAAAAAATTACAATGTGGGTGGTGTGGGGGTTGAGGGGGTCTGTAAATACATGTGAAAGTGGAAGGGATTCAAAAAAAGATCTACAGAAAAGTTGACTCCTGAGCCGAGTTGTTGAGTAAAAACACAGTTAAGATTATTTTGAAATTAAGAAGAAGGCTATGGGGAGGGCAATAAGCTAATACAAATAGAATTGGGCAAGAGGATGCCCAGCTCACTCAGGAAATTGCAAGTAAGTCATAAAGCAAGGCACAAAGTGGTAAAGATGCGAGCCTAGTATTGTAATAAGGATTCAGAAAAAAGAAGTACAACATAAACCAAAGCATGCTAAGAAGTTTACATTTCATTTTAAAAGTTATAGGTAAGTATTTGAAAGAGAATTAAGATGAATTTGTCAATCTTAAAGATCAATCTAATGGAATAGAAGAAGACTAAAAGATGGGATGCAGGAAAAACAGTTGAGAACTTAACACAATCATTCAGGTATGAGACACGACACCTGCATGAGAACTTTTTAAAAGAGAGGTTGATTATTCACCCAGCTAATATTTATTGAGCATTTACTTATTGTACGTGGCTAGGCATTGCTGCTTCAGTGCTGAAAGTCCTGATTCTACTGTTGCCTTCTGGGAGCATATAGTCCTTCATGGAACAGGAACAAATGCCATGTAATGAGTGCTTGCCAGATGCTAGGTACTGTGCCGAATATGCATTTAATTCTAAACTCTAAATTATTTCTCAATTAATCCTCTACCATCCTGTGGGGCATGTGTTAGAATCCCCAGATAGTCAGATGGGAAAAAAGAGGCCCAGAAAGTTGTAAGCGATTTGCCCAAATGACTAATGATTATACAGATGAGGCAAGCCTGGCTCTAATAAGGTCCTTACTTTTAATCACTGAGATCAGATTGAGAGGTACTTACATAAAATTTCTATCATTCAAGTTTCAGTCAGGTAAAGGGAGCCCATTCCACTCAACTAAATGAAGAATGACAACTAGAATAAAAGGTGATTGAAGAGCAAGGAGGACAAAAAAATGAATGGGAAAAATCCCAGAGATCAGTAACTGCAGGAAATTATTACCACTCTTAGAGCTGGAGGTACAAAGAGAGGAGGAAACCTTGCCAAAGCTGTCCTCAGCTTTGTCCCGTCTTAGGAGGAAACAAAGAACATGCAGTCATTTCAAAAGACAAGGGAAGGGATCTTTCTCCTCAGTTTCTCTCTCTCTTTGTATGTTGTTTATTTTGTTTTGTTTTAAGTTGTGATAAGAACCCTTAAGATGAGATCTACCCTATTAACAAATTTTAAGTGCACAATACAGAATAGTTAACTATAGGCACGATGTTACACAACAATCCACTAGAATTTATTCATCTTGCATAACTGAAACTGAAACTTCATAGCCATTAAACAGGACCTCCCCATTTCCCTCTCACCCCAGCCCTGGACAACCAGCATTCTACTCTCTGTTTCTATGAGTTTGACTATTTTGTATACCTCATATGAGTGGAATCATGTAGTATTTGTCCTTCTGTAACTGGTTCATTTCATTTAGCATAATGCCCCCCAGGTTAATCCATGTTGTCACATATTTCAGGATTTACTTTTTTATTAAAACTGAACAGGACTTCATTGTGTGTATTTGCCACATTTTTTCTATTCATCTTTCAATAGACATTTATGTGGTTTCCATATCTTGGCTATTTTGAATATTAGTGTAATAAACATGGAAATACAAATATCTCTTCAAAATCCTGATTTCAATTCTTTTGGCTATATACCCAGAAGTGGCATTTCTGAGACATATGATAGTTCTATTTTTAATTTTGAGAAACGTCTCTACTATCTTTCATAGCAGCTGCACCATTTTACATTCCCAACAATAGTGTACAAAGACTCCAATTTTCCAAATCTTTGCCAATATTTATCTTTTTTATTCCTCTTTTGGATAGTGGTCATCTTAAAGGGTGTAAGCTGGTATCTCATCATGGTTTTAATTTGCATTTCCCTGATGATTAGTGACACTGAGCATCTTTTAATATACCTGTGAGCTATTTGTTTGTCTCCTTTGAAGCAATGACTATTCAAGTCTTTTGCCTATTTTTAAATCAGGTTATTTGTGTCTTTGCTGTTGAATTGTGGACATTCCTTACATATATATATATGGGTATTAACCCCTTGTGAGATATGTAGTTTGCAAATATTTTCTACCATTCTGTTGGGTGCCTTCAAACTCTGTTGGTTGTCTCTATTGCTGTACAAAGCTTTTTAGTTTGATGTGGTACCACTTGTCTACTTTTTATTTTTGTTGTTTGTGATTTTAGTGTCATATACAAAAAAATCATTGCCAGGACCAATGTCAGGAAGATTCCCCCATGTATTCTTTTATGACTCTTACTGTTTTCAATCTTATGGTTAAATCTTTAATAATTTTGCATCTTTTTATGTATGGTATAAGATAAGGTTCTAATTTCATTACATTGCGTGTTATATTCAGTTTTCCAAACACCATTTGTTGTAGAGACTATTCTTTCCCTATTGTGTTTATTTTTTATACTCTTTTGAAAGATCAGTTAACTGTACCTGTGTGCAATTTTTCTATGCACTATTCTGTTCCATTCAACACTCTTTTATGATAAAAACTCTTAACTGGTATAGAAAGAATTTACCTCCATATAATAAAGATCACACATGAAAAGCCCACAACTAACATCATACTCAACAGTGAAAAACTGAAAGCTTTTCCTTTAAGATTAGGAGCAGGTAAGGGTGGTCACTCCCACCACTTCTATTCAACGAGGTCCTAGCCAGGGTAAAGAGGCAAGAAAAAGAAGTAAATGACATCCAAATTAAAAATGAAGAAATTAAATCATCTGTGTTTGCAAAAGACATAATTTTATATGTAGAAAACCCTAAGGATGCTGCCTGCACACACACACACATGCACACACACACATGCACACACAGACACACACACACACAACTGGTAGAATAAACAATTCAGTAAACATATAGCTACAAAATTGATATTCGAAAATAAGTTGTGTTTCTATACACACTAACAATGAAATGTCAACAAAAAACTTTAAAAAATTCCATATACAATAGCATTAAAAATAATAAAGTATCTAGGGATAACCAGGACTTATACACTGAAAACCATATAACATTTATTAAAGTAATTTTAAAAGACACAAATACATAGAAAGACATCCTGTCTTCATGGATTAGAAGACTTTAATGTCATTAAAATGTCCATATATGTCAAAGCCATCTCCTGATTCAATACAATCCCTATCAAAATATCAATGTACATTTTTATAAAAATATAAAAGATAAATCCTACCATTCATATGGAACCACAAAAAAACCCAAATAGCCAGAGCGATCTTGAAAAAAAATAATAACAAAGCTGGAGGGATTACACTTCCTGGAAAAAAATATGTGTGTGTGCGTGTGCCTATGTGTGTATATATATATATATATACATATGTGCGTGTGTACATATATATATATATGTATATCTCATAATGGGTTACAAAATTATAGTAGTTAAAGCAGTATGGTTCTCCTCTTCTAACTCTAGTCCTTGACTCTATTCCGCTACAATGTTTCCCAATGGCTGAACATAACCCAAAGGCAGAAGTGAGCTGCTAAGAGAAGCAAGGAAAGGAGTATGCAAAATTGTCCCTCCACCTCTCCGAGGTAGAAATTGTATGCTCCTACATGGAGCTTGAACTTTATCTATAGATGTTTTTGAAGTATTAAGTTTTCTAAAATAGTGAATGGTAGGTTAAGATCTGTCTTTTAACTAGATCACATTCCAATTGTAGTGTGGTTAATAAAACTGAAGAAAGCAAGACTGAAATTCGAGAAGCCAGCTAGAAGGCTGCATTTGTTTAGAGAGTACTCAGGTGCCATAGTGATACCATTAACACAGAAAGGGAACAGGTGTGCAGGAGCATATTAGGCTAAGAAGAAAAAGTCGTGGGTTTGGAAAATACTAAGTTTAAGGTGTTTCAAAGCGGACCTGAAGAGTAGAGAATCTGTAGCTCAAAAGTGGTCAGAAGGGAATGTTTATCTTTGAAAACTATTGATGAATATACAAAGTAGTTGAGGTCATTGGCGTGGTTGAGACAATTTAGAGTGAAAACAGAAATATAATGTCAAGATGTTCCCAGAATTTTATCATTGATTCTAACAAGTGTAGGAAGTAATAATTTTCTTCATAACATTTTGTAAAAATACAGTGTCTATGGATCAATGAGTATAGAGCAGTAGAAGAAAACCAAGTGGTCTGCGAAGGGCCCTCTTTTGTCCATTTAGTGCCTCTAAGAGGCAGTGAGCTAAGTAAAGGCAGGAAGCCCAAAGAAAGGATAAATAATTTGCAACCTTTCTAAACAGAGAGAGGGTAACATCAAATATGAAGAATATGTGAAATATCTCTCCTAAAAATCAATTCTACTTTGAAATATCAAATTTTAATGTTTCAATAGATTTTAATTTCTATAGAAATAGACTAGATAATGTGGTGCTTTGTCCTGTAGATAATAAGCATGTTCTCTAGACGTAGAGATGTTTTCATTCATATCCTGAAAGAATAGGTTAACACAAAGTCAAGATTTCAATCCAAGAAATTATATATAGATATAAACATTTGTTAATGTATGCACATATGAATATATACCATTAAAAAAGTTTGCCTAGAACAATAATATCTACTGATTTTAAATACCCCACAATAATATGAAGCAAACAGGTGATGCAAAATGTTATAATGGGAACATTTCTCAGTCCTAGAACATTTTAAATATCACAAAAAAGTAACACCTGAAAATTCATGGAAACAATGTAGAGAGTTATGTATTTATGAGTGGAAACCAGGGACTTAAATGATTACTTGATGAATCACAGAACATTTTAAAAATAACTGGGAAATCATGGGCTGAAGAAAACACCCTTCCCAACACAGCAATTTTAAAATACACTAATATGCAAGTTATTTATACATATTCACCCATACACATATTTTAAGAACTATTCAATATCCTAAAAGCAATCACAAAATCAGTCTTCAGCTTAATCCTCATCTGTATTTTAATGATTTCAAAATATAGCCATGTTACAGAGTTTGAGGTTGCATATTGCTGCATTACTAGTTTCATAGCACTGTGGCCTTCCATCTTGGTAGCAATAAATTCTAGTAAATAGAGCCATTAACAGCATTTTATAGGGTCAAATGGAGCTATGGTACTATAAGTGTGGTGCTAAGTAAAATTTGAAGGATACTGTGTTACACTCAACTATTTATTAAAGCATTAAAATCAGGTCTTCTCAGGGATGTTTTGATTGTTTTTCATGATCTATTCTCTCTTTGACAGTTCTTGCTTTTATGTAGCAATTTGGGGGAAAAATGATTACCTAAGGTTTAACAAAGTTTGAAGTTTGCATTAAAATATGAGCTTTATAAAAGTATACACCTCACTAGAAGTAATTAAAACTAGCTTAAAACTATTCATGACCATACTTACACATGTCTATATTGTATTAAAATTTGAATAAATGTTATAATGATTTTGAACATGCACAACATATGGAGCATCTTTAATTAATAAAATTCAGTAAAACTGCAAGTCTTTAGTTCTTCAAGAATGCGTCAAAAATCAGTTTTGTAATAAAATGCAATGCCAATATAATATTACCATCCTTTAGTTCTAAAAATTGTTCTTTGCTCAATTTTTAGGCATCTTTTTAGGTTGTAAAAACTTACTATAATAAATTTTATTACATATATGTAATTGTAATCTATAACCATAAAAATGAAAAACTTGTATAGATTTCAATTTTCTATTTTGTATTAAGCTTCAAAAAAGAACTTATTTTTAAAATTATGAAATACATTATTATATTTTAAATATCTTACAATGTCAGTTAACATAATTTGGAAGGATACTAGTGCTGAAAATAACTCTCATATTGTACCAGTAAGTGATATGCTGTACATTAGCAGTGATATGGAAAATTATTTTAATTTGCTGATAAGCCAATATTTTATACAGGCAAAATGTGTTTATTTTAATGCAAATAAAAATAATTGAGTTAAATTTTATACACATGATTTTATAGATATTATTAATTGAGATGAGGATGAAGTAGGAATTTAAGTTTTAAAAGGTGAGTGGATCTAAAACAACGTTGAGTAAGTAATACCACGGGTGGCATGTGGTGGACCACACCCCCTATCTCCTTTATAATTACACTAATTAGAATATAATTGAGTACACAAATAATATGAATGCATTTTATAATTAATTTTTTAAGAAAAATATTACACACTACCTTAATCAATAAGCTCAAAACAAGCAAAACTAACAATAGCCAAATAGATGCATATCCTTGCCCTTTCTAGAAATAAAAGGAAAGGCATATTGTCTTAACTCAAATCACCTATGCAATTTTTATTAATAAGAGTGAGTGCTTATTTTTAATAAATTTTGATAAAATCGTTCCTATATTAATTTCCTTACTAAATGAAAGTTTTAAATAATGTGAGCATTTTATAAATCTTACTTCCCATATTTTTATGTTTTGTTCTGATACCTTTGCATGCCTCTTCTTACATAAACCTTTCAAAAATGGTTTCATAATTTACATGCATTTATTCTTTAATGTATTTCTTGAGCATAATGATTTGGGTTATGCTTACATTTTGATGTGTATTCTCTCCAAAACAAATGCAAGACAAAAAATTCAATAGGTAGCTTAAAGCAATTGTCTTGTGTATTCCATGAAACTTTTCCCCATGAATCCTAGAAAAATATAAGAAAATTTAAAAAGTATATTGCTGTTTTTTATTCTCTTTTGGAGGATTTATAATGAGATATGCTTTCATTAAGATGTCTCTCAGGAAGTGCTAGCTTTTTAGTAACCATAAATTTTGATAACTCATCCCTATGTAGTGGAATTTAATTGATTTTTAATGTAAATAAAATGTTCTCCTTTTTGAAGTCTGTAAAAGTAGAAACTTTGTATGAGTGCTCTTTCATGTATCTATCTATGAAGTTTGCCCTAAGATCTTTTGGCCTTCATTACCAGGTAAAAATCTTCTTAGTTGCGTAAGTTGTGCTGGTCTATTTTGCATTATTGTAAAGAAATACCTGAGGCTGGATAATTTATAAAGAAAATAGGTTTATTTTGGCTCATAGTTCTGCAGGATATATAAGAGGTATGATGCTGCCATCTGCTTCTGGTGAGGCCTCAGGAAGCTTAGAATCATGGTGAAAGGCTACCTGACTTCAAACTATACTACAAGGCTACAGTAACCAAAACAGCATGGTACTGGTACCAAAACAGAGATAAAGACCAATGGAACAGAACAGAGCCCTCAGAAATAATACCACACATCTACAACTATCTGATATTTGACAAACCTGACAAAAACAAGAAATGGTGAAAGGATTGCCTATTTAACAAATGGTGCTGGGAAAACTGGTTAGCCATATGTAGAAAGCTGAAACTGGATCCCTTCCTTACGCCTTATACAAAAATTAATTCAAGATGGATTAAAGGCTTCAATGTTAGACCTAAAACCATAAAAACCCTAGAAGAAAACCTAGGCAATACCATTCAGGACATAGGCATGGGCAAGGACTTCATGTCTAAAACACCAAAAGCAATGACAACAAAAGCCAAAATTGACAAATGGGATCTAATTAAACTAAAGAGCTTCTGCACAGCAAAAGAAACTACCATCAGAGTGAACAGGCAACATACAGAATGGGAGAAAATTTTTGCAATCTACTCATCTGACAAAGGGCTAATATCCAGAATCTACAAAGAACTCAAACAAATTTACAAGAAAAAAACAAACAACCCCATCAAAAAGTGGGTGAAGGATATGAACAGAGACTTCTCAAAAGAAGACATTTATGCAGCCAACAGACACATGAAAAAATGTTCATCATCACTGGCCATCAGAGAAATGCAAATCAAAACCACAGTGAGATACCATCTCACACCAGTTAGAATGGTGATCATTAAAAACTCAGGAAACAACAGGTGCTGGAGAAGATGTGGAGAAATAGGAACACTTTTACACTGCTGGTGGGACTGCAAACGAGTTCAACCATTGTGGAAGTCAGTGTGGCGATTCCTCACGGATCTAGAACTAGAAATACCATTTGACCCAGCCATCCCATTACTGGGTATATACCCAAAGGATTATAAATCATGCTGCTGTAAAGACACATGCACATGTATGTTTATTGCAGCACTATTCATAATAGCAAAGACTTGGAACCAACCCAAATGTCCAACAGTGATAGACTGGATTAAGAAAATGTGGCACATATATGCCATTGAATACTATACAGCCATGAAAAATGATGAGTTCATGTCCTTTGTAGGGACATGGATGAAGTTGGAAACCATCATTCTCAGTAAACTATCACAAGGACAAAAAAACAAACATCGCATGTTCTCACTCATAGGTGGGAATTGGACAATGAGAACACTTGGACACAGGAAGGGGAACATCACACACAGGGGCCTGTTGTGGGGTGGGGGAGGGGGGCGGGATAGCATTAGGAGATATACCTAATGTAAATGACGAGTTAATGGGTGCAGCACACCAACATGGCACATGCATACATATGTAACAAACCTGCACGTTGTGCACATGTACCCTAGAACTTAAAGTATAATAAAAAAAAAAATCATGGTAGAAGGCAAAGTGCGAGCCGATACATCACATGTCAAGAGAGGGAGCAAGAGAAAGGCCAGGCTTTTTTAAAACCATCAGCTCTTGCATGAACTGACAGAGCAAAAATTCACTTATTACTATGGGGAGGAAACCAAGCCATTAACAAGCGATCCACCCTGATCACCCCAAGTACCTCCCACCATACCCCACCTCCAACATTGGAGATTGTACTTCAACATGAGATTTAGAGGAGACAAACATCCAAACTATATCAAAGTTATATTTTCATGTGTCAAGGATATGAAAAAAATAACAAGTTATTTGGCAATTTCCCAAATATTCAAAATCCAACCATATAAATTATTTATTAGGAAAGCCCTAGTCTCTTTTTTCCCTCCTTCAGAATTGTAGCCATTTTGTGTATGACACTTCATAACAATGAAGAGAGAGAAGCAGAGAGATGAAATAAAAACCTTAATCATATTATTTGCACACTGATTGACATAGAACTTAACTAAACTTTCCAAAACTAAAATAAAGTACTTGAATGTGAAATTTCTATGTACGGGCTATCCATAGCCTCTTTTAGGATACCAATTGAAATTTTACTACAGCTAATTAAAATTGCAATGAGATACCACCACAACCTATTAGAATGGCTTTAAAAATAAAATAATGACCATATCAAGTACTAGTGACAATACAGAGCAACTGGAGCCCTCATACGTCATTGAGGGGAATGCACACTGGAGCAATCGCTTTGGAAAATAATTTTTCAGTCTTTTATGACATTAAATGTTCACTTACCATATGACCCAGAAATTCTATTCCTAGCTGTTTAACAAATTAGAAATAAAAATTTATTCACACAAAACATTACGTGAATGTGTATACCATAGTACCTCAACTTAGTTACAATTAAGCATACCAATAAGCATCAAATTATGGAATACTAATTGGCAATAAAAAGAAATGAGCAAATGATCCACCAGTAATGTAGATATCAAATGTACCATGTTAAGTAAAAGAAGCCAGCCTCAGAAGGATACATGCTACATGGTTTAGTTCATATGACATTCTAGAAAACCAATCTGTAGGAATAACACACAAATCAATGGTGTCCATAGGTTGAGAATGGAAGGTAAGATTGTATATAAGGGAAGGGGAAATTTGGGGCCATGATGAAACTCTATTTTTTGATTATTGTGCTGAGTTCACAACCGCATATATTGTCAAAACTTTCAGAAACTGCGCACTTTAAAATGTTGAATTTTGCTGTGTATAAATTATACAATAATAAAAATATGGAAACATTGTCCTCTGATATAACAGATAGGAAAATTTCTATCATCTTGCCTAAAATTAAGAAAGTACTCAATGAATTGGATTTCCTAAAATTAAATTAGGGTCATGGAGGTTTAGCATTGCCTGGATCCATCAGATATGAAGATTTCCAGTGTTTCAATACAAATAATGGTCTCCTAACACATGGGAACTAATCTTTTGTGTGTGTGGAATCACTTACATTTTACTCCATAGCATCAACTACATGAACTCTAAGTGGAACTTGCAAAGAAAATAAGGACTGGCAGTATATTTTAGATCAAAACTGTCTTACAGGATTTGCTTCTCTGTGTTTCCACAGAATCTGACACATATTTTAGAATGCTTAGAATTTTAGAATGCTTTACATCATGAACCATTATCATTCACTTCAGAAATAAATGTTCAGTATTTTTACCTGCAACATGGAAGCTAACGCAATATGTTAAGTGATATGCCATTAAATAAATTGACATCGATTTGAATGTTAAACTTTATGGAATAGTGGCCATATTTATATCAGCGCCTATGTTTGTGAGGAAATTGATTCATTCCTGTCAGGGGAACCTAAAGCAGTCACTGAGTTTATTATTATGAACTTGCTACAAAACGTTTCTGTGGCTATCCTGGAGCAGGACAAGGCATTGTAGAGCACACCATGTGGTCTTCCAATGGACCATATGATCCTTGCATTTTCAAATTTAATATTGAGTAAGCAAAGCATTTTACAGCTGAAATATCAACTGAGATAATGTAGCTAAGATATATCAACATCTATATTTACTGGAATTTTTAGTTAGTTTAATTCCCACAGTGACATTCTTTCACAATTATAAGACTTTTCACTATTGTTCCAAATCACAGTATAATCAAAGGAAAGCAAAAATTCTTTTTTTACCTTGATGCCAATTTGCTCCCATGATTATTATAATTTTTTGCACATTATTTATATGCTACTTTTGCAGTGAGCTTTTATCTACACATTAATGTTATAAAAAAATATTAAATTAAAATAGAGGAAGTTAAACTGGACTCCACACTTACGAGGTGGCATTTCTATGAATACACTAGCCTTGGGAGGGCATAATACTGTACTGTTACAGCCTCTATTATTTTCTTAGCCACATTGTCAGGCTCACCAGGCTAAAGTGTGCACTTTCTCTAATATATGCAATTTCCTTCAATATCTCCATTTAGATCTCCAATAAGTATTTAAAACTTTACATACCTAAGACTGAACTGTGGACTTACCACCCCAAAACCTGCTTGTCCTCTAGCAGCCTGCACCTCAAGTTAAAAGCAGATAGATCACTGACTTTCTACTTCCTCTGTTATCCCACATTAAATCCATCTGTGAATCCCTTCAGCTTTACCTTCAAAATATATTCTAAATCCCACAATATCTACCATTACTATTAAATCCCAGTCATCACCATCTTTCACCTGAATACTGCAACAACCAAATGGCATTCTCACTCCCTCAGTAGCCTTTCTAAAGTCTATTCTCCACGAGAGAGTCCTGATTTTTAAATAGAAATTATTTCACAGAATGCTACATTTTGTATCTTCCAAAAAATGTCCAGCTCAGGGGACCATGAGAATGTGGCTGTCAGATCCCCAAAGGCAGGGAATGTAACTGACTGCTACTGCCCCTGCAGCCACCCTTGGAATCCATCACTCTTCAATGCTTTTTATACTTTCTAGGTATAGAAAGTTTCTAGGTATGGGAACTTTTCTAGTATAGATTCAGCATAGCAGAGATACTGAGGCAGACTCATTCCTAGAGCCTACAAAAACCATCAGTAGCATCATACTCAATTGCGAAGAACTGAAGGCTTTCCCTTAAGATTTGAAAAAAGACAAGGGTGTGTACTCACAACCTCTTCAACATTGCATTGAAGGTCATAGTTCTGGGAAATAATACAAGAGAAAGAAATAAAAGGCATGATAATTGGAAAGACGTATGTAAAACTGTCTTTATTTACAGATAACATGGAAGTTTATGTAGAAAATCTGAAGTAACCTAGAAAATGTTACAAGATCTAAACAATTAACTTAGCAATTCCACAGGATACAAGTTCAGTGTACAGAATCGATTGTATTTCTATATTTCAGCAACAAAAAATAGGAAATTAATTTTTAAAGAAAACTACCATTTAAATCACATTAAAATGAAAAATCTTAGGGATACATTGACAAAATATGATCAAAACATGTAAAGTAAAATACACAAAATATTTTGGAGAAAAATTTTAAAAGGCACAAAGAAATGGAAAGATATAACCAAACATGAATCAAAGATTCAATATTATTAAATGGTAGTCCTTCCCAAAATTGATTGTAAATTCAACAAATACCAATTAAAATCACTCTTTTTTTTGTACAAACTCACAAACTAATTAAGATTTTATGTGTACATGCAATGGATCTAAACTAAATCAAACAATTATAACAACAACAAAGGTGGAGGATTTATACTATATAATTTTAAAACTTACTATAAAGCTACAATAATCTAGACAATGTAGTTTGATGTAACAAATGCATAGATCCATAGAACAGAAGAAGGAATTCATAAATAAACCTCCACATACATGACCAACTAATTTTCAACAAAGTGCTAAGGTGGCTCAATGGTCAAAGAATAATTTTTTCAAACTGTAGTGGTGAAACAATTGGGTATCCATATGCAAAGATACAAAGATTGACCTTTACCACAGATTATGTTCCAAAATTAACTCCAAATAGATTGAGGACATAAAAATAGCAGGAAAAACATTACATCTTCTAAAATAGAACACTTGAAAAATCCAAGTGGCTTTGAATGGGCAAGAATTTATTAAGTAAGATATAAAAAGTAAATTAAACTTTATCAAAATGTAAAATTGTGTGCTTCAAAAATCACTGTTAAGAAAATGAACAAGTCAGAGAATGGGAGAAAGTATTTGAAAACTACATATCCAGGAAAGGACTTATATCCTAAATACATAAACACAGTCAAACCTCCATATTCATAGGTTCTGCATATGTGGAGTCAATCAACCACAGTTTGAAAATACTAAAAATAAATAAATACATTAAAATAGCAATACAACAATAAAAAAGCATAACAATGATTTACATACCGTTTGCATTGTTTTAGATATTATGAGTAATATAGAAATGGTTTAAAGTATGTGGAAAGATGTACATATTTTGTATGTCTATATTATGCCATTTTGCATAAGGCACTCGATTATCCACAGATTTTGGCATCAGTGAGGAGTCCTGGAATGACTATAATCCTTATCATGCAGTAATAAAAATGCACAGAGCCCAAAATTTAAAATGTTGAATTAAAGAGACTTTTCACCAGAGAATACATACAAATGGCAAACACATAAAAAGATATGTAATATTATTAGTCATTAGGGAAATGTAAATCCAAGAAATAGTAAATGCTATAATGTGTATACCAGAATGACCAAAATTAAAATAACTGACAAAACCAACTTTGGAAAATGATGTGATACAACTGAAACGCTCATACATAGTAAGTTAAAATGCAAAATGGTAGTTACTTTGGGAAAGATTGTGAGTTTCTTGTAATGTTAAGCAATTACATATCTTATGTCCCAGAAATTCCATTTCTAGGTTTTTAACCCAAAAGAAAAACACATTTTTATACAAAAATGTGACATGATACACATAAAAACACTATTTTTAGTACCCCGAAACGGAAAAAAACTAATGTCCACCAACTGATATATGTGTGAACAAGTTGTGGTATATGTAAACAATGAAATACTACTCATCAGTAAAAAGAACAAACTGCTAATAGATGCAACAACATGAATGAACTTCAAAAGTATTCAAAGTGAAAGAAGCCAGATGAAAACACTACAAACTATATGATTGAATTTCTTAAAATTATAGAAAAGGCAAAGATATACTGATACAAAGCAGATTAGTGCTTGCCAAGGTGGATGGGAGGAAGAACTTTTGAGGAAATAAAAATGTTCTATGTTATGATTGCAATGATGATTACACAGCAGTTCGCGTTTGGCAAAATCATTGAATAATGTCCCCAAAACTGGTAAATTTTAGTTTTATAAATTATATCCCAATAAAGCTGACAAACCAAAACAAAAAATTATTGAGGACCCAAAATATCTTTTTGTTTTTTATGGGTTATATGTATTGATATTTGGTTTGCTATAAATTTACACTGTAAAAAATTAAAACATTGAACAATAAACATTAAAATAATAACTTCAAACTTTCATTTCATTAAAAACTAACTTTTTCATATATTTAAAATTTCTCTAAAAGAGTCTGTTAAATAAATGTTTGTATTATACAGATGAGGATATATTAAAATTTTACTGTCTTTCACAAAATAACAGATGTGTCATACTTTAACAAAAATATATTTTATAAAAAGTATTATAGATTTCAAAACAAAATTAATTTAGTGAAAGAGTAGCATTGCTTCACATTTTTACAAATCTATTAATGTCTGGCTTAATAAGAGACAGCCGGATTCTCAGATTTATTTCTGTGTTTAATTTGTTGTGATATGTTTATGAGGAAAATCTAATATCATGCACATGTATTTTGAATAGGGAGGGATATGTTGTACTCTTTTTAAGTGGCAGTTTTTATAAGTTATTTTCAATGTGGAATATGAAACCCTATAAATCAGCTTTATACTATTGCATTCACTTTGAATAAGTCTATTGTCGATGCATATAATACTAAATATTGGCTAAGAGTGGAAGTAATAAGATCTGGTAAGTATTGCTGGTGGCAGAAAAAAAAGTGATTCTCACACAATAGAAACAATCCAACATTATCTTTTAAAACCAAGCACGGCCAGGTGCAGTGGCTCATGCCTGTAATCCCAGCACTTTGGGAAGCCGAGGCATGAGGTCAGGTCTTCGAGACCAGCCTGGCCAACATAGCGAAACCCCATCTCTACTAACAATACAAAAATTAGCCGAGAGTCGTGGCGGGCGCCTGTAATCCCAGCTAGTAGGGAGGCAGAGGCAGGAGAATCACCTGAACCCAGGAGGCAGAGGTTGCAGTGAGCCGAGAATGCACCATTGCACTCCATCCCAGGCAACAGTGTGAGACTCTGTATCAAAAAAAAAAAAAAAGGCCACATATATAGAGGACCTAAGAAAATGTCCACACCTGTGCTCCAGCAGACAAGTATAAAGATATTCATAAGAGGATTGTTTGTAATACTGAGAAACTGGAAACCCCCCAAGTGTCCATCAGAGAATAGTGTATAAATAAATGATAGCATATTCAGTCACACAGTGGAATATAATTATATAGCACTGACAAAGATTAAACAAAAGCTACATTCAACAATATGTATGAATTTTAGGATAGTATTGTTGGCTGAGGAAAAAAATAAATTGCTTAAGAAAATACATTGTATAATGACATTTAAAATAGGAAAAATTAATAAAATATTGTTTAGGAATATATGCATATGTGATGACTGATATTTACAGCCAGTAGATGATAAGGAAACAATCCAAAATCATGTTTACCTCTGAGGGAAAGGCACAAAAATAGAATTGAGGGAGTAAGCACTCAATGTTTGTTTTATTATTAGCTATGATTTTGATACGTAAGTTATATACAACTTTTATGCATGTTATGCATGTTTTCTATGTACATGTTATATTATTTAATAGAATAACTTAATCTTGAGCTAGGCCTGAAATAATACATTGCTGCTATAATGATACAGTTGCAAAGGTTTTCGAGTAGAGGGCTTTGCATGTGCTTTATAGTCTGCTGAGACCACATATGGTCACACTTACTTAATGTGGGAGGTAACATAAAGCAGTCTCATATATGATAAGATTTTCCTAATAGTCTGATCAGAGAAAGACCCATATTTGAACCATGTGGATAATTTTTTGTTCAAAAAATCAACATAATACACACATATGGTGACACATATAACACAACTAATTGTCCTATGACTAAACACAGTTGAAACTAAATCAGAGAACCCACGTTATTTCTTTATCAATCCTTTCTTCTGTTATTCACTTAACTTCTGTTCTAAGAAAACAGAAGCAGAGCCCTACGTGAAATATGTCCAGAAATTGCACCACAAACATCCATTTTTGTGAATATAAATAAAAATCAGAAGCAAACTAAATTAAATTTCTCATTCTACTTATGGCATTTCTCTCATTTTGGCTTCTAAGTGGTTCTCTTTAGATCCATGCAGATACATTTAAGCACTGATGATGCAAGACAGCATTTATTTTCATGACTGCCCTATCAAATTTAACAATCAGGCAGTAACAAGAGGCTATATATTTTCATGGCATTCTTTCAGGAAATTGAAATATAATAACTTTGAATCATGACCTTATTTTCAAGGTCAGATATGCAGTTCATGAAAACAGCATATTTATGGTTCTATAATAGAAGAGCTGATGTTATGCAGAAAACAATTCTCTGTAGAATTTTATAAGAAACATTTATTTGATAAAGTCAGGGTTGGGTGCCAAGTGATTTAAAGAACAGCCTATTGTTTGATATACAGCCTCAGTGGGATGATCACAGTTGCTATTTGGGCAACACCAGTCATGTTCTTTTTTCTGATTATCTAAAATTGTTATTAATTGTATTTGGTATTGATTTAAATGTCTATCACGCTTAAAAGACAGAGTTAATACACTCTACCCTCATTATATGCCTTCAAAAGTCCTACACTTTGATTATAATAAGTAGGTTGTATTATGTTAAGGATAATTATCATTGACAAGTTAACATGTTTAGAAGCCAATAAAAAAAACAGTGGGTTTATATAATTATAAATGATCTAAAAGAAAGAAAACATGAAAATATGTGGTCTTTAATTAAACAA
The DNA here is from genome assembly GCF_000001405.40 of Homo sapiens. Classification (NCBI taxonomy): domain Eukaryota; kingdom Metazoa; phylum Chordata; class Mammalia; order Primates; family Hominidae; genus Homo; species Homo sapiens. Next base: position 126,204,041 of record NC_000007.14, read on the forward strand.
CTTTTATTTACTGAGCTTTAATAATGAAAAAGAATTACAGATTCTGAGTTTTTTTATTCTAAAAGACTTTCTCTTGTGTCATTAATGAAATATATTTGCTAACCATGTTAAATTTACTCATTGCTTATTGTGTTTTTATATTTAACACGATGATGGTATATACAAAATATCATTTAGGAAAAATATCATGCTTAGTTATAAGATGTCCACATATTTTATTTCATCTTGCATGGAAATAGATAGTAAAAACAAATAATAAATTACCATTATGTTATCCATATTCCAAATTACATAAGTATATAAAATGTCTCTAGTACTAATTATATGACAGTTATTAAATTTGTTTCCTCTTTTGATCCCATCAAAAGGACATAAACTAGAAATCTGAGGGTTTCTAAAGTTTAGGATTTGCGTAACTCTGGTTCATAGAGAAATGTCATTGTAAAATAACTTATCCACATACATTGCAGTTACCTCATACAGGAAAAAATTAAAAGCACAACCACATAGATGCTAAAAATCCAAAAACTGTAAAGAATAATAGATATTTTTCTTATTAGTAAAATCAGTAAACTTAGTACTTTCAAGTTAGGAATACTTGAAATATATTCTCCAGTCTCTTCTATTGTGTCTCTACAATTCTTACTAAAAAATGATTTGTAGTCTATGAATTTATCGAAATTTGAGATTAAACTCAACCACTTTTGTTCATCAGTCACATAGATGGAAATTTGGAAATCAGACTGCAGAAGCTATACCCCAAAGTTACATAAACTGTAACGAATTGGGAGAAAGAGAAGAAAATGGCACATACCAGAATCTATGCCAGTTCTACTTACTTTATTCTGGGTCTAAATAAAAAACTGATATCTTTCTCAATTATACCTCAAAAATAAATACAGAAATACAGTTGCATCTTTTAACAAATATGCACACAATTTAAAATGCATAATTTGGTTTTGTGTTTTTCTAATTGGTATTTATGACTTGAAAAAATAATAGGGTAGTGCATATAATGCCAAGTACAAAGGTTTTATCTAAGCTCAATTGAAAATAAAAATGTTTTAGAATAAAGCCAATAGAAAGATTTTTTTTTTTTGGATTTTTAGCTTCTGAATTCTAACCTTCTTTATTCCCCATCTTCTTCTCTGTACTGTAAACCTCCACATTTGCCTGGTGACAGAAAAATCTTAATCGTCAAGATTTTCCTATGAATATCTGACAGGGGATAAAAGTAGCATAAGTTTGAGGAAGGAACCATCATCTTCAGATTGAAATAATTCTTACTGGCTAGCAGAACAAACTCAACATCAGGCAGGCAGCCCCTATGCATACAGAAAATTATTTTCAAAGTAGTTTAGACGTAATCCTAAATAAACTTTTGGAGGCTTGACCTATGAGGGATAATTCTGTCTGAGAGGCACAGTATAAAAGGCCCTAAGTGAAAGAGCCTGGCATAGAAAGAAAAAAAATGACTCGTTCCTAATTTCAATTTCATTTTGAGATTTTTCTACTTTAAAAAGTAAGTATACTTCAAAAATTTTACTAAAAAATAGAATTTTGAATAATATCCAAAAGTACCCATTTTGTTAGCAATTTCCTAAATTTGAAGTTTTGTATGATGTTGTTTCATCTGCCCATCTTTTTGCAAATTTTCTTAGAGTATAAACTTGGAAAAGTCAAGTGTATTTCTAAAAAAAAAATAAGGTACATTCAGATTTTGTATCAAGTGTACAGTATCAATGAATAGTAATTATACACAGTATAGTCAAATACCATAGTAGAGTAAAATACATAATCAAGTAAAATTACAAGATAAATAACCATATCTTCAAAATCCTTATTGGAAAAGTCATGATAATTACTATTTTTACAAAATTTAGATCTGTTTGTCTTTCACACATGAATTAATCAAATTCATTCAATAATTTCAATAATTTACCACACTCCAGTAAGTTTCCTGGAAACATATCTGTATATAAAATTTGGTACGGAAAGATTTTTTTGGCTCAAGACACGTTAAAATCAAGCTTAATACATCAGTAGAACAGATTATCCATTTTACTTTCTATATCTCCCTTAAGATAATCAACATTTGGGAGCTTAAATCCAGAAGCTGGGATGAGCTCCAGGATGGGAGGATGCAGGAAGGCAAGATGTAAGACAAATGTCCTTGTAGGTTAATATCATGCCAAAATCCTACAGAACTGTCTCATGGGATTTTTAGTGCATCAGAGCCAGTTCTGAGGCTTACAGAAATCTCTGTATCTCTAATTGTTATATAATTATAGAGGAATAATATCACACTGCTTTGATTTAGCAAATGGATTTTTTCCCAGCAAATTCTATATCAAGGTTCAGTTGAAACAGCTGTGCAGCTTCTGTGTGAACCAAACAAAGGTAGACCTTTAAAGAATAGACAAAATCCCATTTTTTTCTAAGCCCCTTTGAAACAGAAAAGAAGCACTTTTTTCCCCAATATGAATAATATGATGCTCTCACAAGGTCATTTTCAATAGAATAAATCATGTTACAGGGGGATTTTTTTTCCTCTACTTTTCTCTTATGATCGGAATATATGACTAAAATAGAGCAGAGAAGAATCACCTCCAGTTTTAGGGCACACTCTCCCTGTTCACAGCACCCCTTGTATTATCAATTTATAAAGCCCTTAGTCATACAGTACAGACCCTGGTATAGAAGAGGCCCTTAGTAAATATGTGTTTACCTATCTAAATTCTTAGCACAAGTAATAATTATTTTTTAACTACATGTTTTAGTTTTGGACAGTACTGAATGACTCAATACTAAAAAGTAAAAAAAAAAAAAAAAATGTAGCACTCATATACCCTACCTAACATCCCTAAGCTTCTTAATTTTTTAAATATCTAAATTATGTCTTACTTAAATGAAAACTCAATTAAACCACATGTTATATACTTCCCAGGGTTACAAAAATAAATGTAATGCAGTCCTGGAAGCACAGCGGTGGGGAGAAGGAATGGCTACTGAAAGGCAGCAGTTGTCTCTTGAACACCAAAAGTTTTGAGAAAAAGTGACTTTGTTCCAAAGAATGTGTGAGAATACTCATATTAGTTAGAAGGGATGCAAAGACTTCTATAGTTGCCAGTATTCTAGAGTTGAGCTGATAGAGAAGATGAATCTAGAAGATAATAGTATTGGCATAAATGTAGACTCATTTATACCCATAGGCTAGTGGTAGCTGGGAAAATTCAAGTTACTTTAGAAAGACTCAGGTAAAGCTTTATTTCCTTCATCAATTTATCCAGGGACTTAATTATGTGAGTAAAAAATGCAGTTGCTTAAAATAGTATCTGAAAACCAAAATGAATACAAGTGGTCTCATTTCACTAACTTCAGGGCTGCCAAGAGGATGCTTTTCAGAAATAAATATGTATGGAGGTATTGGCCACAGAACTAATAAGGTATCTTGAAAATTAACTTGTACCCTGTTTGCTATAGGGTATATGATAAGTAACCTTCTATAATCCTTCAATTGGTGGATCTAAATGTTGCAATTAAAAGAACAGTATTCTTTGATAATACAACAGGGTGACTATTGTCAATAATAACTGCACATTTTTAAATAACTTAAAGAGTGTAATTGGATTGTTTGCAGCTCAATGAAAAAATGCTTGAGGGAATGGAAATCCATTTGTTCATGATGTGCTTATTTCATATTGTATGCCTGCATCAAAACATCTCACGTACCCCATAAATATATACACCTACTTTGTACCCACAAAAATTAAAAATAAAAAATATTAGAAACAATATTTTTTGAGCTGTCTTAAGACTCTAGGTACAATAGGTATTGTCTTTTCATAGTAAAGCTTTTTGGTTGTTGTTAAAACAGACTTCACAGTCACAAAGAATATTACACAAATTATGCCAATCTGAAGTTTTTATTTTATTCAAGAGATATTTTTGTCACTAATAAGAAGGCACAAGGTTGAAATATTGTATGAAATTTAAAAGATCATATATTGAGTTGGTACAAAAGTGATTGCGGTTTTTGAAGTAATGGCAAAAGTCATGATTGTTTTGCACAAAACTAATAAATAGAGAAGAAGAAATTAAAATAAATTATGATATTCAGAAGCACAAATACAAAACACAATTGCCATTTTCAAAACTAGAGCCATCAACAATGTGGCATCAGCAAGTTTTGTTAATCACATTAAGTGATACACACGGAAGTTTCTGCAAGGAATCCGAGGTCACATCCCTGAGCATCCTGACATTTGAGCATCTCTTCGATCAGTGACTATGAGAGCCAATCCTTAAAGCATCTCAGGCAATATCAGCCCAAATGTACTCTCCTCTTCCTTTTCACCATCTGCAGCCTGAAGGCAGCTTTTAGCAACTCTTTGCAATGGGCTTTAAGGACCACCAGAGCTAACATGCTGCCAGAAAAACAATTCACAGAACTATTCCGTTTTGTTATTTAACAGGTATTGACTTTACAGATGTACCCTAGAAGGTGTTGTTTGTGAAAAAATATGAGAAAGTATGAATGATATTCCATACTTACTCATTTCCTTGCAGAAAGACTAAAGGTGTTGTGAGAAAGACTTAGAATGTATGGAAGCTTTAACAGAGAAATAAAGAAATATAAACATTTCTTGCAAAGGGAAAAAACTCTTCAGTTTTGAATAAGTGATCAACATGTTATATGTATCATATTTGAAATGGAAGATAGAAGAGGCACAAAAAAATTTCCATATCCATGACATTGAGATTCATTAATATTTCCTCCACTCTTCTCTGTTCATTTTTGTCATGAAAGAAATGTCACACATGTTTTCCTTATAAAAACTGCTGCATCAGAACACTTTTGGAGAATTAAAAGAAACTTTAAAGTCCTAAAAATAACAATTTATTGAGGAATAATTATCTTGTTTCTGTTGCCAACCACTCCTCCCTAAGGAGAAAGGATTCAGCACTTATTTAAGACAATTAAAAACTATACCTGGCAAAATATTGTAAAGCTTTTAGTGGCAAATTTCAAAGAGAAAATGCTCTAGTGTAGTAAAAAGCCAATAAGTTTCAATGCAATTTGCCTTTAGCGAAAATCACATTTAAAAACTTCCTTTTTGTACTGTACCTTGAGGATTTTCATAAGAGTACTTAAACATGAGAATTTGTACACATGAGAGAACATACTGTTAACAGCTGTCTTTGTATACTTACAAGGGAACAATTTATGACAGCTTTTGAAATAATTTTAATAGTAAGGAGGGAATTAAGAAGAAAGGAAAATCTTGCTTATGTTGTTTGTATAATGAAGAATTGAAATAAGTTTTGAAGGGACAACCTCTTTATTAATGGTAAATACAGTCTAGTAATGTTATTGGAGCTATCATATGCATTATTGCCAAAAACATAGTGAGAAAGTCTAGGATGAGCATTCTTTTGCATGAGATGTATCAAAAACAAACTGAGATCTGGGTGGAGATGACATTGTATGATAGAAGGAGGTAATTATTCATTGGCCTCAGTATATCTGTCAAAATGGTTCTGCAAATGAGCTAACAACCAGAGAAATATACCTTTCCAGAAACAAATATTACGTGTTATGAAACAGTTAATCACCATTATTCTCCTCCTCCCCTTCCTCCCCATCATCATCCTAATGGCTATCATTTATTGAGCCTCCCATATATCAAAAGCAAACCTCAGGATAAAAATAAAGAAGTCCAGTGGCAGTCAGCTTATCTTAAAGGTCCTCCTCCATGAAATTTCAACTTATCCTGTGGTCATTGTTTCTACAACACTCTGGAGTCTTTAACAATATAATCTTTATGATTTATTTGGATTTTTCCAGTTGTTCTGGGAGAAGTGGGTTTATCCTATCCATTAACTGAAGTTTGTTATGATCTTTTATTTGTAGATTTCGTGTACAAAGCCTATTAAGTTGACTTCATTCTCACTGAAATCAGAGGCTGTGTCTTATTTGTCTTTTTCGTTTGACATATGAAAGACATTTACTAAAGTATGATAAATTACTAAATGATGATATAAACAAATAAATGATGGGCAGGCTTATTTGGTTAGAACACTGATTTTACTCCAGATTAGAATTGATTTGAATTTTGTATCTTTCATAAGTAGAATTTAGACTTGGGGTAATAACTGCATATAGCATGGAATTTCTCAACTGTATTGTTAATATCTTTGCTAAGTAGATTTGCACGGATTAAATGAGATCATTACATGTGAAAGATGTAGCAGAAAGCTTGGCATAATAGGTGGTAATTGCTGAGTATTCATTCTGATTTTTAAGCTATGTGCCACTCACTGAATTTCCAAAAAAAGACATTGGAATCTTGAATCTTGACAGAAATGTTTAAATGAGAGTCACCTGGTCAATACATTTGTAAAATATTCTGATATTTCTTTAAAACTTGGGACTTAAGAAAGACAACAATGAGGTTAAAAGAGAATGAGTAAATCTAAATTCCTAAATATAATATTAATTAAATCGTTCATCCAAGCATTTGTTTACACGTAAGTCACAAATAACACCCAGTGTGAGGCTAGTATGATTTGCCACATTTCCACATTGACAACATTACCAATTTCCATGTCGTGAGCTACAGAAAATCTATCCAAATGTGACTAAGAAAAATGTTTTTCTTCTGGTCTTCCTTTATTATCCATTACTCTTTTTATTCACACACTGACTTGTGCAATCTCTGACAAACCAGCCATTTCTGTTCATCAGTTTTGGTGTCAATTAAGGTGAACTCACAATCTCTCTATTGTTCTCTACTTTCATATTTCCAGTACAGAGTATATATCAACCAGCTACTCTGTTATGATTGCTCTTGCACAGAAATCTTCACTTTTTCAATATGACTGTAATTGCTGACTGCAAAGCAGGAGTCAGAAACTCAAGCATAGAAGGCAGAGTGTTTGGATTTTAAGCTCCATCCTGAACTGGGTGCCTTTGCACAAATTACATAACCTCTCTGGGGCATAGCTTCTCCATCTGAAAAATAAGGCTAAAAATAGTACTCAGGAAATGTAAATCAAAACCACAATGAGATACCACCTCATACCCATAAGTATGGCTACTATCAAACAAAAGCTAGAAAATAACAAGTGCTGGTGAGCATGCTGAGAAATTGGAACCCTGTGAATATAAAACAGTGCAGCCACTTTGGAAAACAACGTGGTAGTTTCTTAGAAAAAGTAAAAATACAACTACCCCATGACCTAGCAACTCTACTCTTAAGAATTGAAAGCAGAATCTCAGATACTTGCAAGGCTGTGCTCGTAACACCACTATTCACAATAACCAAGAAGCAGAAGCAACTCTAGGGTCCATCAACAGATGAGTAGATAAACAAAATGTGTTATATGCATGCAATGGGTTATTCAGCCTTAAAAAGGAAATAAATCTTCACTTATGCTACAACATGAATGAACCATGAGGACATTATACTAAGTGAAATTAATCACTCACAAAGACAAAGACTATATGACTCCACTTATATGAGGCATCTAGAGTAGTCAAATTCATAGAAACAAAGTAAGACAGTAATTGCCAGGGACTTCAGAGAGATGAAAATAAGGAGTTGTGTAATTAGTGTAGACTTTCAGTTTTGCCAAATAAAAAATGTTCTGGATATTGGTTGCACAACAATGTGGATACACTCAACACTACTGAATTGTACACTTAGAAATTATTAAGGGGGTAAATTTTATGTTATACAGCATTTACTACAGCAAAATTAACGTTTAAAAAATAGTACCCAGCTTATGAGGCTAATGTGAAAATTAAATTATATATGTACAATGCTTAGAAAAATTCCTGAAACATTGTATATGCTCAGTAACTTTTGATGATCATTATTACTGAATTTTTGTTAATTACAGCATTTCCTTTTATTAATGATGTGTTTTGCTGAACACTGCTAGATAGTGGATGTGTTTTATACAATTTGCTTTTATAATGGAAGAGTGATTCCAGGTTTACTCAATCCAGGAAGCACACTCACAGTATGCTTGAGTCATGGCTTGATTCCCACCATCAGAAACTTCTGACTCTTTCACACCTGGATTTTTCTGTACAGCTATTTCACTTATATTATGCATAGACTATGAAAATTCATCTAGAGAAAATCTCAGCTTATAATACATATTTTCTGTGTGATTTTTTCCAAAGTCACCCAGTTCAGAATGGTACTTTAATGGGCTACTTTAAAAATATTACCTAATTTTTATTTATAGAAGTTTGTAGACAAGAGGTATTTTCTTTGATTTCACTCTCGGGATATACTATTTTTGACCACCTTTTGTCTCTTCACTTATAGTTTGTGGAAAAAAAGGATAAAATTAAAATTAACTCATTTTTCATGTTTAGCAAGTTTTTTTTCATTGCACCCATGAAACAGCTGTGATTTCTATCATGATTTGTTATTTTTATATGTTATGGTAGAATTTATAGTTTTGTCTTGTTTGCAAGCTTACTGAGAGTGCCTTTTGCATATGATTAAGAATTGCTTTGCAATCTATTCCTAGGTTACCATTTCCATAATAGTGTGTACTAGCCTGCTGTCACTCTCCAGTCTGTTGCTATAAAATATATACATTGTTCTGAGACATAAATCTTCATCTTCAGTGGTGTAATTGGGGTATAGATGAGTAATCTAAATTTTTCAGATGAAAAAGCAAGTAAAAATCTATCCTACAAAATGTCATAACATGCTATATACCTGAAAATAGAACTCTTACGGAACCCCCTTCATCACTGTAGCAGCTGTGATAGTAATCATTTTTAAATGATGTACTCCACTGAAAGGAGTTGATCACATACTTTATGCAAAGTTAGAGTACCCAAATATATCTACTTGTCTTGTTTTGTCATCAGATGAATGAAAGCTTATCTTCTGCTCTTTATGAAGTCTAAAGAAATTCTATACACCTCATCAATGTAAAACAGTTTCTACCCTTGAAATCTAGCACTGAATTATTCAGCTGTGATCTTCATGTTTCATTTCTTCCTCAAGCACAACAATCTATCAATACATGTAAACATCATGCAGGTTTAAAAAATAGTGATTCTAAAAGCTCCTCATTAACTACGGCAGACTTTGTTATTAATGAATTTGAGTCCATGTGAGAATGTGATTTTTTTTCTCTTAAAATATTTCTGTAGAACTACTAGATTTTCTCTATCTCTCTACCTGTAAATCACAGTGAATCAAATTATTTTTACTGGGTTGGGGACCCTATCATTTTGAAAAATGTAATGGGGCAATAAAGATGATGTGTCTACTACACATCTATTTTACAGATCTGGAATGGACAGTTTCAACAGAAAATGTTCCTTCTGCATCTACAGAAAAACAAGTTTCTTCTAAAAATATTCACTCACTTAACACAAGCTCCACCTTTTTAAAAAGGGCATGCATCACTGCCTAGAGAAAATCCCACATGCATACTCCTACACTTTACCTTATTTTGGCTCTAATCACATAGGTTAATATGTTTACCTTTAACCACATTTCACAGGATACCTGATTCTCCCATAAACTCTAACGTACTCTCCTCCAGTACCTAAGACTTACCTTTTTGTTATCCAAAGTAGCCTATTTTGCTGGAATCCAGGTACAAAATTACCTTCCACCGTTTTGTCCTCTATTATTTGTATTCTGCCTTAAATTTTCTTTCTTTGTATCCACTCCCTGCCCCTGATTCCCCATTAGCAGAGAAACCCTTGTGGAAAAAAAAAATCCACATAGACAATTACCACCCACAAACTTCTCCAGATTTCAACTGTCACCCAGATTGACTACTAAGCATGTCTTATTTTCTTTGCATAACACAGGTCCTGTGTGCTGAACCTCTTAGGTCTGCTTTTCTTTTGCTGTGCTTTCAAATTTGGGCCAGATTTCCCAGATCTGTCCCTAGAAGCAGGTTTTACCTTATTCTCTGATCATCTTTTCTCTTTGACAGAGTTGCGTTCATAGGAATTTTTTACATACCTCATGATTATGCCTGTCTGGTGGCATGAGTCATAGGAAGAACAAATTTAGACTTGACTCCAACTTAGTCATTTTAGTATAAATCTTATGCTAAATATAAATCATATATGGCTGTGTGTATACATATATAATATTATGCTGGATTATCTTTTAAACAATTATTGCAAAAGGTATGTCAATATAGCAAATAATCACTAAATTCCAAACTGATAACATGTATGCTTACTGTTTTTGTTTGTATAACTACTATTACAGTTTGGATATTTGTCCCCACTCAAATCTCATGTTGAATTGTAATTCCCAGTGCTGGAGGTGGAGCCTGGTGGGAGATGTTTGGGTCACAGAGGATGATCCTTCAGGGCTTGGTGCTGCCTTCGTAATAGTGAGTTCTCATCAGATCTGGTTGTTTAAAAGTGTGTGGTATCTCCAGCTGGGCGCGGTGGCTCATACCTGTAATCCCAGCACTTCGAGAGGCTGAGGTGGGTGGATCACTTGAGGTCAGGAGTTTGAGACCAACCTGGCCGACATGATGAAACCCTGTCTCTACTTAAAATACAAAAATTAGTCAGGTGTGTTGGCACACCCTTGTAATCCCAGCTACTTGGGAGGCTGAGTTGAGAGGCTCACTTGAACCCAGGAGGTGGAGGTTGCAGTGAACCAAGATGGCATCACTGCACTCCAGCTTGGGCAACAGAGCGAGACTCTGTCTAAAAAAAAAAAAAAAAAAAAAAAAAAAAAAGTGTGTGGCATCTCCCCTCCATCCTCTTGCTCCTGCTGTTGCCATGTGATGTGCAAACTTGTGCTTCACCTTCTGCCATGAGTAAAAGCTTCCTGAAGCCTCACCAGAAGCCATGTTTCTTGTACAGCCTGCAGAACTGTGAGCCAGTTAATCCTCTGTGCTTTATAAATTACTCAGTCTCAGGTACTTCTTTACAGCAAAGCAGGAATGGCTTAATACAACTAAATAGTAAAATTATTATGGCTATTCTTATTTACTGTTAATTAAATATTTAAGTTTCTTATAGAGTAAGTCTGTGCTTTAAGCAAGGCCTCAAGTGAACTAGTTTAATTCAGATTCAAATCCCATTTTATTCAGTTCCAAATTATCTACTTTCTATTGTCTTTAACAATATAATTTCTTCTCTTGATAAATTTCATTATGTTCTTATAATGTTAGATTGTCTATTATAAGAATCATAAAAAGCTATCATTTATTAAACTTCATAATACTATAATCTTATTTAATTTTCATACCTGTAAAAGATAAGTTCCTTAAATGCTATAAAAGAACAAGAAGAAGCTATAAAATTAGGTAAGTCACCAGGTCAGACTACAAAGGCCATGCTCTTTCTGCTCTCCTGTTCCATTTTTCATAAACCTGGGAACTTTATCTCTTCTTTATCCTGTTCAACACCTATTAAATTTATTCAGAGTGACAATTACTTCAAACCTCTTTAAGAGCTTATCTAGTTATTTACATATGAGACAGCATGGAAGCGGTAATATACCACAACCAGAGTCAGGCAATACAAACAGGTAGACTTAATCTTGTCCTCCCCAAAGTGTCACTCACCTTTATTGGGACCCCTTGCAAGCATAAACACATTTTTGGACCTTCAGTTGTGCCAACACCACTAGTATTTACATATGGTTAAACAGAAAAAGAAAATGTAAGGCTAAAATCAAATATGTATTCCACTACATCTTAAAATGTTTTTATTGTATTAATCTAAATGGGGCATACATACTACAAACATTTGTTTATATTACTCTTTGACTTATGTACTTTATAAAAACTATAATTATATACATTATAAACATACATTAGAAATACATTGTAATTATACACAGTATAAATATGTACCTATTAACGTATGTGCATACATTAAAATGCTTTTTAAATTTTTATTGCTGGCCAGATGTGGTGGCTCTTCTCTGTAATCCCAGCACTTTGGGAGGCTAAGGCAGGATAATTGCTTGAGGCTAGGAGTGCAAGACCACCCTGGCCAACACGGTGAGATCACATCTCTACCAAAAAAAAGTATTGCCAATGTTAAATTTGAACAACACTCAAAGTAATCCTGTCCTGCCCCTTCTACCACACACCCACTTCCTTACATGCATGCACACAGACACACACACACACACAGAGCAAGTGCAAGCCAAAAGTAAGTTTTCTCTAAGGATTAACAATGTCACTGTACATTCTTTAATGATTCACATGTTAATCATTGATTATGAGCCCTCTCTACTGGGATTCATATTATATATGCCCATTTGTTGATATTAAATGTATCATATAACTTAATCTCTTCCAGCTCTAAATAAGGAAAACTCCTATTTAAATTGGCTTAAAGGCATCTACATTTGTTGTTTTAAAAGCAGAGAAACAGTGTTCAAAGAAAAATAATGCAATCCAGAATATCTACAAGTTACCATAAACAAGCTACATATAGTGGGAAATTTTCTTACTTAGTGCCTTTTATCTAAGCCTACAACTAGGATCATGATCAACAGTGAAAAACTAAATGCTTTCTACTAAAAATCAAGAACAAATAAACAATATCTATACTCACTATTTCTTTTTAACATTATTGTTAGCACAATAAAGCAAGAAAATGAAGTACAAATGAAATGAAAATGAAATGCAAATCAATTGGAAAGGAAGAATTTAAGTGATATTTATTTGCAGATGACATAATTATGTATAGTTAATCCAAGAGTCTATGAAATAACTACTGAAACTAATAAGTGAATTTAACATGTTACAGAATATAAGGTTAATATAAAAATTAATTACATTTCTATACCTGCAATGAACAATTAGAAGATGAAATGATATGTTGTGTTTATAGGTGGAAAATTAAATATTGTTAAGATAGTGATATTGCTAAGCTGAAGAAGTCAAATACAAAAGAATACCTATTTATTATACACTTACAAAATTTTGAAAAACACAAAAAATAGTGACAGAAAAACAAATCAGTGATGGTCAGAGGTTGAGTGAGAATGGAGGGAGGAGGTCAACTGCAGAAGGACAGCAAGAAAATTTTAGAGTGAGGAGGGTGATCTCTCTCTTGGTTATGGTGGTTACTACATGATCCTATAAAACTACCCCACTGAAAATGATGTAAACGTATTGAATATTATAACTAAATGACAAAACTGGTAATACAAATATGAAAAAGGTAAATAGGCATGAAACACTGAATTTACTATGATTTTTAATCAAAAATTTATAATTTCTTTATTTCCATAGTTTATGCAAAACAGGTGGTATTTGGTTACACGAATAAGTTATTTAGTGGTGATTTCTGAGATTTCAGTGCACCCATCACCAAGCAGTGTATACTGTACCCAATGTGTAGTCTTTTGTACCTTACCCCCTTCCCACCCTTCCCCCAGAGCCCCCAGAGTTCATTATATCATTCTTATGCTTTTGTATCCTTGTAGCTTAGCTCCCACTTATAAAAAAGTGAGAACATACGCTGCTTGGTTTTCTAAATTGCTTCACTTATAATAGTCTTCAACTCTATTCAGGTTGCTGCAAATGCCATTATTTCATTTTTTTATGGCTGAGTGGTATTCCATGAGATATATGTAGATATACATATAGATATATGTGTGTATATATATGATATATATACATATATGTGCATACATGTGTGTATATATACGATATATATACATATATGTGCATACATATGTGTGTATATATACGATATATACATATATGTGTATACATGTGTATATATACTATATATGTGTATATATACTATATATGTGTATACATATGTGTGTATATATGATATATACATATATGTATACGTGTGTATATATGATACATACATATATGTATACATGTGTGTATACATGATACATACATATATGTGTATACATGTGTGTATACACGATACATACATATATGTGTATACACGTGTGTGTATACATGATACATACATATATGTGTATACACGTGTGTGTATACATGATACATACATATATGTGTATACACGTGTGTGTATACATGATATATACATATATGTGTATACACGTGTGTATACATGATATACACACACGTGTATACACGTGTGTATACATGATATACACACACGTGTATACACGTGTGTATATATGATATACACACACGTGTATACACGTGTGTATATATGATATACACATACGTGTATACACGTGTGTGTATATATGATATACACATACGTGTATACACGTGTGTGTATATATGATATATACATACGTGTATACATGTGTGTATATATGATATATACATACGTGTATACATATGCGTATATATGATATATATACACATATATGTGTGTGTATATGATATATACATATATGTGTACACATATATGTGTGTATATGATATATATACATATATGTGTACACATATATGTGTGTATATATGATATATATACATATATGTGTACACATATATGTGTGTATATATGATATATATATATTTTTTTAACATAAAGCAGTCTATTTTTCTTAAAAAGAAGGTACATGGTCACAATCCAAAATGTTTTATACAGCTCTCAGCCTGGAAAATGCAATTAATGAAAAAGGCACTGTTTCTAGAACAGATAGAAAAAGAATAAATATGTCACCATTTACCCTGCACAGCTTTGAGTAACACCATAGGATCCTGTCACATGTTCAGGGTCAATTTTAAAAGCTTGAGAAGGTGAAGACATAGCAAGGTGATGTCGTAGACTAGCCAGGCTCCAAATGGAAGAGCTGTCTGTCCCTCCTCACTAACTGTCCTCTCTCTGTCACACAAGTGTCTGTCTCACTGTTCCTCTAGCAGATGTGGAAAGTGGCTGCTCAGTGAGTACTCAGCTCCCACCAGCCTGAGGGTCACACAACACCACGATGGGAAGTCACAAACGGTATATATATATGTGATATTTTTTTCTTTATTTTCTTTTATTTTCTTTATCCACTTGGTTGATAGGCATTTAGGCTGGTTCCATATTTTTCCATTTGTAATTTGTGCCCTACAAACATGCATTTACAAGTGTCTTTTTCATAGAAAGACTTATTTTCCTCTGGGTAGATACCCAATAGTGGGATTGCTCGTTCAAATGGTAGTTCCACTTTTAGTTATTTAAGGAATCTCCATACCATTTTCCATAGTGGTAGTACTAGTTTACATTCCCACCAACACTGTAAAAGTGTTCCCTTTCACCTCGTCCACACAAACATCTATTTTTTTTTTAATTTTTAAATTATGGCTATTCTTGTAGGAGTAAGTTTGTATCACACTGTGGTTTCAATTTGCATTTCCTTGATAATTAGTGATGTTGAGCATTTTTTTCATGTGTTTGTTGGCCATTTGTATATGTCCTTTAGAGAATTGTTTATTCATGTCCTTGGCCCACTTACTGATGTGATTATTTCCTTTTTGCTTGCTGATTTGTTTGAGTTCCTTGTAGATTCTGGATATTCATCTTTTGTCAGATGCATAGTTTGCGAAGATTTTTTCTTACTCTGTGAGTTGTCTGTTTACTCTGCTGATTATTTCTTTTGCTGTGCAGAAAGCTTAATTAACTCCAATCTATTTATCTTTGTTTTTGTTGCATTTGCTTTTGGGTGCCTGGTCATAAACTCTTTGCCTAAAACATGTCTACAGGGATTTTTCCAATGTTAGCTTCTATAATGTTTATTGTTTCAGGTCTTAGATTTAAGTTTTTGACCCATCTTGAGTTGATTTTTGTATGAGGCAAGAAACAAAGATCCAGCTTCATTCTTCTGCATGTGGCTTGCCAATTAATTCAGCACCATTTGTTGAATAGGCTGTCCTTTTCCCACTTTATGCTTTTATTTGCTTTGTTGAATATCAGTTGGCTATAAATATTTGGCTTTATTTCTGGGTTCTCTATTCTGTTCCATTGGTCTACATGCCTGTTTTTAATACCAGTACCATGCTGTTTTGGTAAGTATAGTTTTGTAGTACAGTTTGAAGCTGGATAATTTGATGCATCCAGATTTGTTCTTTTTACTTAGTCTTGCTTTGGCTATTTGGGCTCTTTTTTTAGTTCCGTATGAATTTTAGGATAGTTTTTTCTAGTTATGTGAAGAATGATACTGATATTTTGATGGGAATTGCATTGAATTTATACAATTGGCTGTGTGGTCATTTTCACAATATTGATTCTACCTATCCATGAGCATGAAATGTGTTTCCATTTATTTGTGTCATCTATAATTTCTTTCAGAAGGGTTTCGTAGTTTTCATTGTACAGATCTTTCACCTCCTTGGTTAGGTATATTTCTAAGTATTTTAGTTATTTTGCTGCTGTTGTAAAAGGGGTTGAGTTCTTTATTTGATTCTTACCTTGGTTGCATTTTGGTATATAGAGATTTTTGGTTGAGTCTTCAGGGTTTTCTAGCTGTATGATCATCTTATTGGCAAACACAACAATTTGTAGCATTTATCATTTTGTTTCTAATGGAGGTTATATCAATCTTCTCTCTTCCTGGTTAATCTCACTAATCATCTATTAATTTGTTTCATTTATCTCTTTGTTTCATTTTTCTTTTGTATTGTTTTTTCTTGTTGTTCAATTTCGTTTAGTTCACCTCTGATCTTGGTTATTTATTTTCTTCTGCTGGGTTTGGGTTTGGTTTGATCTTGTTTCTCTAGTTCCTTGAAATGTGACCTTAGATTGTCTATTTGTGCTCTTTCAGACTTTTAATGTAGGCACTTAATGATATGAAATTTCCTCTTAGCACCGATTTTGCTGTATCCAAAAGATTTGGAAAGGTTGTTTTACTCTTATCATTTAGTTCAAATAATTTTTAAATATTCATCTTGATTTCAGTGTTGACCCAAGGATCATTCAGGAGCAGATTATTTAATTTCCATGAATTTGTACAGTTTTGACGGTTCCTTTTGGAGTTAATTTCTAATTTAATTTCGCTGTGGTCTCCCACTATTGTTATGTAGATGTCTCATTTCTTAGATCTAGTAGTAATTGTTTTATAAATTTGGGAGCTCCAGTGTTAGGTGCATATATATTTAGAATCATGATATTTTCCTGTTGGACTAGTCCTTTTATCATTATATAATGTTCCTCTTTCTTTTTTAACTGTTGTTTCTTTAAAGTCTGTTTTGTCTGATATAAGAATAGCTACTCCTGTTTGCTTTTGGTTTCTATTTGCATGGAATATCTTTTTTCACCACTTTATGTTAAGTTTATGTGAGACCTTATGTGTTAGGTGAGTCTCCTAAAGACAGCAGATATGTGGTTCCTGGAGTTTTATCCATTCTGCCATTTTGCATCTTTTAAGTGGAGCATTTAAGCCATTTACATTCAACGTTAATATTGACATATGAAGTACTATTCTATTCATCATGCTAATTGTGACCTGAATATCTTGGATTTTTTTCATTGTGTTGTTGTTTTATAGGCCTTGTGAGATTTGTGCTTTAAGGAGGTTCTATTTTTGGTGCATTTGAGGTTTGTTTCAAGCTTTAGAACTCCTTTTAGCATTTTTTGTAGTTCTGGCTTGGTAGTGGTGAATTCTCTCAGCATTTGTTTTTCTGAAAAATAATTTATCCCTCCATTCATGAAGCTCAGTTTCACTGGGTACAAAATTTTTGGCTGATAATCATTTTGTTTAAGGAGGCTAAAAATGGGACCCAATCCCTTCTGGCTTGTAGGCTTTCCTGTTGAGAAATCTGCTATTAATCTGATAAGTTTTCTTTTGTAGGTTATCTGATGCTTTTGCCTCCCAGTTCTTAAGATTATTTCCTTCACCTTGACTTTACATCATCTGATGACTACGTGCCTAGTCGACGATATTTTTGTAACAAATTTCCTGGGTGTTCTCTGCACTTCCTGTATTTGGATGTCTAGATCTCTAGCAAGACCAGTGAAGTTTTCCTCAATTATTCCTTCAAATATGTTTTCCAAACCTTTAAATTTATCTTTCTTCTCAGAAACATCAATTATTCTTGTTTGGTTGTTAAACATAATGCCACATTTTTAAAGGCTTTGTTCATTTTTTAAATCTTTTTTTCTTTGTCTTTGTTGGATTGGATTAATTCAAAAGCCTTTACTTAGAGATCTGAAGTCCCTTCTTCTATGTGTTTGATTCTATTGTTGAATCTTTCCAGTGTGTGATGCATATCTCTAAGTTTTTCCTTCATTTCCAGAAGTTATGATTGCCTTTTCTTTATGACATCTATTTCTCTGGGGATTTTTTCATCCATATCCTATATTCTTTTTAAATTTCTTTAAGCTGATTTTCAACTTTCTCTGGTACTTCCTTGAGTATTTGTATTAGTTTGTTTTCACACTCCTATAAAGCATTACCTGAGACTGGGTAGTTTATAAAGGAAAGAGGTTTAATTGACCCACAGTTTTGCATGTCGGGTGAGGCCTCAGGAAACTTATAATCATGATGGAAGAAGAGGGGGAAGCAAGGCTCATCTTACATGGCAGCAGGAGGCAGGAGGGAACTGCCAAACACTTTTAAACTATCAGATCTCATGAGAACTCACTCACTGTAGTGAGAATAGCATAGAGGGAATAGCCCACATGATCCAATCACCTCCCACCAGGTCCTTCCCTCAGTACATGGGGATTACAATTTGTGATGAGATTTGAGTGGGAACACAGAGCCAAACTATATAAGTAGCTTAATAGTCAACATTATGAATTCTTTATCTGCCAATTCACAGATTTCTTCTTGGCTTGGATCCATTGGTGGAGAGCTAGTGTGATCTTTTGGAGGTTTATAGAAACTTGTTTTGTCATATTACCAGAATTACTTTTTCTGGTTCCTTCTCATTTGGGTAGGGTGATTCAGTGAAAAGATCTGAAACTTAAGGGCTGCTGTTCAGATTATTTTGTCACATGGGGTGATCCCTTGACGTGGTGCTTTCCCCTTTCCCCGAGGTATGGGGCTTCCTGAGAACCAGACTGCAGTGATTATTACTGTCCTTCTGGTTCTAGCCACCCACTGGGGCTACCAGGCTCTGGGCTAGTGCTGGGGAATGTCTGCAGAGAGTCTTCGATGTGATCTGTCTTCAGTTCTCCCAGCCATGGATACCAGCACCTGCTCTGGTGGAGGTGGCAGGGGAGTGAAGTGGACTCTGTAGGAGTCCTTGGTTGTAGTTGTGTTTAGTGCTCTGGTTTTCTCAAATGCTGGACAAACTCAGGACCTCTGGTTAGCCAGGGTAATGCAGGCAGTGGAATTAGCTGTTTTTTTCTTCTTCTTTGGAGCAGGGTTGTTCTGTTATGAGTTGCTGTAATGGCTTGAGATGGTTGGCCTCCAGTCAGGAGGTGCTGCTTTCAAGAAAGCACCAGCAGCTGTGGTAGAAGAGGGATATAAGCTTGCCCTACATTGGATAGGATAAGTACTTACGTTTCTCAGGCAATGGTGGGGCCATAGAGCTCCCAAAAGCTTCTGTCTTTTGTCTTTGGCTACCAGGGAGGGTAGAGAAAAATGATCAGGTGGGGGCAGGGTTAGGTGTGTCTGAACTCAGATTTCTCCTTCAGTGGGGCTTGCTGTGGCCACTGCTGGGCGGGGGGGTGGTGGGGAGGTGGGAATAGCAGGTGGTTCTCAAGCCAATACAGTTATGTTCCCAAGGGGATTATGGCTGCCTCTGCTATGTTATACAGGTCACTAGGGAAGTGGGGGAAAGCCGGCAGTGACAGGCCTCACGCAGCTCCCATGCAGCCAACAAGGCCAGTCTCATTCCCACTGTGCTCAACCAACAGTGCTGAGTTTATATCCAGGCATCTGGGGAGCAGGACTGAGATCTTCTCCCAGGCTACAACCCTCTCCACTGAGAAAGCAAGCAGGGTTCTCAGGCCTTGCCCCTCCCCATCTGCCTGCACCATTGGCTGTGGCATCTGAGCTCATATCTGCATTTCCCGCTTGCACTTCCTGGATTCTGCTCAGGGAAATTCATGCTCATTCAAAATTATTATGAAATTCAGCTAGAAGCTTCCTTCACCCTGTGGCTCTTCCCCAGTTCTCCTGGCTGCCTTTCTGAAGGACTCTTGTGAGATAAAACCACTGATGGTTTCCCTGGGCTTGAGCTGGGGACTGGGAATGCCTACAGGGCTCTTCCAGCTGTTTCTTCTACTTTTATATTTTGCTTGGCTCTCTAAATCCATATCAGCTCTAGGTAATATTAAATCCTTCTCCCATGATCTGGATTTTCAGGTTCCCCAGTGAAGATGTGTGTTCGGAGGCAGGTTTTTCCCTCTCTCACTCTTTGGGAACTCAGTTTTCAACTGGCTGAGTTTTCAGCAGCAAGCCACTTCTTTCAAATGGTCTGTGAATTCTTTCAGTTTTCCTGGTATGTTCCTGTGTTGGTTCTTGGAGCAAAAGCTTCAAGTCTAATACAACTGTATGAGTCTCCAGATGCTGTTCTCCATCCAAATGGGAGTTGCACGTTAGTCCTGTCTTCTATCTGCTGTTTTCCCTCCAGAATCTAAAATTTATGTTTTTTTTTTTTTTTTTTTTTTTTTTTTGAGATAGATTCTTGCTCTGTCACCCAGGCTGGAGTGCAGTGGCACGATCTTGGCCTCACAGCAACCTCCACCTCCCGGGGTCAAGTGATTCTCCTGCCTCAGCCTCCCCAGTAGCTGGGACTACAGGCAAGTGCCACCACGCCCAGCTAATTTTTGTATTTTTAGTAGAGATGGGGTTTCACATGTTGGCCAGGATGATCTCGATCTCCTGTCCTCATGATCCTGCCTCGGCCTCCCAAAGTACTGGGATTACAGGTGTGAGCCATCAAGCCCGGCCTATGAATTTTTTAATGTAACAAAATTTGAGTGGAGAAGGTACCTTTTTATTAAATTCTCTCAACTTAAAAATTTATATAGAGTTTGAGAGATCACGCAGGTATGATAATGAGTATTGTCATTGAGTAAAAACTATTTAGAAATGATTTAGAACATTCAATAAAATTGCAATTAGAGGCATAATTCATACAACTGTGCAAAGAAATGCAACTGTGTGTGATTTTTACTTGAATAAATTATTAATAGAGAATTACAAAATAGTGCTTTTCTCACTCTATTACTTATTCTACACTTTTCATTTCTCATGTTGCTGCAAAGAAGAGCTTTTGTCCTTCCCCCATTTAAGTGTGTATGTATATAGTATTTTCTTAGTAACACCTGACTCATGGATTTTTTTTAATTCAATATATTAAATTGACAAAGTTAAACATATATTTTTAACTTGTATTTATATCTTTAACATATAAATATGTTTTAACATATAAATATATTTAACTTAGCCAGTGTGAACTTCCTGAAGTCTGGCTCCTATGTACTTTTGAAATTATTTACCAATATTTTACAAGTATGGTATGGTTTGGCTCTGTGTCCTCACCCAACCCTCATCTTGAATTATAATCCCCAAGTGTCGAGGGAGAGACTTGTAATCCCCATGTGGTCAAGGGAGGGATGTGATTGGATCATGGAGGCAGTTTCCCCATGCTGTTCTCATTATAAAGAGTGAGTTCTCACGAGATCTGATGGTTTTATAAGGTATTTTTCCTGCTCTTGCTCACTGTCTCTCACCTGCCACCATATAAGACATGCCTACTTCCTCTTCCACTGTGATTGTAAGTTTCCTGAGGCCTCCCCAGTCACACAGAACTGTGAGTCAATTAAACCTCTTTTCTTTATAAATTATCCATTCTCAAGCAGTTCTTTATAGCAGTGTGAAATCAGACTAATAGAGAGTACTATCTTACTTTCTGAAACAAAAAGATCTCCCAGATCCATCCATTTCTCCTTTCCCAACCCTAGAATCATCATGCAAGGGAATGGCTTTAATAGAGCATAGTACTTAGAAACCAAGATTTGGAAAACAGGTGTATTCACTATGTGGTTCTGTATATATAGTTATTTATATATAGTTCACTTGCAGGTTCACTAGTTCATCCTGATGCCTCAAATTTTAGTCTAATACAACAAGGCTCTGCCTCTCCTTTCCCAATTTCTTTCCTTGGTTGTAACCCACTTTATCCTACAGCAAAAACCCTGACTCCAAAGAGCAGCAATATGTTTACTCATTTGCTAGATTGTATACTACACACACCCACATATACACACACAATAGCTTTAGAATATACAAAGTAATGTTCAAGACATTTTTCTATTTTTTTTTCTTTCTATCTTTGGACTGAGCTTATACTATGGAAGTGCTTAGAGTAGTTTATTTTGTTCCTACATGTTGTTATCATTTGGATATACAGTTAGTTTCATGTATTTTTTGCTTGTTTTAAATTTATAGTTGTTACCATCCCACTGATTACATTTATTTTTAAACTAGGCAAAGCCTTTGCATGGCTTGAAAAGACAAAACCCTTCAGATACATACATATACACACACCCAGAGTGAATTGTGTGTATATTCCCCCGTTCTTCTTTGGGCCCATTCTATAGATAATAAACTTTATTAATTTTTTGTTTATTCATCATCTTGTGTTCTTTTTTAAAAGTAAGCATATGTATGTGCACACACACACACACTGGAAATCACTCATCAGTTTTTAAAACAGCTGCTGTTTCTGGATTCTGGCAACAACAACAACAACAAAAAACCAAAAACAAAAAACATCTGCCATGGTGCTATGTTGAATAGCAGTAAAATAGTTCAATCAACTATTTTTTTATGTTTGGGCATTTAGGTTGTTTTTTATATTCTGGAATTACAAATAATTCCACAGTGGATAATATTGTGTACATGAATGTGTTTTGCATGATTGGAAGTGTGTCTTTATGCTTAATTCATAGAATAGGTATGTCAAAAATGTTTCTTTCTTGCTGTTGTTTAGATTTTTCTGTAATTTTATTTTTTCCTTTCCTCTATCTTTTCTTCTTTTGGTAACTTTTTTTGGCAAAATAGACAAACCTTAAGTGTTAGTACAATACATTTCTTAAAATTATATTCCAATATCCAACACATAATATAGAACACTTCCATTACTCTAGAGAGTTCTCTCATGCCCCTTTCTGGAAAATTTACCCCCTTCCACAGGCAACCATTTTCAGACTTCACTTGGAATAATGTTTTTTTAGATAGAACCATATTGATGTGTATATTAATATTCCATTTGTTTTCATTCAACATGGTGTTATTGAGATTCATCCAAGTTTTTGTGTGCATCAGTAACCCATTCCTTTTCAATGCTAAGTATTATTTTATTGTATGGATATACCATAAGTTATGTATTGATTTTTAATTGACTATTCTTTGTGCTGTATCCAATTTTTGGCTACTATAAATAAGGCTAGTGTGAGCATTCTTATAAAAGATTTTTGAGGACCTATATTATCATTTCTCTTGGATAAGTATATAGAAATATAATTAGGTGAATATGTAAGGGTGATTATATTGTAAAAGCATGTTTCCTTTACAGAAATTGCTAGCTTTTCAAATTGTGTACCACTTTTCACTCCTAGCAGCATTTGAGTGTTCTAGCTGCTCTGGGTTTTTTGTCAATATTTACTATTGCCAGTCTTTAATTTTAGCCATTTTAGTATATTTTTAGTTTACCTTCCCTAATAACTAATAATGATGAACGACTTTGAATGTGCCTGCTGGTTTTTGCATATCTCTTCTTTGAAGCATCTATATAAATCTTTATGCCCATTTTTATTGGACAGTTTGCCTTTCTATGGTTATCTGTAGGAGTTCATTATACAGACCAGATACAAATCCTTTGCCAGATAAATGTAATGTGAATTTTTCTTATTTCATTATGTGGGTTGCCTATTTATCTTCTTAATGTTGTCTTTTAATTTAATTCTTTGCTTTATCTCTGAAAGCCTGGTTTGGATTTCTCCCATAGAGTATTATATAGTGCAATGACTTTGGCAGTTTCTCAGAAAATAGAAAGGCAGATGAGGGAAGCCTGTGCACAGGTTCACTCCTGATTAATCTTGGAAATGTAGAACCACTTACATTCAAGTTGCCATGGTCCTGAAGTAACTTCTGACCCCGTGGAATTGTCCAAGTGACCCTCAGCAGTCTGAGAGAAATGTGAATATATTTCTCCTTGTTGAATTACTAAAATAAACTTACTAGTTTTAAAGCACTGCTCATAAATTTGCATATTTAATGTTAAATGATTGTTGTAACCATGCATTATATAATTATCAAAAATAAATAAAATAATATAGAGGTTTCTTTTTCAGTAAGCATATTATTATTTTTTCTTTCAACTTACCAAAAAACAAAAAAAGGAAGATTTAAGTGTTCATTAATAAGTCACTGTGTTTTTATGGGATTAGCTTCAGCAATACGAGCTATTTTTTTTTTAATCACCAAACTTTTTATTATATACAGCCATGGTCACAGCTGGATTTGCCCTTTGTGTCCTCCAAGCTGGACTACTGTGAGGAATTCTAATCAAGTGTTTCTTGAAGAACTACTCATAAGTTTCCAGAGCTGCAACCAGGGAGAACACAGCAGAGAGCTTGTTAACTGCTTCTGATTGCTAACAATGTGTGCCCTGAGGGAACAGTGAGAAGCTCTGTCTCTGAATAATGCCTCCAGCTATTTAAACCTCCCAAGGTGCTTCATTTGATAGTAATAGCTGAATCAAAACTTATTTACTGAAAATCCTCTTTCAGTCACTTAAAGACGAAGAATTTTAAAACTTTTTTAGAAGGCCCCTATCATATCTGGAGATTTTCCATTTTATATCCTTTGTCCATTTGAATTTGAAAATCAGGGTCAAGTCAGTCCAGAATAGAAAGCCTACACATATTTCTGTTTCATTTTCTTTTTAACCTCAGTAACTGCAAAGTATCGGTATCTACTCTTTACATGCTTACACAAAAATATACATATACTCTTAGTACCATTAACCTTAAATATCGATCTCTTTAAGATATACACATACATATTTATGTTTATATGTAATGTAAACATAATATCATGTGCATATAAATTGCAAAGATCAACAATCAAAATTACATCCCCAAATGGAAGAAATTAATGATGTTAAGTATAACACATTTTGGCACAGCTATCCCTTTGAAGCCATTTTATGTCATAGTTCACAGACCGTAAAGTTAAGTATTTATAGCCTATGCCTTGCTTAGCCCTTCCATGAATGAGGAGAGAAGAAATGCAAAAGTAAAGTCTTTCCTCTAACAAATATTTTACAAGGCTGCTAACAAGAAGTCACATAGAGAATAGAATTTTATCTCAGCTCACATGCTTTGTTCAGGCTCAGACTCTGATGCTAATGAGCACACCACAGCCAGAAGGTCAGCAGCAAGAGCCCTGGAATGAGAAGTGAGGGTCCCAAAAGATGGAAAAATTTGAATAATTGGTTCTAGAACACTCAAGAAGATATTGTCATTTTAGTATATGTGAGTATAACATACTTACACTCTGTCTTCAATAAATAATGCAGCTCAAGTTAACAAAGTAGTTCTTTCATCCACTTTACAAGGTTATGAATCTTTTTTGTGTTTTGTGGTAAACAAAGCATGCTAGTCAATTGATAGATTGCTAACTAAATACTATATCTCTGAAACTGTATGCTTGTAAATTATATTCGCAGATATCGTTTAAACCATTTTGCTATTTTTTTCTGTTATAATGGAGAAAATTTAGGTTTAGAGAATTTCTGTAGCTCTAAATTTTACACAGTAAGAATCAGGTTATAGATTCAAACATGCTTATAAATTATATTTATGATAACTTTATTTATATAAATAAACTCTATTTGTAAAAACCATATAATGATAATGGTCAAAGTCAGTTATTCCATAGTTAAGATATTGGCAAAGGGAAATTATCAGAGATTCATGGGTTGAGGGGTTAAGAGTATTGCCCATAAAATTGCCCCTGAAAGCATGAGAAATGGCTGAAATTTTTGGATCTCGTCTAGCAGATAGACAAAGAACTGGGATTTCTAAGTAATGTGTATTATAAGGCAGCAGTCTCCAACATTTTTGGCACTAGGGACCAGTTCCCTGGAAGACAATTTTTCCACGAACCAAAGGTGGTTGGTCGGTTTGAAACTGTTCCACCTCAGATCATCAGGCATTTGATTCTCATAACGAGCTCACAATCTAAATCCCTCACATCACAATTCACAATAGAGTTTGCACTCCTATGAGAATCCTATGCTGCCACTGATCTGACAGGAGGTGGAGCTTAGGTGGTAAAGCTGGCTGTCTCGCCACTCACCTCCTGCTATGCAGCCTGGTTCCTAGCAGGCTACTTACAAGTCCACACCCCTATTATAAAGTATAATTGAGCAGCAACATCATGGAATCATGGAACAATACTTGACTTTCTAGGGGGAAGTGTGAAGGAGTGAAGAGGACAGGTAGCTGGGAATCTGGGCCTCATCAAAGTCTTTGAGGGCTCAGGGCAAATTTCAAACTATATTGGTGTTAATTGAAAAAAAAATCAGAAGCTAATTTGTATGAATCCTGATGGTTAAGAGTTTAGGAGAAGATATTCTGCATGCTTAGGGTACAAATAGTTGGGAAATGAGAAAAGTTAGAATTTTAAATATACTTATATAGTAAAAACACGTCATAGAAACATTTGGCTTTCAATTGTTGAATCCCAAAAAGGACACCAAAAGAATGTGTTGATCAAAGTTGTGTTTATTAGATTTACTGCAGTAGAGGCAAACACAATTTGACAAACTCTTAGTAGTCTCAACATGGAAAACTAAGATAAGGTACTTGTGGGTTTTAGGGTCTGAACCAAGTGATTTTCTAGGAGACTTGCAAGACTAGAAACTAAACAGAATTTGGTAGCATTTAAGATGTTACAACTTTGGATTGATGGGTGTATAGAGCCAAGGGTCTTGAAGCAAGTTTTGATCAAGAAGCTGTTAGCCCTGATAAGTAATCCATTTAGTTGGTTCACATTCTTATCTTCCAGAAGCAGGTATTTCCTGGGGCAAGCAGAAAATTATTTTTCCTTAGTTCCAGCATAGTTTAACACAAGGACAGGGAATTATCTTGGGTTCATTTCCCATAGCTTAGAAGAATTGAATTCCAGTGGCTCTGTGTTTGTGTGTGTGTGTGTGTGTGTGTGTGTGTGTGTTTCTGTGTGTGTGTGTTTGTATGTGTGTATGTGAGAGAGAGAGAAAGAGTGAGAGAGAGAGGCTGAAAGAGAGACTAAGAGAAAATTATAATTTCATGAATGGGGACTGTTATTCCAATAATTCTTCCTGAGAGTTCCCGAACTGCCAAATATAATTCTGATATTCTGTCTGTTATGTCAATACTGTATGCTGACCATATGATTTGTATATTTAAAGTATTTTTTTCATAAAATGATTTCTTAACACAAAGAAATTTATCTGGTGTTCAAATGAAGAAATGGCAGGATCTTTCAAACCTGGAAGATTCAGGGGGTTTTCAAAGGTCACTTGCTTTCCTATTTGTGATTTTCATTTTATGTTCATGTTGAACATAGAACTCCATCCTGCATTAGTTATTAACTCTACCAAAGTGTGTGTCATTGGAATTCAATGTGCTACCTAGTGTGGTCAAGATAAATCTAGTATGCATGAGCTTGCAGATATCTGGACTTATGGATTCCAGCTAATAGATAAAGAAGGAAATGATGGCACCTTAATATTTATAACGATTACTATAGCCTTTGCAATGGAACAGAGGTAAGGAGAAAATGCTTCATAAGTAGGCAAATTTAACTAACTGCATTTAAAACAGAGGTTTCAGGCACATTAGAACAGCAATATATTTTGATAGCCTCACACATTTCCCTAGATACCTTTGCTTGCTGCCTAAAATTACATGAAGGAAATTTACTGGAAAGTGTAACAAAAACAAGCAGGGTACTGTACTGATAACTATGATAAGGCAACATCTCTATCAATTATTTTGACACCTCTGTGTTAATTGTCTGAGTTTCATATATTATTCACCACTTAGAGAAAGAAAAAGAATTAATCATATTTTTTAAGCCTGGCCAAAGTTTTATCAAAGTTTCTTTACATGCCTCTAAAACATGCATCACCAGACAATTTTCTGATGAAAGTAAGTTCTACACATATGCTCTCAAATTAAGAGAACTGGTAATGTACTCATTTTATTCTGAAAATAGAAGTATGGATTACTTAACTATATTATTTTTGCATAATGTTCCATGGAATAGTTAACCTAAAAGGTGCTAGTCAGGTGCCTTTGTATTAAAGTTAGAAAGTGAAACTGAGAGTTTATATTAAAAAATTAGAATTAGGTAGAATTAGAATAATTGCTTTGTGAGATAATAACTTTGTCAGTAAAATTGAGAATAATTTTGTGAATAATTAACTCTCAGAGTCAACCAAGAGGGAATTCCTACCTTGGGATAAAGTTTGGAGCAGATGACATTTAAAATTCTTAGACTTTCGTAAAGATAGTTAAATAAAAGAACTAGTTCTAAAACCCTTTTAGATACCTTAGCAGACATTGTACTTCAAAGTATCATTTCATATTGACCAAGATGGCCTTAGGGTTTATTTTTTTCGGCTTGGCCAAACTTTAAGAAGGCTTCTTTTTGCCTCTAGGCCTTTGACCACACCTTAGGTATTTACCTTAGAAAATTTGCTATTTGTAATTTTGCCATTTAGAAATATAAATATTTTTAAAACCCTCTGCCAGATTTACAACCCAGGACTGTCTTTCTCATGAACCTGGAAGCCATCCCTTTGAAATGTAATCCACAAGGAAGATGGGGCCCTATTTCTCAGGCTCGGTGGGAAGATAGACATATAACTTCAGTAGGAGGCTAACGTCCTTAGGGTATCTTTGGTCCAAGTTGTAAAATCACCTCCTGCCATGAAGATACTAGATAGTTACTTTTCCTTTGAGTAAACCCAATTAGCAAACACAAATGGCCTAAGATCTTTCCCACTCCAGCTCTTAAAAAGTCTCTAACCCTTGTTTCTTCTTCTCACTAGGTAAAGTGTTTATCACTTATTCACTGATTTGTCATTCAACAAATACTTAAGTCTCCTTTAAGAAGCCACTAAGGAGATAACAAGATGAGTGAACTATTTACTCTCCTAGAAAATCACAATCATGAGATGTAAACATAGAAATAAAAATAAAATGAGCAAAAAAAGTTTGAAACAGATTAAAATAAAGTCTTCTGAAAATTTTTAAAAAGTGAGATGATTTCCACCTGAGAGGTGGTGGATGATGCAGATGGGCATTCATGGAGGAGCAAGCATGTGAGCTGGGCTTTCAACAGTGGTAAGGAAGAGTGGGCTTTGGAAAAACAGAGAGGAAGGTGTAAGGAGAAGGCTTTCAAAGCAAAAGCAGGAGGACAGACAGAGCAATCCGATTCCCCAGAGACTTAAAAGTGATACAATGCAACTAAAACAGTTATGTTAAAGGAAATACAATAGGGAAATTAGGAGATCTAGTTTTTGGTGTGTCTTGAGCACCACGTAAAGAATTTTGACTTTTTTTTTTTTTCCTAGACAGGGTCTTGCTGGAGTGCAGTCCCAGGCTGAAGAGAACCTCTCACCTCAGCTCCCAGAATTGCTAGGACTACAGGTACACACCACCATGCTCAGTTGATTTTTGTATTTTGTATTTTTTGTAGAGATGGGGTTTCACCATGTTGTCCAGGCTGGTCTCGAACTCCTAAGCTGAAGCAACATGCCTGCCTAGGCCTCCCGAAGTGCTGAGATTACAAGAATGAGCCACCACACCCAGCCAAGGATTTTGACTCTTATCCTATGAATAATGAGAAGCTGCTGGAGTGTTTTAAACTAGCAAGAAAACTAACAAAGTTTGCATGTTGGAAAATGTGCTTGGCAATAAGGTGATGGTTGTCAAACATTTTTGCTTCCATACTTCTTAAAACTATTGGGACAATAATGTAGTCATTATAAAGATGCTTCCCAAAACCAGTATTTTGAATTGGGATCTTGTGAGGAGGAAGTGGGAGAGAATTACTAGCATGAAACTTTGATCACAGAATCATTTATCCTCAGGCATGTCAGTTCTAGAGAGAGTCACTCATGGAAATGGAGGCTCTGGAAACTGATCCTCTTAAAATTACCGAATTCCATGTGTTTCTTGGAAAACAGTCATTTGCTACATGTTGGTCAGTTAAGCAGTTCTGTCTCACTGGACCAGGATTGGCTGATCTTGGCTTGAGCTTCTCTTTCATCCGTGATGTACCAGTAGGTAGACTGGAGCCTCACTGGTCTCAGATCACCTCATTCTCATATACTGGCTGACTGTCAGCTGGGCAGGTGAAGGTCACAGAACCATGAATATCTTATTATCCACCATTCTAGTTCAGATTTGAATACACGGAGGTGGCAAAGTACCAGAAGAGAGCAGAAACAAATAAAAAAGCCATCTTACAGGCTTAGATCTGCATCATTATATCTGCTATGTTGAATAAAAACATGTTTCACAAGTTCAGCCCAGAATCAAGGGGTCAGAAAATAGACTCCAATCTCATGATCAGAATCGTTGCAAAGTTACATCACAAAAAGCATGGACAGAGAGAGGGAAAGAATTCTGGTCACTTTTGCAATAAACCACAGTGGTGATTTAAGAGGGCCTCTGAGATTTCAGAGTCGGACTACTTTAAAAAGAATTGCCTGACATGAGCAGATAGGTTGTATCAGTGGAAAGATTAATCCAGAGTGTGGAGGTTAATGAAATAGCTAAGCTTTTGGTGGTCTAGCGTGGTAAAGCAGGAGTAAAGGGTAAGTGGAAAAGAAGAAAGAGTGGACAAGATTAGGTAAATTATTGATTATAGAAATAGCAAAATTTTCTCTAAAATTTATTGTAATTAACTCTAATTTAAATATAGATTAAATTAAATTCATTTACATTGAAACATCCTTGGTGCAGTAATCTATATCTAAATTTGGTCAACTTTATTATAGATTTAGATAAGTGTTGAATGCTAGTCTTTTGAAAAAGACTTTGAGACCATTTAAGCCAGCCCCTTCACTTAATGAATGAGAAAATAAAATGCATTTTTTCAGTAATATATAGAAGTGATATTCTTTTCACTCATAAATAAAGAAAATTTGGCAAAACACAAGTGATTCCAGAAGCAGTAGTAATAGAAATAAGGTAACTCTTAATTGTGTGTTCCAAGAGGTAATGTCAAGATATGAGTAAAAGAAATCTACAAGTGATATAAAATGCAATTTTCATTAACTTCAACTGCTCTTCCTTTCAAGTCTCCAATAACTGATCTGCATTTTATTCTAAATCATAATTTATGGAGAATGGAAGGAATCTTGGAGAAAATTGCGTCCAAATGCTTTGAAAGTATGTTTTTAGGGCTTCTCAGATGTACCGTATGCACTGCTGAGAGGGCAGGGCTGTAGTCTTCTGATCTCAACCCAGAACAATCTCCTGTTATCTGCCTCGCACACAAGGATCTAATGTAGAATTTTTTTGGTAAGGTTTTTAAGGGTACAAATGTTTCTTCTTTTTTTTTTTTTTTTTTTTTTTTTTTTTTTTTTTTTTTTTTTTTTTGTTAAACCACACAGTGATCTTCTCCAACACACTGTTACATGAGAAAATTGACCTAAGACTAAGTAAAGTCACTTGATGAAAATTATAGAGCTAGTTGTTGACAAAGCGATGGCAAAGATGCATGTTTACGAACTCCTGACTCCCTGCCCACTTTGCCCACTTCCTCTACTTTGAGGCAGAAGAAAGTATAAAAGTGAAAGGAAGAGAATATTGCATGATATCCAAAGGCAGAACATGAATTCCAGTAATTGCCTGAGAACTATGGAACTGACTGCAGCTAGAACATACATTTGTTGTGTAAATAGAGTGATAAATATACTAATAAATGCAAACTTGTATGTGAGAATGTAGCTCTCACTGTGAGACCTCGATCTTCAGACTCACAGATACACAAATAGAAACCATCTGTGAGTATTTTTTCATACACATTTTTGCCTAATTCTCTTCATCAGGTGTGATCTTTGGGTGGCTCATCACAGTTCTGCTTAATCAGGCATTCTGATTAATAGTAGCTATATCTATTTCTCAGATAATTGAATTTCCAAGCTTTAGAATTCAGGTAAATACCTTTGACATTAAGCCTATACCAAACAAAACATAATTTGTCTTTGTTGAATCAACAGTCCTAATAATTCAGGTTTATTATGATGAGTTTCATTATCCTCTTATAGCTGATTTGCAAAAGGACCTAAAACCCTGAATTCCCCAAGCTCCAGAATACCACACAACAGGCAGCTGTGCATAAAAGTAAGAGAAATCTCCCTTTCTGCACATTCTGCATGGAAGTTCATGTTTCTGTTTATAGATTTTATACATGACAAATGTTCATTTTGGATTGTAAATAAAGACTGAGGAAGAAGCAGCCCATAGCATCTTGGTAGTTACAACAGATGGCGTTAACCACGTGGGAATGCTTGGGATTCTTCCGTTTCCGTAAGATATAGAAAAATAAATTGTTACATAGTGAGAGCTCTTTCTCGTCCAAATTCCTGGTAAAGTGGATATCAATTATTTCTTGTAGTATTTTAACAGAATATCTAGTGAAAGTTGTATTCACTAAGAATTAGGGAATAATACAACAAAATAAATTATTGAACTAGTAAAATTATTCATTCCAAATGTATACAAATTAATATAATTAATTAATTATCAGTCCTTAAATATTTTCTAAAGCTAAATTTGAAAAGGCAACTTATCCAAGGTAGATAAGTATTATTAAAATAATAATTTGATACAAGGAAATAAAATGTCCTTATTATTACAATATTAAACTTTTAGGAAAACCTCAAGGCAAAATATTTCTCAAAACCAGTTTCTCCAGCAAGGTAGGAATGGAAATGATAGAAAGAGGGTTTCACAGCTGAGAAAGAAGAGTCATCTATATGCTATTATTTTCAAAAATAAAAAATAAAATCCCAAGGGGGGTCTTTGTAAATTGAAAAGTAAGATTATGTCCAAAGATGTCTACATTTGTGTACATACATACAAATTATTGTGTCTATGTCTTATAGTATACAAGAAAGGGGCTCTTTTTATGTACCTTAAAAATTATCAAATTTTATATCAGCAGTCCAAGATTACTTTTTATTTTAAAAACATTTATTTCATACCCAGATTGCATGAAGCACTGTACTAAGTGCTATTATATAACAGTGCTTTCCATTTATGTTTCAGGGTTGTGACTCAGGGCTGAATTGCCCTGTGATTGTGAGAACCTTTATGTCTCTATATATTCCTTATCATCGATCAGTCATTGCCGCAGTTACATACTTAAAATCAGTATAAAATCTTAATGGTTTGGCTGGGCACGGTAGCTCACCTATAATCCCAGCACTTTAGGAGGCCAAAGCAGGAGCATCAATTGAGGCCAGGAGTTTGAGACCAGCCTAGCCACATAGAGAGACTGCATCTCTACAAAAAAATTTAAAAATTAGCTGAGCATGGTTGTGTGAACCTGTAGTCCTAGCTACTTGGGGGCTGAGGTGGGAGGATCACTTTAGCCTAGGAATTCCAGGCTGCAGTGAGCTATGATCACACCACTGCATACCAGCTGGGGTGACAGAGCAAGAACATCTAAATAAATAAATAAATAAATAAATAAATATTGTAATGGTTTTAGGAACAGGTTACTCAGATCACTTTGTCGGTCATCCTCCAGGTAAAGTGTCAATAGAATTACCAAATCTCCACACATAAACTCAACTTGCAAACCCCATAAACGAAGTTTGAGGTTTTGCTAGCCATTTTGGTCTAGGTCATTGACCTTCAAAAACTTTGTTCATATATCTTCTTAAAGTGGTTTTTAAACCCATGCATACACAAATGAATTTTAATTTTGAGTCCTAAATTTCTATCACATACTTAAGTAGTTGTAAAAATGGGATTTCTTTAGAATAACAAATAAATGTGTTCAATGGCCCCTGTCTACAACAGAGAATTAATACCCACCATCAAACGTTTCAAGATGTACATGAATCTGGAGGATATTATACTAAGTGAAACAAGCTAGACACAGAAAGACAAATATTATGTGATCTCATTTACATGTGGAATCTAAAAATGTGGAGCTTATAGAAACAGAGTAGAAAGGTGATTAAAAGGTGGTTACCAGAGGTTGGAGAGTAGAGGAAATGGACAAATGTTGGTCAAAGAATACAAATTTGGAGCTACAAGATAAACTCTGGAAACCTAATGTGCATCATGGTGACTGTAGTTAATAATAATGTACTATATACTTGAAATTTTCTAAGAGAACAGATCTTAAATATTTCCACATACACACACACGCACACACACACACACACACACGGGTAATTATGTGAGGTGATAGAGATATTAATTACCTCGATTGTGGTAATGATTTCACAACGTATATGTATATCAAAATATTGCATTGTACACCTTGAATATATATAATTTTCCTCTGTGAATTCTCTTTGTGTGTGTGTGTGTGTGTATGTGTGTGTGTGTGTGTATCTCCAAGGCTTTTCCTAATGGTCATAAATTTTACATTATTTTTTTCCTCCTTAAATTCATTTATATTTCACTTCCTTCACAGAACTGATATAATACTAATGCACTGTGGTAATGCAATATATTTTTATTCTGGACAGTTTCATTGATGAACTTCTCAGGTCACCATGTTACCTAACCCCAAAGGACATTTCTGTAATATATATTATTTCTTAATTCTCTATTTAAAAAAGCATGCTAATTGAATATTTTTTAAAAAAACTTCCATGAACATAACATCCTAAAGTTTTACAAAATTTATCTGGAATTGGAGTCAATAATGACTAGCACATTGTTAGTAAAAAATATAATTATATTACATTTTATAATAATTATAAAGTAAA
This sequence comes from Homo sapiens, assembly GCF_000001405.40. NCBI lineage: Eukaryota > Metazoa > Chordata > Mammalia > Primates > Hominidae > Homo > Homo sapiens. Next base: position 126,238,928 of record NC_000007.14, read on the forward strand.
AACTAAAATTTTCTTAAAATTAAGATAACGGGGCTTTTTTTATAGTCAATGTGCCATTAAATAATATCATTCGTTGCTAGAATATGAAAGTGTTCAGCAGCTATACCATCCCTAGATGTGAGATCTGGGAAATCTTGTTTGCATAGATAAGTAGATGAGTATGGAAAGAGCTTTGCAACTAAATTCTCTGAACTTTTGAGTTGTATCCCAAATATCACCGGGACCTCTTTCATCAGACTTTATTCTTATCATCTGTTAGTAGACAGCTTGTTTTTTGTTTTAATTTTGTGTGAATAAATGAAGTATAAATACTTTATTTGAACAATGATTAGTACACATTAGACTTATTCACTTTTTCAAAACCGACACTTACTTAAGTGCCTCTACGGTTACTTTTAATGCCTTGAGAGACATCCCTATCTTTTGTACAATATGAAATGAATACCCTAGTTTGAACACCAATAGACTAGTAGATCTATGGTCTCTTCCCTGTTTACTGTGGATATGCTGAGACTATATTGCTATATAGGCACCATTAACTCTATTCTTTCCAACACCAGCAAAAGTAGAGAGGATATAATGATAGAAACGAAGAAGAGAGAACAGAAAAAATGAAAGTGTTTTGAGAACATGATGAATGTTACATCATATATGATAAAACATCCCACAGGAGGAACCATTCTGAAAGGCAAGGTACAAATACTAAAAGAATATGACTGCCTCATTTTAAAATATTCAGGAACAAGATATGTAAACTCTTCTTTAGCGATGTAAAACTAAAAAAAAAATGTTTCACAATCTAACCTACTATTAAGTAGAATATCTTCTGTATCCATTAAGGCAATATAAAATAGGAAACAATGAACTGTTCGTTAATAGTCAATGCCCATTATTCCCAACAGTGAACTCTGAAAATACGAAGTGGAACAAATGGCTGAGCTATAGTAGCCAATGGGCTTCTAACGTTTCTCAAATTTAAATCTTAATACTAACCAGATACCAAAAACTCCCAATCACCTAACAACTTGTGTGAGAAAAGTTGTTAGGAAATATGCTCATTCAAACTCTGCCCAGCGAGACAGTTTTGGGCTCAGCTTTCTCAATAAGCCATATCAGTGTGCAGAAAAACTCTAAGGTGACCATACTCAAAAAGAGTATCATTTAATAAATAATAATTCTACCAATGTAAAGTTGGTCTAGCAAGTGCTCAGAATGTGACTAAATCAGGTATTTCCTCCTAGATGTGGATGTAAGAAGATGTAGATAGAATGACCCCCATAATGTTAGATAGTAAAGTTGTATATATGCAAAGAGTGTCCAACCTCATCCATCCCAGGCATTAGATCTGTTTGTCCATTGTGATAACTAACAGCCACATGTAGCTACTTAAATTTCAATTACTCAAAAGTAAATATAATTAAATGCTCAGTTCTTCAGCCCCATTTCAAGGCTTAATAGCCACATGTAATTGGTGGGTATCACACTGGACATACAGAAAACAGAATATGTTCAATGATCAAAATGTTGTATTAGGTGATTAACAAACAAGCAGGTAGTCACTTTCAAATTTTTACAGAACAGACATAAAGATTCTTTGTAATATAAGCCTTGTATGATTCAGTCATAACAAGGAATGAATACATTATTTTAATGAATATTAGCATCTGAAAAGTCACATAGATATCATTTGATATATGTAAAAATGTAATGTTTTAAGCACTACCCTAGTGGCCTGTGCATTAATAAACTTCCAAAATTGAGCAACATATGCCTTTCCAAATAATATAAGAAAAAGTCTCAAATGTTTAATCTCATTATGTAAAAATAATTTGTACTAAGACATTCATCTAATTGGAAATAAGAAATAAACAATATAATTAGATCATTGTATAAACAATGATTTTCTTCTTGATTTTAAGGCTCCAAAACATAGCCTTGTAGTATAACTTGAAGTTAAGCAATGTGATTCTTTCAAATGTGTTCTTCTTGCCTACGATTGCTTTGGCTATTTGCACTTTTTGTTTGTTTATTTATATATGAACATTAGGATTTTTTTTCTAATTCTGTGAAAAGTGATATTGATAGTTTCACAGGAACTGTGATGTATCTGTAGATTGCTTTGGGCAATACGGTCATTTTAACAATATTGATCCTTCCAATCCATGAGCATAGGATGTTTTGTTTGTGTTATTTACAATTTCTTTCATCAGTGTTTTATAGGTCTCCTTGTAGGGATCTTTTGCCTCCTTGGTTAAATGTAGTCCAGATTTTCTGTGTCTGTGTGATATGGTTTGGCTGTGTCCCCACCCAAATCTCGTCTCAAATTGTAGTTCCCATAATCCCTATGTGTCATGGGAGGGACACAGTAAGAGGTAATTGGATCATAGAGGTGATTACCTCCTGCTGTTCTTGTGATAGTGATTGAGTTCTCAGGAGATCTGATGGTTTTACAAGGGGCCTTTCCTCTACTTCGCTCTGCACTTCTCTTTGTTGCCATCATGTGAAAAACGACATGTTTGCTTCTGCTTCTGCCATGATTATAAGTTTCCTGAGGCCTCCCCAGCCAGCTGATCTGTGAGTCAATTAAACCTCTTTCCTTTATGAATTACCCCATCATGGGTATGTCTTTATTAGCAGCCTGAGAGTGGACTAATACTGTGTGGCTACTGTAAATGGGATTGAGTTACTGATTTGGTTGGCAGCTTGAATGTTATGGATGTGTAGAAACGCTGCTGATTTTTATACATCGCTTTTGTATCTTGAAACTTTACTGAACATGTATATCAAGTCTAGGAGTCTTTGGGAGGAGTATTTAGTGCTTTCCAGGTATACAGTCATGTTATCAGTGAACCGAGATAATTCGACTTACTCTTTCACATTTTGTACGCCTTTTATTTCTTTTTCTTGCCTGATTGCTCTGGCTGGGACTTGCAGTGCTATGAACAGGAGTGGTCAGAGTGGACATCCTTGTCTTGTTTCAGTTCTTAGGAGAAATGCTTTAAACTCTTCCCCATTCTGTATGATTTTGACCTTGGGGTTGTAATATATGACTTTCATTATTTTTAGATACGTTCCTTCAATGCCTAGTTTATTGAGGGTTTTCATTATAAGGGATGTAGAATTTTATGAATTTTTTCTGCATCTGCTGAGATGATCATATGATTTTTGTTTTTACTTCTGTTTATACATTGTGATTATTATAATGTGATATAGATGTAAGTGTATGTGTGCGCTCATTGCTTTTTTAATCAAATTTTATGCCTTGTATTATAACCATAAATGCATATTATAACTATGAATTTTAAGTGCATAGTTTGACAAATTTTGACAAATGTACACACCTTTGTAACTGTACCACAATTAGGTTATAAAGCATTTACATCAACCCAAAACCCAAAACTTTGCAGGTGATGTGGTTTGGCTCTGTGTCCCCACCCAAATCTCATCTCCAATTGTAATCCACACATGTCAAGTGAGGGACCTGGTGGGAGGTGATTGCATCATGGGAGCAGTTTCCCTCATGCTATTCTCATGACAGTGAGTGAGTTCTCACAAGATCTGATGGTTTAAGAATGTGGCACTTCTCCCGTCACTCTCTCTCACCTGCCACGATGTAAGATGTGTTTTGCTTCCCCTTCATCTTCCATCATGATTGTAAGTTTTCTGAGGCCTTTCCAGCCATGTAGAACTGTGAGTCAATTAAACCTCTTTTCCTTATAAATTACCCAGTCTCATGTAGTATCTTTATAGCAATGTGAAGATGAAATAATACAGCAATATTCTTCACCCCAACACCAGTCCCTGGAGAACACTAATCTGTTTTACATCACTATAGATTAAATTAAGCTTTTCTAAAGTTTTATATAAATGGAATCATACACTCTATTGCATCATGTCTGGTTTCCTTCATTCTGGATATTTTGAGAAATACTCCATGTTTTTGTGTATTAAAAAATTCTTTTTAAACTTAGTAGTATTATTATGTTATGACATACCATAATGTGTTAATCATTGACTTGATGATTGACAGTTGGATTGTTCTCAGTTTGGGGCTTTTATGAATAAAACTACTGTAAATACTTGCACACAAGTTTTTAAATGAACATATGTTTTCATAACTCTTGGGTAAATAATTAATTGAATGGGATTTCAAGATTATGTGATAAGTTTAACTTAATGGATTTTCCAAACTATTTTAAAACTTGGTGGTACTACTTTCATTTTCAAAAACACTATTGGAGACTTCTGTGTAGTGGTATTTCTTCTGGTTTTATTTTGCATTTCCCTGATGAAAAAAGAAGCATCCTTTCTAGGGTTTATTGGCTCTTTTTATACCCTGTATGAAATATATGTTGAAAAATTTTATTGAATGTCTTTGTTTATTATACAGTCATAAATGTTCTTTACTTATTCCTTACATCTACTGCATACAAATAAAATATATGTATTGCACAACTATTTTCTTCCAGCCTATGGTCTGGTTTTCTTTTCATTTTCTTAAAAGTGACTTTCAAATAATAGATTTCCATATTTACCAAATCAAATTTGTACAACTTTTACTGTATAGTTTCTTTTCTGATTTTTTGTGTTTATTTAAGAAATCTTAATCTATCCAAGGTTAGGGAGATTTTCTTCCCTCTTTTCTTCCAAAAGTGTTACAGTTTCTATCTTTATGTTTAGGCCAATGATCAGTTTTGTGTTAATTTTTACATATGATGTAAAGTAAAGGAATTTTAAAAATATGAATATGTAGTTGTTCTAGAACCCTGTTTTGAAGACTATCTTTCTCCAATGAATTGCTTTAGCACCTTTTGAAAATCAATGACCATATATGTGTGGTTATATTAATGCACTCTCTATTACTTTTCATTCATCGACATGTATTTCCTTAGCCAATACTATGCAGTCTTGATTGCTGTAACATCGTAATTAGTCTTGAAAAAAGTAATGTAAGTTCTCTTTTTCTTTTTTCCTCAAAATTGTTTTAGTTTTCTAAGCTCTTAAGGTTTCCATATAAATTCAGAATTGGCTTGTCAACTCTGCAAAGAAAAGCTTGCTGAGATTTTGGCTGGCATTTTATGGAATCCATGAATCAATTTAGAAATATTATCCATCTTAAAGATATCAAATCTTCCTACTCATGAATCTTATATACTTTCATAATTTTTAAAAATTTTTCCCAGCAAGGATCAGTAGTTTTGAATGAACAAATTTTCATGGGTATAGTTAAATTTGTGTTAAGTAGTTTATGCTTGTTGATGCTGTTTAACCTTCAATTCCCAGTTTCATTTTTCCATATTTAGAAATACAATTAATTTTTACATTCGCTTTGTATCTTGTGATCATGTTAAACTCAATTGTTTGTTTTATACTATCTTTGTAGGTACACTTTAGTTTTCTATGTTCATAATAATGTTTTATGCCAGTAAAGACAATCTATCTAAATGATCCTTCTTCCCAAATGGTACCTCTTTCCAAAGGGTATGTACCTTGTTTTATTTTCTTGCCTATCACACTAATAGAACTGCCAATACAAGATTGAAGAGAAGCACTAAAATAGTGCTCAATAGCTGATAGAAAAAATATCAACTATCTCAATACCTGATAGAAAAAATACATAGAAAGTTTCATCCTTATACTGCTTATAAGGAAAACAACTCAAATATATGGAGCCAGATATGTTGAAAGTAAAAGAATGAAAAATTTTGAAGAGGAAAAGGTTATGCAAAATGTAACCAAAAGAAGACTGATATTACTATATAATTTTATTTCTAAGAGACAGGATCTCACACTGTTGCCCAGACTGGAGTGCAGTGGCCTGATCATAGCTCACTGCTGCCTCAAACTCTTAGGCTCAAGTGACACTCCTGCCTAAGCCTCCCAAGTAGCCAAGAAGAAAGGCATTTGCCACTTGCCTCTACTTGGCTATATATATATATATATATTTGTTTTTTTGGTAGAGGCAGGTTCTTGCCATATTGGCCAGGCTGGTCTCAAACTTCTGTCCTTAAGTGATCCTTTCCCCTCAGCATCCCAAAGAACTGAGATTACCGGCATGAACCACCACATTCAGCCCTGTAATATTTTGAAAATTGATTTGGTCAAAAAATTACTATAGACATAAAATGACAGTTCTCTAGGAAGCTATAACAATTTTATCTTTTTTTACTTTTAAGTTCATGGGTACATGTGCAGGTTTGTTATATAGGTAAACTTGTATAATGGGGGTTTGTTGTACAGGTTATTTCATCTTCCAGGTATTAAGCCTAGTACCCATTAGTTATTTTTCCTGATCCTCTCCCTCATCCCATTCTCCAACCTTCAATAGGTTGTTCTCCTCTATGTGTCCATGTGGAAGCTATAACACATGTGTATACTCAATTTCATACTCTTAAGAAATACAATAATAAATAGATATACAATTATAGTGGGAAACTTCTGCAGACTATTCTGAATAGCTGATAGAAAAAAATATACAAACTATCAATACTGCTAATCAAGTAGGTATGAATAACTAATACACGTGACACAGTTGACATACATAAAGCACTGCACTCAAAAATTAAAGACTACATATAGTTTTCAGGTGCAAATGGAACATTTACCAATATTGCTCATATTGTAGTTTAGAGAGAAAGCTTAAATAATATTCACTCGATTCTGTTGGGAGGCCGAGGTGGGCAGATCACAAGGTCAGGAGATCGAGACCATCCTGGCTAACACGGTGAAACCCCGTCTCTACTAAAAATACAAAAAAATTAGCCAGGCATGGTGGCGGGCACCTGTAGTCCCAGCTACTTGAGAGGCTGAGGCAGGAGAATGGCGTGAACCCAGGAGGTGGAGCTTGCAGTGAGCCGAGATAGCGCCACTGCACTCCAGCTTGGGCGACAGAGCGAGACTCCGTCTCAAAAAAAAAAAAAAAAAAAAGAATATATTATCTGACCATTAACAAATGAATTAAGGTAGACATACCTAACAAAAGTACATTTAGAAAATCTATAACTACCTGAAAATTAAGCAATAAACTCTATTGTGCAAGGGTCAAAAACAACCACTGAATGTAGAAGACATTATGAAATGAATGACAATGAAGACACGCATATCAAAACAGCTAACACATTACAGAGGAAAATGTATGGTCTTACGTACACACTGTCAGGAATGTAAGACCGAAAATTAATTAGTTGTTCCGATTTTAAAAAGCTAAAAAATTAATAAATAAAAAATTTTTAAAGTAGAAATAAAATAGTGATAAATACATAGTAGAGAAATTAATACAAAATTTAGTAAATTGTAAAGATTAACAATTCACTCCATAAGTAAAATAAATGAGTGAAATAAATCAATAAAAACACAGAAAACAAGATTGCTAATATCAGGAATGTAAAGATGATATTGCTCTCCCTTATTTTTTATTGATATGTAATAATAATATATATTTTTGGAGTACATGTGATATTTTGAAACGTTCATACAGTGTGTAATGATCAAACTGGGGTACTTAGGATATCTATCACCTGAAACTTTAGTCTTTTGATTGTGTTGGGAAGATTTCCAGTCTTCTCTTCTAGCTATTTTGAATATACAATAAATGATTTGTATCTATAGTCACTCTACTATGCTATCAAACACTAAAACATATTCTTTCTAACTGTATTTGCACCCATTGACCAATCTCTATTCATGTTCCCTTCTCCCACACCAGCCATTTCCAGCTTCTGGTAATCATTCTATTCTCTACTTCAATGAGATCAACTTCTGTGGCTCCCACATATGCCTGAGAACAGGTAATATTTATCTTTTTATGCTTGGTTTATTTCACTTAACATAAAGACCTCCAATTCCATCCTTGTTGCCTTCAATTACAGAAGTTCATTATTTTTACAAACTTTTGAATAGCATTTCATTGTGTATATATATACCACATTTTCTTTACCCATTCATCCATTGGTGGACACTTAGGTTGATACTGTATCTCCTGCTATTGTGGATAGTGCTGCAATAAACATGCGGGTGCAGGGTTCCCAATGATATACTAATTTCCTTTTCTTTGGATAAATATGTAGTAGTGTTGTTGCTGGATTGCATGATAGTTCTACTTTCAATTTTTTAACAAAACTCTATTTGTTTTCCATAATGGCTGGACTAATTTACATTACCACCAGTCGTGTATGAGGGTTCCCTTTTCTCTTCAGACTTGCAAGTATTTGTTATTTTAGTCTTTTGATAATAGGCATTCTAACTGGGACGAGATGATATGATCTTATTGTGGTTTTAACTTGCATATCCTTGGTTATTAGTAATGTTGGGCCTTTTTTCATACATCTTCTGGCTCTGTTTTCTTTTGAGAAATAGCTATTCGGATGCTTTGACCACTTTTTAGTGGGAGCATTTGTTTTGTGAGTATTTGTTTTGTTGCTGTTGAGTTGTGTGAGTGTTTTGTCTATTCTGGATGTTGGTCCCTTGTTGGATGAATAGTTTGCAAATATTTTCTCACATTTCATAGATTGTCTCTTTACTATCTAGACTGTTTTCTTTGCTGTGCAGAAGCTTTTAGTTTAAGCCTTATTTGTCTATTTTTGTTTTTGTTGTTTTTGCTTTTAAATCCTTAGCCATAATATCTTTTCCTACACTAATGTGCTGAAGCGTTTTCCATATTATTTTCTTCTAGTAATTTTATAGTTTTGAGTCTTATGTGTTAGTCTTTAGTCAACTTTAAGTTGATATTTGTATATGGTATGAGATAGGGGTTTAGCTTCATTCTTCTGCATACAGTTAATCGGTTTTCCCAGAACCATGTGTTAAAGAAGGTGTCCTTCCTGCAATGTATGTTCTTAGTGTTTTTGACAATATCAGCTGGCTCTAAATACATGGATTTCTTTCTTGGCACTCTATTCTGCTTCATTGGTCTATGTGTCTATTTTCATAGCAATACCATATTGTTTCAGTTACTATAGCTTTGTAGCATATTTTCAAGTCAGGTGGTGTGACACCTCTGGCTTTGTTCTTTTCCCTCAGGTACCTTGGTGACTTGGGCCTTTGTAGTTCCACATGAATTTTAAGGTGTTTTCTTCCTAAGAAAATGAAGAGTGCCATTGGTATTTTAATAGGGATTGCATTAAATATGTAAATAACTTAACTCATGTTACTTTGTGTTGGTGTGCTCAGGATTTCTATTTCTTCCTGGTATTATGGATATTTTAACATTATTAATTCTTCCAATCCAAAAGTATGGCATGTCTTTCCATTTTTTGTGTCCTCTTAAAATTCTTTTGTTTTTATTTTTTATTTTTTTTATTTTTTGTTTTTTTGAGACAGAGTCTCGCTCTGTCACCCAGGCTGGAGTGCAGTGGCACGATCTCGGCTCCCTGCAAGCTCCGCCTCCCAGGTTCACGCCATTCTCCTGCCTCAGCCTCCCGAGTAGCTGGGACTACAGGTGCCTGCCAGCACGCCTGGCTAATTTTTTGTATTTTTAGTAGAGATGGGGTTTCACCATGTTAGCCAGGATGGTCTCGATCTCCTGACCTGGTGATCCGCCCGCCTCGGCCTCCCAAAGTGCTGGGATTACAGGCGTGAGCCACCAAGACCAGCCATTAAAATTCTTTAATCAGTATTTTGTAGCTTTCATTATAGAGGACAGTCACCTTATTGCTTAACTTATTCCCATGTTTTATTTTCTTATACTGATTGTAAATGGGATTCCTTTTTTGATGTCTTTTTCAGCTAGTTTTTAAAATTAGCATATAGGAATACTATAGGTTTTTGTATACTGATTTTGAATCCTGAAACTTTACTAAGATTTGTATATAGTTCTGAGATTTTTGGTGAAGTCTTTAGATTTTTCTATATATGAGATCATGTCACCAATGAAAAGGGACAATTTGACTTCCTCTTTTATTTCTTTTGCTTGCTCATTTACTCTGGGTAGGACTTCCAGTACTATGTTGACTAACAGGAGTGAAAGTTGGCATTCTTGTCTTGTTGCAGTTCTTACAGAAAAGGCATTCAGACCTCATTCAGTACGTCATCTGTTAGTTTGTCATATATATCTTTTATGATGTTGAAGTATGTTTTTTTTTCTATGCCTAATTTGTTGAGCGTTTCTATCAGGAAGGGAGGTTGAATTGTATCCAATTCATTTTCTGCATCTATTGAGATGATCATATGATTTTTGTCCTGCATCTTGTTGATGCAATATATTGTCGTTATTGATTTGTGTATGTTGAGCCATCCTTGCATCCCAGGAGTAAGTCCCACTTGATCATGGTGTGGTGTGTTATCTTTTGTTTTTTTTTTTTGTTGTTTGTTTGTTTGTTTGTTTGTTTTAGATGGAGTCTCACTTTGTCACCAGGCTGGAGTGCAGTGGCGACATCTGGGCTCACTGCAACCTCCACCTCCTGGGTTCAAGCAATTCTCCTGCCTCAGCCTCCCAAGTAGCTAGGACTACAGGCACATGCCACCATGCCTGGCTCATTTTTGTATTTTTAGTAGAGACAGGGTTTCACCGTGTCAGCCAGGATGGTCTCGAACTCCAGACCTCATGATCCGCCTGCCTTGGCCTCCCAAAGTGCTGGGATTACAGGCATGAGCCACTGTGCCCAGACTTGATATGTTCTTGAATTAAGTTTTCTGGTATTTTATTGAGGGTGTTTTCAACTTGGTTTATCAGGAATATTGGCCTGTAGCTTTCTTTTTTGTTGTGTCCATGTCTAGTTTTAGTATCAGGATAACAATGGTTCATAGAATGAGTTAGGAAGGTTTATAGTCTCTTCAATTTTTTAGAATAGTTTGAGAAAAAATAATGTTAGTTTTTCTTTATAGGTTTCGTGTAATTTAGTAGTAAAACCATTTGTTCCTGAGCTTTCCTTTGTTGGGAGACATCTTATTACTGCTTCAGTCATGTTACTTTGTGTTGGTGTGCTCAGGATTTCTATTTCTTCCTGGTTTATTCTTGGTAGGTTGTATGTGTTTAGGAGTTTATTTGTTTCCTCTAGGTTTTCCAATTTGTTAGCATATAGTTTTTTATAATAGGTTATCATGATTTTTTGTGTTTCTCTGGTATGTCTACTTTTTCATTTCTGATTTTATTCATCTGGGTTTTTTTCCTCTTTTTTTTCTTAGATAGTCTAAGTAGTAGTTTATCATTGTTTTTCCTTTCCAAAAACCAACTTTCATTTTGTTGATTTGTTCCCAAGGATAGACATATATGCCAGAGAAATACAGAGCCCAGAACAGATCTGCATACATTCCTGACAAATATAACATATAAAATGATAAGAAAAGGATGATCTTTTTAATAAACAGTGCTTGAGAAATTGTCTATATGAAGAAACTTAATTTATTATTTACCTTATATATTTTAATTTTAAACATAAAAAATTGAAAAATCAAACATCTCTTCACTTTTAAAAGAAAAAAACGAAAATCCTTATGACTTTGCTATAGGTAAATATTTAATATGCTAAACATAGAATCCCTAATAATTGAGATACATTATATTAAGAACTTCCCTCCATTGAGAGAACAAATCATGAAGCCACTGGAAGGAAAATTTATTTGATATACATATGTATTGCAAAATAATTGTATCCTGAATAGCACAAACCAATTAAAAATGCAGACAAACGCCACCCAAAAATGTACAAAATATACAAGCATTTAACGAATATAATATTGAAATATAACAAATGAAAAGGTGCTCTAAATCCACAATGAAATACCATGAAACACCCACCAGAAAGGCTAAAATGACAAAAAAAAAAAAAGTTAAAAAAGAAAATAACAAAGCAGTGGCAAGGATATTCAGCAACTAGAACTCTCATATGCTTCTGAGGAGAGTCTGCAACATCATCTGAAAAAGTGCTCACTATTATCCATGAACACAGACACAGCCTACAATACAGTGATTCCACCCTATGGTATATATTTCCCAAAATATGTATGTTTGTCAAAACACATACGCATACACAAACACATTTAGAAGTTCATATAAGCAGTATTTCAACAGCCTAAAATTGGAAATAAGACAACTACGGCAAGCAAAATAAACTTCACAAAATAATACATAATGTAGTTTCCATTCATACAAAATTTTAAAAGCAGCAAACTGATCTATGATGTTAGAATTCAGGATGGTGGTTTATGCTGTGCTGGGGAGCTTGTGACTGCAAGAGTGCATAAGAGGAATTCTGCAGTGCTAGCAGTATATTATTTCTTTATACAGATGCTGGTTACGTGAGTGTGCTCACTTTGATTTGTGTGTGTTCCTGTACGTTATACTTCAATACATTTTATTGGTGAGTTGTTGTGTATGAATTTGATCACTTCCCAACACCTACACTATTATTACTCTGATAACATCTACACTATTATTACTCTGATTCAAGCTGTCATTATCCATTGACTTAATGTTTCTATAGCACCATTTCTTATCCCACCTATACCAATATCACAGTCACTATCTTGATTCCTCTTCCATTTAGTCCTCACAGAACAGTCAGATTTGTTTTTTGAAAACTCTTCTACTCAAAGTTCTTCAATGGCTTTCTGTTTCACCAAGAGAAATAAAATCAGTGCTCCCAATGCTATACAAGTTTAAATATGCTTTGCTACCTCTCTAAGCTAATTTCCTTCCAATTCCTTCATTCAGGCCCCAGCTACATAGACTTCCTTGCTATTATACAACAACATTTAGTGCTTCAGGCCATTTACACTAGCTGACCTCTACCTGCTACATTTTTCTATATATCTGCCTGGCTCACTCCCTTCCTTCCCACAGGTTTCCACTTAAATATCACCTTGGCAGAAGTGCTTTTCTTAATCACCCTATAAAATTGCAATCCCATTCCTCTTCAGTTTTCCCTTATCACCTTGAGATTATTTTAGCTTTCTTCATAGCACTTATCAACACCTAACATAGCACAACTAATTTGTTTATGAATTTATTGTCAGTCCTTTTTGATTTAAATGAAAGTTCTCTTAAGGGAGAGAGTTTATATGTTTTCTTCTTGTTTTATCTCCAGTACCTACAGCACTGGCCCCGTGTAGAAACTAAGTAAATATTTGTTGACTTAAACAACTAATATCCTTAGGTGGATATGTGATGTGATAAAAATGTATAACTTTTTCCTCTCTGGATTGAAATTATGAGCTTGGAGTCCATACTTGAGAATCCTAGGCCTATATTTCCTATCTTACCTCTTTTAAAAACCCAATTACCACTAGATTCTCTTGATTAGCCATCATGACTCCAAGACTCATGTAGCCTTCCTAATTCTAGTGGAATATAGAATGGTTAGCAGGCAAGATAGAGAAACTTTGCCCACTAAGAGGTAACCAGAGAAATCCTATTTTATTGACTTCTCTTTTATTAGCCAGATGTGCCTATAAAAACTGCACTGAACAATATCTGTTTATAAGAATTTAAAAATTGTAAAACATCAAGATCAAACTATTTTCTAAACTAATCATAAAACCATACATTTTAAAAATCAAAAGAAAATATGACTTTTTCATAAATTTAAACAAATAAACAAACAAGGAAACATAAAGTAACAAGGGAAAGATAGTGCCAAAAGTTACATTTTGTAACTTTGCAGTATGACCATGCTGAGAAAATATTGAAAAAACAAGCACCATCACAAAGAATAATAGGCCATTGGGAACATAATAAGGAAAATAGAGAACATGAGATTCAAGAAGCTCTACTGCAATCATTTTACCCCTGAGATACCTGTGGTGTTACAAACAACCACAGCCTTAATTTCAACAAACATTTATACAAGGGAAGTATGGGAACCATCAACTCAGGGTGCCACAAACTAGCAGAAATGGAGCCCTATTTTTCCAGATGGTATGTGTGTATATGTGAAGATGTATGTGTGTGCCTGTTTGTGTGTGTATATGTACACATATGTGTGTATGTGTGTTTTGAGGGGGTAGTCAGTATATCTACATGTGTGTATTTTTTAGTTTATGTAATTATCAACATTTAAAAATGGAATAATTTCTGGCCGGGCCCAGTGGCTCACACCTGTAATCCCAGCACTTTGAGAGGCCGAGGGAGGTGGATCACTTGAGGCCAGGAGTTTGAGACCAGCATGGCCAAGATGGTGAACTCCATCTCTACTAAAAATACAAAAATTAGCTGAGTGTGTGATGGTACACGCCTGTAATCCCAGCTACTCAGAGGGCTGAGGTATGAGAATCACTTGAACCTGGGAGGTGGAGGTTGCAGTGAGCTGAGATGGGGCCACTGCACTCCAGCTTTGATGACAGAGGGAGACTTTGTCTCAAAAAATAAATAAATAAAATAAAATAAATAAAAATAGAAATTGAATAATTTCACATAAAATTGTGATTTATAGTCTGATTTGAAAAATCAAAGTATTTTTTTAAATGTATTCCCACTTGGCAACAATAGGCTATACTTGAGTGGTAGTCACCCTTATTAGAGGGTCATGTGCCTCCAAATTTATCAAATACCCATGCGTTTTCCTCCCTTTGGCCCATTTTTGTCACAACCAATCAATTTCACTAAGTTATGTTTAATGCTTGTTATGAGTAGGCACTTTTATTTAAAATTATATATTAACTTATTTAATTTAATGAATTTCTTGTCTTATTTTTTTCTTTAACCTCTTTTTAGACAACTCCGGTTGGTGACACAGATATAATTATGCATAAAATAAAACAAATAAAATACGTACCCCACAACAAACACTACCAGTGTCCACGTGCCTAGGCTGCGCCTTGGGACTAGCCTGCTCAACCTACCACTGACACCACTGGCACCCATGTGCAATGTCAGGGTGCCTGAAAACTGGTCTTCCATGATCCACATTCACCACCTAGGGACCTGAGCACTAGCCTGTCCAGTCTGCCACTGCTACCACAGTGTATGCACACCCAGTCCAGCTCGCAGAGACTGGCCTGCCCAGGACATACTACTAACACCAGTGCCTGGATACACAATATAGGGGTCTTGAGAAACATGCTCCCTGGCTCTCTTGAGAAACATGTCCCCAGCAAAGCCTTACTACAGCCTCTACAAACAAGCACAGCCTAAGCCATTAGGAACATGCGGACACCACTGACATTGATTATAGCCAAAGAAATCATACAGAAACTACACTACAGTGCCCACTAATAACCAAAGCCAAAGTATCTTATCCAAGTGGCATTATGAAAAAAAAAATCTACAGGAAAAATCTGTTTCTTTATGGAAGCTACTCAATAAAATTAAAAGAAGTGACGGTTACAAGAAATGTATGGATGTAAATGAAAACATAAGAAACATGAGAAAGCAAGGAAACATGACACCTCCAAAGGAATAAAATAATTCTTCAGTAACAGACTCCAAATAAAAGAAAATCTGTGAAATGCCTGAAAAATAATTCAAAATGAAGACATTAAGGAAAATCAGTGAGATGCAAGAGCACACAAATAAAAAATACAGATAAATCATGAAAACAATTTATAATCAAAGAGAAATTTAATAGAGATAGATACTCTAAAAAAAGAACCAAATAGAAACCCCAGAACTGAAGGATTTAATGATTGAAACAGAAATACGTCATCAAGATTGTAAACAATAAACAGGAGCAAGAAGAAGAGAAGATTTCTGAATTTCAATACAGGTCATTTGAAATAACCTATTCAGATAAAAAGAAAGATAGATTAAAAAAAGAATGAAGAAAACCTATGTGACATATGGAACACAATTAAGTGAATAGATATTGATTTTTGGGATTTCCATAAGGAGAAGAGATTTTCTTAAAAGTCGTAGAACCCCAATTTAATAAAGTAATAGCTAAAAACTTCCCAAGTCTTAGGAAAGTGTAAACATCCAAATACAGAAAATGAAAAGATCTCCAAACAGATCCCAGCCCAAGAATTCCTCTCTAAGGCACATTACAGTGAAGCTGTCGAAGTCACAGACAAAAAGAGAATTCTAAAAACATATTACTGGAAGTCCTAGCAAGAGCAGTTAGGGAAGAGAAAGAAATAAAGGGCTTCCAAATGGGAAATGAAAAATTCAAGTTGTCCCTGTTAGCAGACAATATGATATTATATTAAGAAAACCCTAAAAACTATATTAAAAAACTGTTAGAACTGATTAAAAACTCAGATAAGTTGCAGGATGTAAATCAACATTCAAAAATCAGTAGCATATCCAACAATGAACAATTAGGAAGAAAATAAATAAATCAATCCCATTTACAACTACAAAAATACCTAGAAATAAATCTAATCCAAGGAGTAAAAAAAAAAAAAAAATCTCTCCAAGAAAAACTATGAAATGATGAAAAAAATTGAAGAAGGTATACAAGAAATGGAAAGATGTCCCATGTTTATGTATTGGAAGAATTAATATTGTTAAAATGTCCATACTACCCAAAGCAATCTATATATTCAATGGAATCTCTCTCAAAATACTAGCATTCTTCACAGAAGCAGAAAAAAACAATCCTAAAGTGTTTAAGGAATCATAAAAGACCAAAAATAGCCAAAGCAAATTCTGAGCAAAATGAACAAAACCGGAGGCATCATGCTACCTGACTTCAAAATATAGTACAAACCAACAGGAACCAAAACAACATCATAACTAACTGGCCTAAAAACAGACAGCAATCCCAATATTGGGTATATATCCAAAAGAAAGGAAATTGATATATTGAGACATCTGCACTCCCATGTTTATCACAGCACTATTCACAATAGCAAATACACGGAAACAATCTAAGTGTCCATCAGTGGATGAATGGATAAAGAAAATGTGGTAGCTCTACCGATTATAAAGCACGTGAATAAATTTGGGTAACATTCTTCACCAAAAAAAAAAAAAAAAAAAAAAGAAAATGTGGTATGTACACATATTATTCAGCCATAAAAAGAATAAAATCATGTCATTTACAGCAATATGGATTGAACTGGAGGTCAATACGTTAATGAAAAAATCCAAGCTCAGAAAGATAAATATTGTGTATATTCACTCATATTAGGGAGCTAAATAGCTAATCTTTTGAAGACAGAGAATGTTATGGTGGTTAACAAAGGCTAGAAAGGATAAAAGAAGTGGGGGGAATGAAGAGACACAAGTTAATGGGAACAAAAATACAGTTAGATAGATCAAATAAGTTCT
The DNA here is from genome assembly GCF_000001405.40 of Homo sapiens. Taxonomy (NCBI): domain Eukaryota; kingdom Metazoa; phylum Chordata; class Mammalia; order Primates; family Hominidae; genus Homo; species Homo sapiens. The sequence continues at coordinate 126,256,071 of NC_000007.14, forward strand.
AATGTTTGATAACATAGTAGGATGACTATAGTTTTTAATAATTTATTGCGTATTTCAAAATAGCCAGAAGAGAAGATTTGAAGTGTGCTCAACACAAAGAAATGATAAACGTCTGAGGTGATGGATCCCAGTTACCCTGATTTGATCATTACACATTTTATGGTTGAATCAAAATATCACATGTATCCTATAACTATGTACTATTTTTAATCAGATAGTAAATGAAATGAAATAATAAAATACAATTTGAAAATAAAGTAAGAAAACAGTCCTGCAGTGATCACGTTGAGTTTATTTAATGCAGATAGTTATGTAACAAAACTTGAATTTAAATCTTCTCTTTATCATGCATAATTATCTTTCCTTTAGATAATTCGACTTTTGCTTTGAGAATCAACACCTGGCTGTACCCAGGGTAATTAACCTCAGGTACCAGGAATAACTCTTTTCTAGATTTTGGAAAGCACATGCATTCAACAATAACGTCAAGTTTTCTTCATAAAAAGGGCCTTTCCTAGCTTCAGTTTTTTTCAAGGATTTTGCCTTAAACCATCTCAGATTTACTGTGGCCACTGCCTATGTGGAAGACAATGATTCTTTAAATAGTGAAGGGAGCCAGAGGCGGGCAGATCATCTGAAGTCAGGAGCTTGAGACCAGCCTGGCCAACATTGCGAAACCCCATCTCTACTAAAAACAAAAATTAGTGAG